>NC_000018.10:19651058-19954518 GCF_000001405.40 Homo sapiens | reverse complement strand
GACAATCCCGTTTCCAACGAAATCCTCAAAGCTAGGCAAATATCCTCTTGCAGATTCCAGAAAAAGAGTGTTTCAAAACTGCTCCTTCAAAACGGTGGTTCAATTCTCTTAGTTGAGTACACACATCTCCAATAAGTTTCTGAGAATGCTTCTGCCTAGTTGTTACGGGAAGATATTTCCCTTTCCAACATAGGCCTGAAAGCGCTCCAAATGTCCACTTCCAGATACTATAAAAAGAGTGTTTCAAACCTGCTCTACCAAAGGGAATGTTCTACTCTGTGACTTGAATGCAAACATCCCAAAGAAGTTTCTGAGAATGCTTCTGTCTAGATTTTACCTTAAGACAATCCCGTTTCCCACGAAATCCTCAAAGCTATGCAAATATCCTCTTGCAGATTCTACAAAAAGAGTGTTTCAAAACTGCTCTATGAAAAGAAAGGTTCAACTCTGTCAGTAGAGGGCACACATCACAAACAAGTTTCTGAGAATGCTTGTGTCTAGTTGTTATGGGAAGATATTTCCTTTTTCAACATAGGCCTGAAAGCGCTCCAAATGTCCACTTCCAGATACTACAAAAGGAGTGATTCCAACCTGCTCTATGATAGGGAATGTTCAACTCTCT
This sequence comes from Homo sapiens, assembly GCF_000001405.40. Taxonomy (NCBI): domain Eukaryota; kingdom Metazoa; phylum Chordata; class Mammalia; order Primates; family Hominidae; genus Homo; species Homo sapiens. The sequence continues at coordinate 19,953,896 of NC_000018.10, read as the reverse complement.
GTCCTGAATACAAACATCACAAAGATGTTTCTCAGAACGCTGCAGTCTGCAATTTGTATGAATTCCCGCTTCCAACGAAATCCTCAAAACTAGCCAAATATCCACTTGCAGATTCCACAAAAAGACCATTTCAAAACTGCTCTATCAAAAGAAAGGTTCAACTTTGTTAGTTGAGTAGATACAGCATAACCAAGTTTCTGAGAATGCTTCTGTCCAGTTTTTATGGGAAGATATTTCCTTTTTCACCTTAGCCCTGAAATCGCTCCAAAAGTCCAGTTCCAGATACTACAAAAGGGGTGTTTCAAGACTGCTCTATGAAAGGGAGTGTTCAACTTTTGACTTGAATGCAAACATCAGAAAGCAGTTTCTCAGAACGCTGCTGTGTGCTTTTTATATGTATTCCCGCTTCCAGCGAAATCCCCAAAGCTAGCCAAATATCCACTTGCAGATTCCAGAAAAAGAGAGTTTCAAAACTGCTCCTTCAAAACGGTGGTTCAATTCTCTTAGTTGAGTACACACATCTCAAATAAGTTTCTGAGAATGCTTCTGTCCAGTTTTTATGGCAAGATATTTCCTTTTTCACCTTAGCCCTGAAGGCGCTCCAAATTTCCAGTTCCAGATACTACAAAAGGGGTGTTTCAAGACTGCTCTATGAAAGGGAGTGTTCAACTTTTGACTTGAATGCAAACATCAGAAAGCAGTTTCTCAGAACGCTGCTGTGTGCTTTTTATATGTATTCCCGCTTACAGCGAAATCCCCAAAGCTAGCCAAATATCCACTTGCAGATTCCAGAAAAAGAGTGTTTCCAAACTGCTCCTTCAAAACGGTGGTTCAATTCTCATAGTTGAGTACACACATCTCAAATAAGTTTCTGGGAATGCTTCTGTCTAGTTGTTATGGGAAGATATTTCCTTTTCCAACATAGGCCTGAAAGCGCTCCAAATGTCCACTTCCAGATACTACAAAAGGAGTGATTCAAACCTGCTCTATGATAGGGAATGTTCAACTCTGTGTCCTGAATACAAACATCACAAAGATGTTTCTCAGAACGCTGCAGTCTGCAATTTGTATGAATTCCCGCTTCCAACGAAATCCTCAAAACTAGCCAAATATCCACTTGCAGATTCCACAAAAAGAGCATTTCAAAACTGCTCTATCAAAAGAAAGGTTCAACTTTGTTAGTTGAGTAGATACAGCATAAACAAGTTTCTGAGAATGCTTCTGTCCAGTTTTTATGGGAAGATATTTCCTTTTTCACCTTAGCCCTGAAATCGCTCCAAAAGTCCAGTTCCAGATACTACAAAAGGGGTGTTTCAAGACTGCTCTATGAAAGGGAGTGTTCAACTTTTGACTTGAATGCAAACATCAGAAAGCAGTTTCTCAGAACGCTGCAGTCTGCAATTTGTATGAATTCCCGCATCCAACGAAATCCTCAAAACTAGCCAAATATCCACTTGGAGATTCCACAAAAAGAGCGTTTCAAACCTTCTCTATGAATAGAAAGGTTCTACTCCTTTAGTTGAGGACACACATCACGAGTAAGTTTCTGAGAATGCTTCTGTCTAGTTTTTATGGGAAGATATTTCCTTTTTCACCTTAGGCCGGTAAGTGCTCCAAATGTCCACTTACACACACTACAAAAAGAGTGTTTCAAACCTGCTCTGTGAAAGGGAATGTTCAATTCTGTGACTTGAATGCAATCATCACAAAGAACTTTCTGAGAATGCTGCTGACTGCTTTTTATATGTAATCCCGTTTCCAACGAAATCCTCAAATCTAGCCAAATAGCCACTTGCAGATTCCACAAAAAGAGTGTTTCAAAACTGTTCTGTCTAAAGAAATGTTCAACTGTGTTAGTTGAGGACACACATCAGAAACTAGTTTCTGAGAATGCTTCTGTCTAGTTGTTATGGGAAGATATTTCCTTTTCCAACGTAGGCCTGAAAGCGCTCCAAATGTCCACTTCCATATACTAAAAAAAGAGTGTTTCAAACCTGCTCTACCAAAGGGAATGTTCTACTCTGTGACTTGAATGCAAACATCCCAAAGAAGTTTCTGAGAATGCTTCTGTCTAGATTTGATCTGAACACAATCCCGTTTCCAACGAAATCCTCAAAGCTAGGCAAATATCCTCTTGCAGATTCCAGAAAAAGAGTGTTTCAAAACTGCTCCTTCAAAACGGTGGTTCAATTCTCTTAGTTGAGTACACACATCTCAAATAAGTTTCTGAGAATGCTTCTGCCTAGTTGTTACGGGAAGATATTTCCCTTTCCAACATAGGCCTGAAAGCGCTCCAAATGTCCACTTCCAGATACTACAAAAAGAGTGTTTCAAACCTGCTCTAACAAAGGGAATGTTCTACTCTGTGACTTGAATGCAAACATCCCGAGGAATTTTCTGAGAATGCTTCTGTCTAGATTTTACCTGAAGACAATCCCGTTTCCCACGAAATCCTCAAAGCTATGCAAATATCCTCTTGCAGATTCTACAAAAAGAGTGTTTCAAAACTGCTCTATGAAAAGAAAGGTTCAACTCTGTCAGTAGAGGGCACACATCACAAACAAGTTTCTGAGAATGCTTCTGCATAGTTGTTACGGGAAGATATTTCCCTTTCCAAAATAGGCCTGAAAGCGCTCCAAATGTCCACTTCCAGATACTACAAAAGGAGTGATTCCAACCTGCTCTATGATAGGGAATGTTCAACTCTGTGTCCTGAATACAAACATCACAAAGATGTTTCTCAGAACGCTGCAGTCTGCAATTTGTATGAATCCCCGCTTCCAACGAAATCCTCAAAACTAGCCAAATATCCACTTGCAGATTCCACAAAAAGATCATTTCAAAACTGCTCTATCAAAAGAAAGGTTCAACTTTGTTAGTTGAGTAGATACAGCATAAACAAGTTTCTGAGAATGCTTCTGTCCAGTTTTTATGGGAAGATATTTCCTTTTTCACCTTAGCCCTGAAATCGCTCCAAAAGTCCAGTTCCAGATACTACAAAAGGGGTGTTTCAGGACTGCTCTATGAAAGGGAGTGTTCAACTTTTGACTTGAATGCAAACATCAGAAAGCAGTTTCTCAGAACGCTGCTGTGTGCTTTTTATATGTATTCCCGCTTCCAGCGAAATCCCCAAAGCTAGCCAAATATCCACTTGCAGATTCCAGAAAAAGAGTGTTTCAAAACTGCTCCTTCAAAACGGTGGTTCAATTCTCTTAGTTGAGTACACACATCTCAAATAAGTTTCTGAGAATGCTTCTGTCTATTTGTTATGGGAAGATATTTCCTTTTCCAACATAGGCCTGAAAGCGCTCCAAATGTCCACTTCCAGATACTACAAAAGGAGTGATTCCAACCTGCTCTATGATAGGGAACGTTCAACTCTGTGTCCTGAATACAAACATCACAAAGATGTTTCTCAGAACGCTGCAGTCTGCAATTTGTATGAATTCCCGCTTCCAACGAAATCCTCAAAACTAGCCAAATATCCACTTGCAGATTCCACAAAAAGAGCGTTTCAAAACTTCTCTATGAAAAGAAAGTTTCTACTCCTTTACTTGAGTACACACATCACGAGTAAGTTTCTGAGAATGCTTCTGTCTAGTTTTTATGGGAAGATATTTCCTTTTTCACCTTAGGCCGGAAAGTGCTCCAAATGTCCACTTACACACACTATAAAAAGAGTGTTTCAAACCTGCTCTGTGAAAGGGAATGTTCAATTCTGTGACTTGAATGCAATCATCACAAAGAACTTTCTGAGAATGCTGCTGTCTGCTTTTTATATGTAATCCCGTTTCCAACGAAATCCTCAAATCTAGCCAAATAGCCACTTGCAGATTCCACAAAAAGAGTGTTTCAAAACTGTTCTGTCTAAAGAAATGTTCAACTGTGTTAGTTGAGGACACACATCAGAAACTAGTTTCTGAGAATGCTTCTGTCTAGTTGTTATGGGAAGATATTTCCTTTTCCAACGTAGGCCTGAAAGCGCTCCAAATGTCCACTTCCAGATACTACAAAAAGAGTGTTTCAAACCTGCTCTACCAAAGGGAATGTTCTGCTCTGTGACTTGAATACAAACATCCCAAAGAAGTTTCTGAGAATGCTTCTGTCTAGATTTGATCTGAAGACAATCCCGTTTCCAACGAAATCATCAAGGCTAGGCAAATATCCTCTTGCAGATTCCAGAAAAAGAGTGTTTCAAAACTGCTCCTTCAAAACGGTGGTTCAATTCTCTTACTTGAGTACACACATCTCAAATAAGTTTCTGAGAATGCTTCTGCCTAGTTGTTACGGGAAGATATTTCCCTTTCCAACATAGGCCTGAAAGCGCTCCAAATGTCCACTTCCAGATACTACATAAAGAGTGTTTCAAACCTGCTCTACCAAAGGGAATGTTCTACTCTGTGACTTGAATGCAAACATCCCAAAGAAGTTTCTGAGAATGCTTCTGTCTAGATTTTTCCTGAGACAATCCCGTTTCCCACGAAATCCTCAAAGCTATGCAAATATCCTCTTGCAGATTCTACAAAAAGAGTGTTTCAAAACTGCTCTATGAAAAGAAAGGTTCAACTCTGTCAGTAGAGGGCACACATCACAAACAAGTTTCTGAGAATGCTTGTGTCTAGTTGTTATGGGAAGATATTTCCTTTTTCAACATAGGCCTGAAAGCGCTCCAAATGTCCACTTCCAGATACTACAAAAGGAGTGATTCCAACCTGCTCTATGATAGGGAATGTTCAACTCTCTGTCCTGAATACAAACATCACAAAGATGTTTCTCAGAACGCTGCAGTCTGCAATTTGTATGAATTCCAGCTTCCAACGAAATCCTCAAATCTAGCCAAATATCCACTTGCAGATTCCACAAAAAGAGCATTTCAAAACTGCTCTATCAAAAGAAAGGTTCAACTTTGTTAGTAGAGTAGATACAGCATAAACAAGTTTCTGAGAATGCTTCTGTCCAGTTTTTATGGGAAGATATTTCCTTTTTCACCTTAGCCCTGAAAGCGCTCCAAAAGTCCAGTTCCAGATACTACAAAAGGAGTGTTTCAGGACTGCTCTATGAAAGGGAGTGTTCAACTTTTGACTTGAATGCAAACATCAGAAAGCAGTTTCTCAGAACGCTGCAGTCTGCAATTTGTATGAATTCCCGCTTCCAACGAAATCCTCCAAACTAGCCAAATATCCACTTGCAGATTCCACAAAAAGAGCGTTTCAAAACTTCTCTATGAAAAGAAAGGTTCTACTCCTTTAGTTGAGGACACACATCACGAGTAAGTTTCTGAGAATGCTTCTGTCTAGTTTTTATGGGAAGATATTTCCTTTTTCACCTTAGGCCGGTAAGTGCTCCAAATGTCCACTTACACACACTACAAAAAGAGTGTTTCAAACCTGCTCTGTGAAAGGGAATGTTCAATTCTGTGACTTGAATGCAATCATCACAAAGAACTTTCTGAGAATGCTGCTGTCTGCTTTTTATATGTAATCCCGTTTCCAACGAAATCCTCAAATCTAGCCAAATAGCCACTTGCAGATTCCACAAAAAGAGTGTTTCAAAACTGTTCTGTCTAAAGAAATGTTCAACTGTGTTAGTTGAGGACACACATCAGAAACTAGTTTCTGAGAATGCTTCTGTCTAGTTGTTATGGGAAGATATTTCCTTTTCCAACGTAGGCCTGAAAGCGCTCCAAATGTCCACTTCCATATACTAAAAAAAGAGTGTTTCAAACCTGCTCTACCAAAGGGAATGTTCTACTCTGTGACTTGAATGCAAACATCCCAAAGAAGTTTCTGAGAATGCTTCTGTCTAGATTTGATCTGAAGACAATCCCGTTTCCAACGAAATCCTCAAGGCTAGGCAAATATCCTCTTGCAGATTCCAGAAAAAGAGTGTTTCAAAACTGCTCCTTCAAAACGGTGGTTCAATTCTCTTAGTTGAGTACACACATCTCAAATAAGTTTCTGAGAGTGCTTCTGCCTAGTTGTTACGGGAAGATATTTCCCTTTCCAACATAGGCCTGAAAAGCGCTCCAAATGTCCACTTCCAGATACTACAAAAAGAGTGTTTCAAACCTGCTCTACCAAAGGGAATGTTCTACTCTGTGACTTGAATGCAAACATCCCAAAGAAGTTTCTGAGAATGCTTCTGTCTAGATTTTACCTGAAGACAATCCCGTTTCCCACGAAATCCTCAAAGCTATGCAAATATCCTCTTGCAGATTCTACAAAAAGAGTGTTTCAAAACTGCTCTATGAAAAGAAAGGTTCAACTCTGTCAGTAGAGGGCACACATCACAAACAAGTTTCTGAGAATGCTTGTGTCTAGTTGTTATGGGAAGATATTTCCTTTTTCAACATAGGCCTGAAAGCGCTCCAAATGTCCACTTCCAGATACTACAAAAGGAGTGATTCCAACCTGCTCTATGATAGGGAATGTTCAACTCTCTGTCCTGAATACAAACATCACAAAGATGTTTCTCAGAACGCTGCAGTCTGCAATTTGTATGAATTCCCGCTTCCAATGAAATCCTCAAAACTAGCCAAATATCCACTTGCAGATTCCACAAAAAGAGCATTTCAAAACTGCTCTATCAAAAGAAAGGTTCAACTTTGTTAGTTGAGTAGATACAGCATAAACAAGTTTCTGAGAATGCTTCTGTCCAGTTTTTATGGGAAGATATTTCCTTTTTCACCTTAGCCCTGAAAGCGCTCCAAAAGTCCAGTTCCAGATACTACAAAAGGAGTGTTTCAGGACTGCTCTATGAAAGGGAGTGTTCAACTTTTGACTTGAATGCAAACATCAGAAAGCAGTTTCTCAGAACGCTGCAGTCTGCAATTTGTATGAATTCCCGCTTCCAACGAAATCCTCAAAACTAGCCAAATATCCACTTGCAGATTCCACAAAAAGAGCGTTTCAAAACTTCTCTATGAAAAGAAAGGTTCTACTCCTTTAGTTGAGGACACACATCACGAGTAAGTTTCTGAGAATGCTTCTGTCTAGTTTTTATGGGAAGATATTTCCTTTTTCACCTTAGGCCGGAAAGTGCTCCAAATGTCCACTTACACACACTACAAAAAGAGTGTTTCAAACCTGCTCTGTGAAAGGGAATGTTCAATTCTGTGACTTGAATGCAATCATCACAAAGAACTTTCTGAGAATGCTGCTGTCTGCTTTTTATATGTAATCCCGTTTCCAACGAAATCCTCAAATCTAGCCAAATAGCCACTTGCAGATTCCACAAAAACAGTGTTTCAAAACTGTTCTGTCTAAAGAAATGTTCAACTGTGTTAGTTGAGGACACACATCAGAAACTAGTTTCTGAGAATGCTTCTGTCTAGTTGTTATGGGAAGATATTTCCTTTTCCAACGTAGGCCTGAAAGCGCTCCAAATGTCCACTTCCATATACTAAAAAAAGAGTGTTTCAAACCTGCTCTACCAAAGGGAATGTTCTACTCTGTGACTTGAATGCAAACATCCCAAAGAAGTTTCTGAGAATGCTTCTGTCTAGATTTGATCTGAAGACAATCCCGTTTCCAACGAAATCCTCAAGGCTAGGCAAATATACTCTTGCAGATTCCAGAAAAAGAGTGTTTCAAAACTGCTCCTTCAAAACGGTGGTTCAATTCTCTTAGTTGAGTACACACATCTCAAATAAGTTTCTGAGAATGCTTCTGCCTAGTTGTTACGGGAAGATATTTCCCTTTCCAACATAGGCCTGAAAGCGCTCCAAATGTCCACTTCCAGATACTACAAAAAGAGTGTTTCAAACCTGCTCTACCAAAGGGAATGTTCTGCTCTGTGACTTGAATGCAAACATCCCAAAGAAGTTTCTGAGAATGCTTCTGTCTAGATTTTACCTGAAGACAATCCCGTTTCCCACGAAATCCTCAAAGCTATGCAAATATCCTCTTGCTGATTCTACAAAAAGAGTGTTTCAAAACTGCTCTATGAAAAGAAAGGTTCAACTCTGTCACTAGAGGGCACACATCACAAACAAGTTTCTGAGAATGCTTGTGTCTAGTTGTTATGGGAAGATATTTCCTTTTTCAACATAGGCCTGAAAGCGCTCCAAATGTCCACTTCCAGATACTACAAAAGGAGTGATTCCAACCTGCTCTATGATAGGGAATGTTCAACTCTCTGTCCTGAATACAAACATCACAAAGATGTTTCTCAGAACGCTGCAGTCTGCAATTTGTATGAATTCCCGCTTCCAACGAAATCCTAAAAACTAGCCAAATATCCACTTGCAGATTCCACAAAAAGACCATTTCAAAACTGCTCTATCAAAAGAAAGGTTCAACTTTGTTAGTTGAGTAGATACAGCATAAACAAGTTTCTGAGAATGCTTCTGTCCAGTTTTTATGGGAAGATATTTCCTTTTTCACCTTAGCCCTGAAATCGCTCCAAAAGTCCAGTTCCAGATACTACAAAAGGGGTGTTTCAAGACTGCTCTATGAAAGGGAGTGTTCAACTTTTGACTTGAATGCAAACATCAGAAAGCAGTTTCTCAGAACGCTGCTGTGTGCTTTTTATATGTATTCCCGCTTCCAGCGAAATCCCCAAAGCTAGCCAAATATCCACTTGCAGATTCCAGAAAAAGAGTGTTTCAAAACTGCTCCTTCAAAACGGTGGTTCAATTCTCTTAGTTGAGTACACACATCTCAAATAAGTTTCTGAGAATGCTGCAGTCTGCAATTTGTATGAATTCCCGCTTCCAACGAAATCCTCCAAACTAGCCAAATATCCACTTGCAGATTCCACAAAAAGAGCGTTTCAAAACTTCTCTATGAAAGAAAGGTTCTACTCCTTTAGTTGAGGACACACATCACGAGTAAGTTTCTGAGAATGCTTCTGTCTAGTTTTTATGGGAAGATATTTCCTTTCTCACCTTAGGCCGGAAAGTGCTCCAAATGTCCACTTACACACACTACAAAAAGAGTGTTTCAAACCTGCTCTGTGAAAGGGAATGTTCAATTCTGTGACTTGAATGCAATCATCACAAAGAACTTTCTGAGAATGCTGGTGTCTGCTTTTTATATGTAATCCCGTTTCCAACGAAATCCTCAAATCTAGCCTAATAGCCACTTGCAGATTCCACAAAAAGAGAGTTTCAAAACTGTTCTGTCTAAAGAAATGTTCAACTGTGTTAGTTGAGGACACACATCAGAAACTAGTTTCTGAGAATGCTTCTGTCTAGTTGTTATGGGAAGATATTTCCTTTTCCAACGTAGGCCTGAAAGCGCTCCAAATGTCCACTTCCAGATACTAAAAAAAGAGTGTTTCAAACCTGCTCTACCAAAGGGAATGTTCTACTCTGTGACTGGAATGCAAGCATCCCAAAGAAGTTTCTGAGAATGCTTCTGTCTAGATTTGATCTGAAGACAATCCCGTTTCCAACGAAATCCTCAAGGCTAGGCAAATATCCTCTTGCAGATTCCAGAAAAAGAGTGTTTCAAAACTGCTCCTTCAAAACGGTGGTTCAATTCTCTTAGTTGAGTACACACATCTCAAATAAGTTTCTGAGAATGCTTCTGCCTAGTTGTTACGGGAAGATATTTCCCTTTCCAACATAGGCCTGAAAGCGCTCCAAATGTCCACTTCCAGATACTACAAAAAGAGTGTTTCAAACCTGCTCTACCAAAGGGAATGTTCTGCTCTGTGACTTGAATGCAAACATCCCAAAGAAGTTTCTGAGAATGCTTCTGTCTAGATTTTACCTGAAGACAATCCCGTTTCCCACGAAATCCTCAAAGCTATGCAAATATCCTCTTGCAGATTCTACAAAAAGAGTGTTTCAAAACTGCTCTATGAAAAGAAAGGTTCAACTCTGTCAGTAGAGGGCACACATCACAAACAAGTTTCTGAGAATGCTTGTGTCTAGTTGTTATGGGAAGATATTTCCTTTTTCAACATAGGCCTGAAAGCGCTCCAAATGTCCACTTCCAGATACTACAAAAGGAGTGATTCCAACCTGCTCTATGATAGGGAATGTTCAACTCTCTGTCCTGAATACAAACATCACAAAGATGTTTCTCAGAACGCTGCAGTCTGCAATTTGTATGAATTCCCGCTTCCAACGAAATCCTCAAAACTAGCCAAATATCCACTTGCAGATTCCACAAAAAGAGCATTTCAAAACTGCTCTATCAAAAGAAAGGTTCAACTTTGTTAGTTGAGTAGATACAGCATAAACAAGTTTCTGAGAATGCTTCTGTCCAGTTTTTATGGGAAGATATTTCCTTTTTCACCTTAGCCCTGAAATCGCTCCAAAAGTCCAGTTCCAGATACTACAAAAGGGGTGTTTCAGGACTGCTCTATGAAAGGGAGTGTTCAACTTTTGACTTGAATGCAAACATCAGAAAGCAGTTTCTCAGAACGCTGCAGTCTGCAATTTGTATGAATTCCCGCTTCCAACGAAATCCTCAAAACTAGCCAAATATCCACTTGCAGATTCCACAAAAAGAGCGTTTCAAAACTTCTCTATGAAAAGAAAGGTTCTACTCCTTTAGTTGAGGACACACAATACGAGTAAGTTTCTGAGAATGCTTCTGTCCAGTTTTTATGGGAAGATATTTCCTTTTTCACCTTAGCCCTGAAAGCGCTCCAAAAGTCCAGTTCCAGATACTACAAAAGGAGTGTTTCAGGACTGCTCTATGAAAGGGAGTGTTCAACTTTTGACTTGAATGCAAACATCAGAAAGCAGTTTCTCAGAACGCTGCTGTGTGCTTTTTATATGTATTCCCGCTTCCAGCGAAATCCCCAAAGCTAGCCAAATATCCACTTGCAGATTCCAGAAAAAGAGTGTTTCAAAACTGCTCCTTCAAAACGGTGGTTCAATTCTCTTAGTTGAGTACACACATCTCAAATAAGTTTCTGAGAATGCTGCAGTCTGCAATTTGTATGAATTCCCGCTTCCAACGAAATCCTCCAAACTAGCCAAATATCCACTTGCAGATTCCACAAAAAGAGCGTTTCAAAACTTCTCTATGAAAAGAAAGGTTCTACTCCTTTAGTTGAGGACACACATCACGAGTAAGTTTCTGAGAATGCTTCTGTCTAGTTTTTATGGGAAGATATTTCCTTTTTCACCTTAGGCCGGAAAGTGCTCCAAATGTCCACTTACACACACTACAAAAAGAGTGTTTCAAACCTGCTCTGTGAAAGGGAATGTTCAATTCTGTGACTTGAATGCAATCATCACAAAGAACGTTCTGAGAATGCTGCTGTCTGCTTTTTATATGTAATCCCGTTTCCAACGAAATCCTCAAATCTAGCCAAATAGCCACTTGCAGATTCCACAAAAAGAGAGTTTCAAAACTGTTCTGTCTAAAGAAATGTTCAACTGTGTTAGTTGAGGACACACATCAGAAACTAGTTTCTGAGAATGCTTCTGTCTAGTTGTTATGGGAAGATATTTCCTTTTCCAACGTAGGCCTGAAAGCGCTCCAAATGTCCACTTCCATATACTAAAAAAAGAGTGTTTCAAACCTGCTCTACCAAAGGGAATGTTCTACTCTGTGACTTGAATGCAAACATCCCAAAGAAGTTTCTGAGAATGCTTCTGTCTAGATTTTATCTGAAGACAATCCCGTTTCCAACGAAATCCTCAAGGCTAGGCAAATATACTCTTGCAGATTCCAGAAAAAGAGGGTTTCAAAACTGCTCCTTCAAAACGGTGGTTCAATTCTCTTAGTTGAGTACACACATCTCAAATAAGTTTCTGAGAATGCTTCTGCCTAGTTGTTACGGGAAGATATTTCCCTTTCCATCATGGGCCTGAAAGCGCTCCAAATGTCCACTTCCAGATACTACAAAAAGAGTGTTTCAAACCTGCTCTACCAAAGGGAATGTTCTACTCTGTGACTTGAATGCAAACATCCCAAAGAAGTTTCTGAGAATGCTTCTGTCTAGATTTTACCTGAAGACAATCCCGTTTCCCACGAAATCCTCAAAGCTATGCAAATATCCTCTTGCAGATTCTACAAAAAGAGTGTTTCAAAACTGCTCTATGAAAAGAAAGGTTCAACTCTGTCAGTAGAGGGCACACATCACAAACAAGTTTCTGAAAATGCTTGTGTCTAGTTGTTATGGGAAGATATTTCCTTTTTCAACATAGGCCTGAAAGCGCTCCAAATGTCCCAGATACTACAAAAGGAGTGATTCCAACCTGCTCTATGATAGGGAATGTTCATCTCTGTGTCCTGAATACAAACATCACAAAGATGTTTCTCAGAACGCTGCAGTCTGCAATTTGTATGAATTCCCGCTTCCAACGAAATCCTCAAAACTAGCCAAATATCCACTTGCAGATTCCACAAAAAGACCATTTCAAAACTGCTCTATCAAAAGAAAGGTTCAACTTTGTTAGTTGAGTAGATACAGCATAAACAAGTTTCTGAGAATGCTTCTGTCCAGTTTTTATGGGAAGATATTTCCTTTTTCACCTTAGCCCTGAAAGCGCTCCAAAAGTCCAGTTCCAGATACTACAAAAGGAGTGTTTCAGGACTGCTCTATGAAAGGGAGTGTTCAACTTTTGACTTGAATGCAAACATCAGAAAGCAGTTTCTCAGAACGCTGCTGTGTGCTTTTTATATGTATTCCCGCTTCCAGCGAAATCCCCAAAGCTAGCCAAATATCCACTTGCAGATTCCAGAAAAAGAGAGTTTCAAAACTGCTCCTTCAAAACGGTGGTTCAATTCTCTTAGTTGAGTACACACATCTCAAATAAGTTTCTGAGAATGCTTGTGTCTAGTTGTTATGGGAAGATATTTCCTTTTTCAACATAGGCCTGAAAGCGCTCCAAATGTCCACTTCCAGATACTACAAAAGGAGTGATTCCAACCTGCTCTATGATAGGGAATGTTCATCTCTGTGTCTTGAATACAAACATCACAAAGATGTTTCTCAGAACGCTGCAGTCTGCAATTTGTATGAATTCCCGCTTCCAACGAAATCCTCAAAACTAGCCAAATATCCACTTGGAGATTCCACAAAAAGAGCGTTTCAAAACTTCTCTTTGAATAGAAAGGTTCTACTCCTTTAGTTGAGGACACACATCACGAGTAAGTTTCTGAGAATGCTTCTGTCTAGTTTTTATGGGAAGATATGTCCTTTTTCACCTTAGGCCGGAAAGCGCTCCAAATGTCCACTTACACACACTACAAAAAGAGTGTTTCAAACCTGCTCTGTGAAAGGGAATGTTCAATTCTGTGACTTGAATGCAATCATCACAAAGAACTTTCTGAGAATGCTGCTGTCTGCTTTTTATATGTAATCCCGTTTCCAACGAAATCCTCAAATCTAGCCCAATATCCACTTGCAGATTCCACAAAAAGAGTGTTTCAAAACTGTTCTGTATAAAGAAATGTACAACTGTGTTAGTTGAGGACACACATCAGAAACTAGTTTCTGAGAATGCTTCTGTCTAGTTGTTATGGGAAGATATTTCCTTTTCCAACGTAGGCCTGAAAGCGATCCAAATGTCCACTTCCATATACTAAAAAAAGAGTGTTTCAAACCTGCTCTACCAAAGGGAATGTTCTACTCTGTGACTTGAATGCAAACATCCCAAAGAAGTTTCTGAGAATGCTTCTGTCTAGATTTGATCTGAACACAATCCCGTTTCCAACGAAATCCTCAAAGCTAGGCAAATATCCTCTTGCAGATTCCAGAAAAAGAGTGTTTCAAAACTGCTCCTTCAAAACGGTGGTTCAATTCTCTTAGTTGAGTACACACATCTCAAATAAGTTTCTGAGAATGCTTCTGCCTAGTTGTTACGGGAAGATATTTCCCTTTCCAACATGGGCCTGAAAGCGCTCCAAATGTCCACTTCCAGATACTACAAAAAGAGTGTTTCAAACCTGCTCTACCAAAGGGAATGTTCTACTCTGTGACTTGAATGCAAACATCCCAAAGAAGTTTCTGAGAATGCTTCTGTCTAGATTTTACCTGAAGACAATCCCATTTCCCACGAAATCCTCAAAGCTATGCAAATATCCTCTTGCAGATTCTACAAAAAGAGTGTTTCAAAACTGCTCTATGAAAAGAAAGGTTCAACTCTGTCAGTAGAGGGCACACATCACAAACAAGTTTCTGAGAATGCTTGTGTCTAGTTGTTATGGGAAGATATTTCCTTTTTCAACATAGGACTGAAAGCGCTCCAAATGTCCACTTCCAGATACTACAAAAGGAGTGATTCCAACCTGACTCTATGATAGGGAATGTTCATCTCTGTGTCCTGAATACAAACATCACAAAGATGATTCTCAGAACGCTGCAGTCTGCAATTTGTATGAATTCCCGCTTCCAACGAAATCCTCAAAACTAGCCAAATATCCACTTGCAGATTCCACAAAAAGACCATTTCAAAACTGCTCTATCAAAAGAAAGGTTCAACTTTGTTAGTTGAGTAGATACAGCATAAACAAGTTTCTGAGAATGCTTCTGTCCAGTTTTTATGGGAAGATATTTCCTTTTTCACCTTAGCCCTGAAATCGCTCCAAAAGTCCAGTTCCAGATACTACAAAAGGGGTGTTTCAAGACTGCTCTATGAAAGGGAGTGTTCAACTTTTGACTTGAATGCAAACATCAGAAAGCAGTTTGCTCAGAACGCTGCTGTGTGCTTTTTATATGTATTCCCGCTTCCAGCGAAATCCCCAAAGCTAGCCAAATATCCACTTGCAGATTCCAGAAAAAGAGTGTTTCAAAACTGCTCCTTCAAAACGGTGGTTCAATTCTCTTAGTTGAGTACACACATCTCAAATAAGTTTCTGAGAATGCTTCTGTCCAGTTTTTATGGGAAGATATTTCCTTTTTCAACTTAGCCCTGAAATCGCTCCAAAAGTCCAGTTCCAGATACTACAAAAGGGGTATTTCAAGACTGCTCTATGAAAGGGAGTGTTCAACTTTTGACTTGAATGCAAACATCAGAAAGCAGTTTCTCAGAACGCTGCAGTCTGCAATTTGTATGAATTCCCGCTTCCAACGAAATCCTCAAAACTAGCCAAATATCCACTTGCAGATTCCACAAAAAGAGCGTTTCAAAACTTCTCTATGAAAAGAAAGGTTCTACTCCTTTAGTTGAGGACACACATCACGAGTAAGTTTCTGAGAATGCTTCTGTCTAGTTTTTATGGGAAGATATTTCCTTTTTCACCTTAGGCCGGAAAGTGCTCCAAATGTCCACTTACACACACTACAAAAAGAGTGTTTCAAACCTGCTCTGTGAAAGGGAATGTTCAATTCTGTGACTTGAATGCAATCATCACAAAGAACTTTCTGAGAATGCTGCTGTCTGCTTTTTATATGTAATCCCGTTTCCAACGAAATCCTCAAATCTACCCCAATATCCACTTGCAGATTCCACAAAAAGAGTGTTTCAAAACTGTTCTGTGTAAAGAAATGTACAACTGTTTTAGTTGAGGACACACATCAGAAACTAGTTTCTGAGAATGCTTCTGTCTAGTTGTTATGGGAAGATATTTCCTTTTCCAACGTAGGCCTGAAAGCGATCAAAATGTCCACTTCCATATACTAAAAAAAGAGTGTTTCAAACCTGCTCTACCAAAGGGAATGTTCTACTCTGTGACTTGAATGCAAACATCCCAAAGAAGTTTCTGAGAATGCTTCTGTCTAGATTTGATCTGAAGACAATCCCGTTTCCAACGAAATCCTCAAGGCTAGGCAAATATCCTCTTGCAGATTCCAGAAAAAGAGTGTTTCAAAACTCCTCCTTCAAAACGGTGGTTCAATTCTCTTAGTTGAGTACACACATCTCAAATAAGTTTCTGAGAATGCTTCTGCCTAGTTGTTACGGGAAGATATTTCCCTTTCCAACATAGGCCTGAAAGCGCTCCAAATGTCCACTTCCAGATACTACAAAAAGAGTGTTTCAAACCTGCTCTACCAAAGGGAATGTTCTACTCTGTGACTTGAATGCAAACATCCCAAAGAAGTTTCTGAGAATGCTTCTGTCTAGATTTTACCTGAAGACAATCCCGTTTCCCACGAAATCCTCAAAGCTATGCAAATATCCTCTTGCAGATTCTACAAAAAGAGTGTTTCAAAACTGCTCTATGAAAAGAAAGGTTCAACTCTGTCAGTAGAGGGCACACATCACAAACAAGTTTCTGAGAATGCTTGTGTCTAGTTGTTATGGGAAGATATTTCCTTTTTCAACATAGGCCAGAAAGCGCTCCAAATGTCCACTTCCAGATACTAAAAAAGGAGTGATTCCAACCTGCTCTATGATAGGGAATGTTCAACTCCCTGTCCTGCATACAAACATCACAAAGATGTTTCTCAGAACGCTGCAGTCTGCAATTTGTATGAATTCCCGCTTCCAACGAAATCCTCCAAACTAGCCAAATATCCACTTGCAGATTCCACAAAAAGAGCATTTCAAAACTGCTCTATCAAAAGAAAGGTTCAACTTTGTTAGTTGAGTAGATACAGCATAAACAAGTTTCTGAGAATGCTTCTGTCCAGTTTTTATGGGAAGATATTTCCTTTTTCACCTTAGCCCTGAAATCGCTCCAAAAGTCCAGTTCCAGATACTACAAAAGGGGTGTTTCAGGACTGCTCTATGAAAGGGAGTGTTCAACTTTTGACTTGAATGCAAACATCAGAAAGCAGTTTCTCAGAACGCTGCTGTGTGCTTTTTATATGTATTCCCGCTTCCAGCGAAATCCCCAAAGCTAGCCAAATATCCACTTGCAGATTCCAGAAAAAGAGAGTTTCAAAACTGCTCCTTCAAAACGGTGGTTCAATTCTCTTAGTTGAGTACACACATCTCAAATAAGTTTCTGAGAATGCTGCAGTCTGCAAATTGTATGAATTCCCGCTTCCAACGAAATCCTCAAAACTAGCCAAATATCCACTTGGAGATTCCACAAAAACAGCGTTTCAAAACTTCTCTATGAATAGAAAGGTTCTACTCTTTTAGTTGAGGACACACATCACGAGTAAGTTTCTGAGAATGCTTCTGTCTAGTTTTTATGGGAAGATATTTCCTTGTTCACCTTAGGCCGGAAAGTGCTCCAAATGTCCACTTACACACACTACAAAAAGAGTGTTTCAAACCTGCTCTGTGAAAGGGAATGTTCAATTCTGTGACTTGAATGCAATCATCACAAAGAACTTTCTGAGAATGCTGCTGTCTGCTTTTTATATGTAATCCCGTTTCCAAAGAAATCCTCAAATCTAGCCAAATATCCACTTGCAGATTCCACAAAAGAGTGTTTCAAAACTGTTCTGTCTAAAGAAAAGTTCAACTGTGTTAGTTGAGGACACACATCAGAAACTAGTTTCTGAGAATGCTTCTGTCTAGTTGTTACGGGAAGATATTTCCTTTTCCAACGTAGGCCTGAAAGCGCTCCAAATGTCCATTTCCATATACTAAAAAAAGAGTGTTTCAAACCTGCTCTATCAAAGGGAATGTTCTACTCTGTGACTTGAATACAAACATCCCAAAGAAGTTTCTGAGAATGCTTCTGTCTAGATTTTCTCTGAAGACAATCCCGTTTCCAACGAAATCCTCAAGGCTAGGCAAATATACTCTTGCAGATTCCAGAAAAAGAGTGTTTCAAAACTGCTCCTTCAAAACGGTGGTTCAATTCTCTTAGTTGAGTACACACATCTCAAATAAGTTTCTGAGAATGCTTCTGCCTAGTTGTTACGGGAAGATATTTCCCTTTCCAACATAGGCCTGAAAGCGCTCCAAATGTCCACTTCCAGATACTACAAAAAGAGTGTTTCAAACCTGCTCTACCAAAGGGAATGTTCTACTCTGTGACTTGAATGCAAACATCCCAAAGAAGTTTCTGAGAATGCTTCTGTCTAGATTTTACCTGAAGACAATCCCGTTTCCCACGAAATCCTCAAAGCTATGCAAATATCCTCTTGCAGATTCTACAAAAAGAGTGTTTCAAAACTGCTCTATGAAAAGAAAGGTTCAACTCTGTCAGTAGAGGGCACACATCACAAACAAGTTTCTGAGAATGCTTGTGTCTAGTTGTTATGGGAAGATATTTCCTTTTTCAACATAGGCCTGAAAGCGCTCCAAATGTCCACTTCCAGATACTACAAAAGGAGTGATTCCAACCTGCTCTATGATAGGGAATGTTCAACTCTGTGTCCTGAATACAAACATCACAAAGATGTTTCTCAGAACGCTGCAGTCTGCAATTTGTATGAATTCCCGCTTCCAACGAAATCCTCAAAACTAGCCAAATATCCACTTGCAGATTCCACAAAAAGACCATTTCAAAACTGCTCTATCAAAAGAAAGGTTCAACTTTGTTAGTTGAGTAGATACAGCATAAACAAGTTTCTGAGAATGCTTCTGTCCAGTTTTTATGGGAAGATATTTCCTTTTTCACCTTAGCCCTGAAATCGCTCCAAAAGTCCAGTTCCAGATACTACAAAAGGGGTGTTTCAAGACTGCTCTATGAAAGGGAGTGTTCAACTTTTGACTTGAATGCAAACATCAGAAAGCAGTTTCTCAGAACGCTGCTGTGTGCTTTTTATATGTATTCCCGCTTCCAGCGAAATCCCCAAAGCTAGCCAAATATCCACTTGCAGATTCCAGAAAAAGAGAGTTTCAAAACTGCTCCTTCAAAACGGTGGTTCAATTCTCTTAGTTGAGTACACACATCTCAAATAAGTTTCTGAGAATGCTTCTGTCTAGTTGTTATGGGAAGATATTTCCTTTTCCAACATAGGCCTGAAAGCGCTCCAAATGTCCACTTCCAGATACTACAAAAGGAGTGATTCAAACCTGCTCTATGATAGGGAATGTTCAACTCTGTGTCCTGAATACAAACATCACAAAGATGTTTCTCAGAACGCTGCAGTCTGCAATTTGTATGAATTCCCGCTTCCAACGAAATCCTCAAAACTAGCCAAATATCCACTTGCAGATTCCACAAAAAGAGCGTTTCAAAACTTCTCTATGAATAGAAAGGTTCTACTCCTTTAGTTGAGGACACACATCACGAGTAAGTTTCTGAGAATGCTTCTGTCTAGTTTTTATGGGAAGATATTTCCTTTTTCACCTTAGGCCGGTAAGTGCTCCAAATGTCCACTTACACACACTACAAAAAGAGTCTTTCAAACCTGCTCTGTGAAAGGGAATGTTCAATTCTGTGACTTGAATGCAATCATCACAAAGAACTTTCTGAGAATGCTGCTGTCAGCTTTTTATATGTAATCCCGTTTCCAAAGAAATCCTCAAATCTAGCCAAATAGCCACTTGCAGATTCCACAAAAAGAGTGTTTCAAAACTGTTCTGTCTAAAGAAATGTTCAACTGTGTTAGTTGAGGACACACATCAGAAACTAGTTTCTGAGAATGCTTCTGTCTAGTTGTTATGGGAAGATATTTCCTTTTCCAACGTAGGCCTGAAAGTGCTCCAAATGTCCACTTCCATATACTAAAAAAAGAGTGTTTCAAACCTGCTCTACCAAAGGGAATGTTCTACTCTGTGACTTGAATGCAAACATCCCAAAGAAGTTTCTGAGAATGCTTCTGTCTAGATTTGATCTGAAGACAATCCCGTTTCCAACGAAATCCTCAAGGCTAGGCAAATATACTCTTGCAGATTCCAGAAAAAGAGTGTTTCAAAACTGCTCCTTCAAAACGGTGGTTCAATTCTCTTAGTTGAGTACACACATCTCAAATATGTTTCTGAGAATGCTTCTGCCTAGTTGTTACGGGAAGATATTTCCCTTTCCAACATGGGCCTGAAAGCGCTCCAAATGTCCACTTCCAGATACTACAAAAAGAGTGTTTCAAACCTGCTCTACCAAAGGGAATGTTCTACTCTGTGACTTGAATGCAAACATCCCAAAGAAGTTTCTGAGAATGCTTCTGTCTAGATTTTACCTGAAGACAATCCCGTTTCCCACGAAATCCTCAAAGCTATGCAAATATCCTCTTGCAGATTCTACAAAAAGAGTGTTTCAAAACTGCTCTATGAAAAGAAAGGTTCAACTCTGTCAGTAGAGGGCACACATCACAAACAAGTTTCTGAGAATGCTTGTGTCTAGTTGTTATGGGAAGATATTTCCTTTTTCAACATAGGCCAGAAAGCGCTCCAAATGTCCACTTCCAGATACTACAAAAGGAGTGATTCCAACCTGCTCTATGATAGGGAATGTTCAACTCTCTGTCCTGAATACAAACATCACAAAGATGTTTATCAGAACGCTGCAGTCTGCAATTTGTATGAATTCCAGCTTCCAACGAAATCCTCAAATCTAGCCAAATATCCACTTGCAGATTCCACAAAAAGAGCATTTCAAAACTGCTCTATCAAAAGAAAGGTTCAACTTTGTTAGTAGAGTAGATACAGCATAAACAAGTTTCTGAGAATGCTGCAGTCTGCAATTTGTATGAATTCCCGCTTCCAACGAAATCCTCAAAACTAGCCAAATATCCACTTGGAGATTCCACAAAAAGAGCGTTTCAAAACTTCTCTATGAATAGAAAGGTTCTACTCCTTTAGTTGAGGACACACATCACGAGTAAGTTTCTGAGAATGCTTCTGTCTAGTTTTTATGGGAAGATATTTCCTTTTCCACCTTAGGCCGGAAAGCGCTCCAAATGTCCACTTACACACACTATAAAAAGAGTGTTTCAAACCTGCTCTGTGAAAGGGAATGTTCAATTCTGTGACTTGAATGCAATCATCACAAAGAACTTTCTGAGAATGCTGCTGTCTGCTTTTTATATGTAATCCCGTTTCCAACGAAATCCTCAAATCTAGCCAAATATCCACTTGCAGATTCCACAAAAAGAGTGTTTCAAAACTGTTCTGTCTAAAGAAAAGTTCAACTGTGTTAGTTGAGGACACACATCAGAAACTAGTTTCTGAGAATGCTTCTGTCTAGTTGTTATGGGAAGATATTTCCTTTTCCAACGTAGGCCTGAAAGCGCTCCAAATGTCCACTTCCAGATACTACAAAAAGAGTGTTTCAAACCTGCTCTACCAAAGGGAATGTTCTACTCTGTGACTTGAATGCAAACATCCCAAAGAAGTTTCTGAGAATGCTTCTGTCTAGATTTGATCTGAAGACAATCCCGTTTCCAACGAAATCCTCAAGGCTAGGCAAATATCCTCTTGCAGATTCCAGAAAAAGAGTGTTTCAAAACTGCTCCTTCAAAACGGTGGTTCAATTCTCTTAGTTGAGTACACACATCTCAAATAAGTTTCTGAGAATGCTTCTGCCTAGTTGTTACGGGAAGATATTTCCCTTTCCAACATAGGCCTGAAAGCGCTCCAAATGTCCACTTCCAGATACTACAAAAAGAGTGTTTCAAACCTGCTCTACCAAAGGGAATGTTCTACTCTGTGACTTGAATGCAAACATCCCAAAGAAGTTTCTGAGAATGCTTCTGTCTAGATTTTACCTGAAGACTATCCCGTTTCCCACGTAATCCTCAAAGCTATGCAAATATCCTCTTGCAGATTCTACAAAAAGAGTGTTTCAAAACTGCTCTATGAAAAGAAAGGTTCAACTCTGTCAGTAGAGGGCACACATCACAAACAAGTTTCTGAGAATGCTTGTGTCTAGTTGTTATGGGAAGATATTTCCTTTTTCAACATAGGCCTGAAAGCGCTCCAAATGTCCACTTCCAGATACTACAAAAGGAGTGATTCCAACCTGCTCTATGATAGGGAATGTTCAACTCTCTGTCCTGAATACAAACATCACAAAGATGTTTCTCAGAACGCTGCAGTCTGCAATTTGTATGAATTCCCGCTTCCAACGAAATCCTCAAAACTAGCCAAATATCCACTTGCAGATTCCACAAAAAGACCATTTCAAAACTGCTCTATCAAAAGAAAGGTTCAACTTTGTTAGTTGAGTAGATACAGCATAAACAAGTTTCTGAGAATGCTTCTGTCCAGTTTTTATGGGAAGATATTTCCTTTTTCACCTTAGCCCTGAAATCGCTCCAAAAGTCCAGTTCCAGATACTACAAAACGGGTGTTTCAAGACTGCTCTATGAAAGGGAGTGTTCAACTTTTGACTTGAATGCAAACATCAGAAAGCAGTTTCTCAGAACGCTGCTGTGTGCTTTTTATATGTATTCCCGCTTCCAGCGAAATCCCCAAAGCTAGCCAAATATCCACTTGCAGATTCCAGAAAAAGAGAGTTTCAAAACTGCTCCTTCAAAACGGTGGTTCAATTCTCTTAGTTGAGTACACACATCTCAAATAAGTTTCTGAGAATGCCTTCTGTCAAGTTTTTATGGGAAGATAATTCCTTGTTCAGCATAGGCCTGAAAGCGCTCGAAATGTCCTCTTCCAGATACTATAGAAAGAGTGTTTGAAACCTGCTCTATGATAGGGAATGTTCATCTCTGTGTACTGAATACAAACATCACAAAGATGTTTCTCAGAACGCTGCAGTCTGAAATTTGTATGAATTCCCGCTTCTAACGAAATCCTCATAACTAGCCAAATATCCACTTGCAGAATCCACAAAAAGAGCGTTTCAAAACTTCTCTATGAAAAGAAAAGTTCTAAGCCTTTAGTTGAGGACACTCATCACGAGTAAGTTTCTGAGAATGCTTCTGTCTAGTTTTTATGGGAAGATATGTCCTTTTTCACCTTAGGCCGGAAAGCGCTCCAAATGTCCAAATACACACACTACAAAAAGAGTGTTTCAAACCTGCTCTGTGAAAGGGAATGTTCAATTCTGTGACTTGAATGCAATCATCACAAAGAACTTTCTGAGAATGCTGCTGACTGCTTTTTATATGTAATCCCGTTTCCAACGAAATCCTCAAATCTAGCCAAATAGCCACTTGCAGATTCCACAAAAAGAGTGTTTCAAAACTGTTCTGTCTAAAGAAATGTGCAACTGTGTTAGTTGAGGACACACATCAGAAACTAGTTTCTGAGAATGCTTCTGTCTAGTTGTTATGGGAAGATATTTCCTTTTCCAACGTAGGCCTGAAAGCGCTCCAAATGTCCACTTCCATATACTAAAAAAAGAGTGTTTCAAACCTGCTCTACCAAAGGGAATGTTCTACTCTGTGACTTGAATGCAAACATCCCAAAGAAGTTTCTGAGAATGCTTCTGTCTAGATTGGATCTGAAGACAATCCCGTTTCCAACGAAATCCTCAAATCTATGCAAATATCCTCTTGCAGATTCCAGAAAAAGAGTGTTTCAAAACTGCTCCTTCAAAACGGTGGTTCAATTCTCTTAGTTGAGTACACACATCTCAAATAAGTTTCTGAGAATGCTTCTGCCTAGTTGTTACGGGAAGATATTTCCCTTTCCAACATGGGCCTGAAAGCGCTCCAAATGTCCACTTCCAGATACTACAAAAAGAGTGTTTCAAACCTGCTCTACCAAAGGGAATGTTCTACTGTGTGACTTGAATGCAAACATCCCAGAGAAGTTTCTGAGAATGCTTCTGTCTAGATTTTACCTGAAGACAATCCCGTTTCCCACGAAATCCTCAAAGCTATGCAAATATCCTTTTGCAGATTCTACAAAAAGAGTGTTTCAAAACTGCTCTATGAAAAGAAAGGTTCAACTCTGTCAGTAGAGGGCACACATCACAAACAAGTTTCTGAGAATGCTTCTGCATAGTTGTTACGGGAAGATATTTCCCTTTCCAAAATAGGCCTGAAAGCGCTCCAAATGTCCACTTCCAGATACTACAAAAGGAGTGATTCCAACCTGCTCTATGATAGGGAATGTTCAACTCTGTGTCCTGAATACAAACATCACAAAGATGTTTCTCAGAACGCTGCAGTCTGCAATTTGTATGAATTCCCGCTTCCAACGAAATCCTCAAAACTAGCCAAATATCCACTTGCAGATTCCACAAAAAGACCATTTCAAAACTGCTCTATCAAAAGAAAGGTTCAACTTTGTTAGTTGAGTAGATACAGCATAAACAAGTTTCTGAGAATGCTTCTGTCCAGTTTTTATGGGAAGATATTTCCTTTTTCACCTTAGCCCTGAAATCGCTCCAAAAGTCCAGTTCCAGATACTACAAAAGGGGTGTTTCAAGACTGCTCTATGAAAGGGAGTGTTCAACTTTTGACTTGAATGCAAACATCAGAAAGCAGTTTCTCAGAACGCTGCTGTGTGCTTTTTATATGTATTCCCGCTTCCAGCGAAATCCCCAAAGCTAGCCAAATATCCACTTGCAGATTCCAGAAAAAGAGTGTTTCAAAACTGCTCCTTCAAAACGGTGGTTCAATTCTCTTAGTTGAGTACACACATCTCAAATAAGTTTCTGAGAATGCTTCTGTCTAGTTGTTATGGGAAGATATTTCCTTTTCCAACATAGGCCTGAAAGCGCTCCAAATGTCCACTTCCAGATACTACAAAAGGAGTGATTCAAACCTGCTCTATGATAGGGAATGTTCAACTCTGTGTCCTGAATACAAACATCACAAAGATGTTTCTCAGAACGCTGCAGTCTGCAATTTGTATGAATTCCCGCTTCCAACGAAATCCTCAAAACTAGCCAAATATCCACTTGCAGATTCCACAAAAAGAGCGTTTCAAAACTTCTCTATGAAAAGAAAGGTTCTACTCCTTTAGTTGAGGACACACATCACGAGTAAGTTTCTGAGAATGCTTCTGTCTAGTTTTTATGGGAAGATATTTCCTTTTTCACCTTAGGCCGGAAAGCGCTCCAAATGTCCACTTACACACACTACAAAAAGAGAGTTTCAAACTTGCTCTGTGAAAGGGAATGTTCAATTCTGTGACTTGAATGCAATCATCACAAAGAACTTTCTGAGAATGCTGCTGTCTGCTCTTTATATGTAATCCCGTTTCCAACGAAATCCTCAAATCTAGCCAAATATCCACTTGCAGATTCCACAAAAAGAGTGTTTCAAAACTGTTCTGTCTAAAGAAAAGTTCAACTGTGTTAGTTGAGGACACACATCAGAAACTAGTTTCTGAGAATGCTTCTGTCTAGTTGTTATGGGAAGATATTTCCTTTTCCAACGTAGGCCTGAAAGCGCTCCAAATGTCCACTTACGCACACTACAAAAAGAGTGTTTCAAACCTGCTCTACCAAAGGGAATGTTCTACTCTGTGACTTGAATGCAAACATCCCAAAGAAGTTTCTGAGAATGCTTCTGTCTAGATTTTACCTGAAGACAATCCCGTTTCCCACGAAATCCTCAAAGCTATGCAAATATCCTCTTGCAGATTCTACAAAAAGAGTGTTTCGAAACTGCTCTATGAAAAGAAAGGTTCAACTGTGTCAGTAGAGGGCACACATCACAAACAAGTTTCTGAGAATGCTTCTGCCTAGTTGTTATGGGAAGATATTTCCTTTTTCAACATAGGCCTGAAAGCGCTCCAAATGTCCACTTCCAGATACTACAAAAGGAGTGATTCCAACCTGCTCTATGATAGGGAATGTTCAACTCTGTGTCCTGAATACAAACATCACAAAGATGTTTCTCAGAAAGCTGCAGTCTGCAATTTGTATGAATTCCCGCTTCCAACGAAATCCTCAAAACTAGCCAAATATCCACTTGCAGATTCCACAAAAAGACCATTTCAAAACTGCTCTATCAAAAGAAAGGTTCAACTTTGTTAGTTGAGTAGATACAGCATAAACAAGTTTCTGAGAATGCTTCTGTCCAGTTTTTATGGGAAGATATTTCCTTTTTCACCTTAGCCCTGAAATCGCTCCAAAAGTCCAGTTCCAGATACTACAAAAGGGGTGTTTCAAGACTGCTCTATGAAAGGGAGTGTTCAACTTTTGACTTGAATGCAAACATCAGAAAGCAGTTTCTCAGAACGCTGCTGTGTGCTTTTTATATGTATTCCCGCTTCCAGCGAAATCCCCAAAGCTAGCCAAATATCCACTTGCAGATTCCAGAAAAAGAGTGTTTCAAAACTGCTCCTTCAAAACGGTGGTTCAATTCTCTTAGTTGAGTACACACATCTCAAATAAGTTTCTGAGAATGCTTCTGTCTAGTTGTTATGGGAAGATATTTCCTTTTCCAACATAGGCCTGAAAGCGCTCCAAAGGTCCACTTCCAGATACTACAAAAGGAGTGATTCAAACCTGCTCTATGATAGGGAATGTTCAACTCTGTGTCCTGAATACAAACATCACAAAGATGTTTCTCAGAACGCTGCAGTCTGCAATTTGTATGAATTCCCGCTTCCAACGAAATCCTCCAAACTAGCCAAATATCCACTTGCAGATTCCACAAAAAGAGCGTTTCAAAACTTATCTATGAAAACAAAGGTTCTACTCCTTTAGTTGAGGACACACATCACGAGTAAGTTTCTGAGAATGCTTCTGTCTAGTTTTTATGGGAAGATATTTCCGTTTTCACCTTAGGCCGGAAAGTGCTCCAAATGTCCACTTACACACACTATAAAAAGAGTGTTTCAAACCTGCTCTGTGAAAGGGAATGTTCAATTCTGTGACTTGAATGCAATCATCACAAAGAACTTTCTGAGAATGCTGCTGTCTGCTTTTTATATGTAATCCCGTTTCCAACGAAATCCTCAAATCTAGCCAAATAGCCACTTGCAGATTCCACAAAAAGAGAGTTTCAAAACTGTTCTGTCTAAAGAAATGTTCAACTGTGTTAGTTGAGGACACACATCAGAAACTAGTTTCTGAGAATGCTTCTGTCTAGTTGTTATGGGAAGAATATTTCCTTTTCCAACGTAGGCCTGAAAGCGCTCCAAATGTCCACTTCCAGATACTACAAAAAGAGTGTTTCAAACCTGCTCTACCAAAGGGAATGTTCTACTCTGTGACTTGAATGCAAGCATCCCAAAGAAGTTTCTGAGAATGCTTCTGTCTAGATTTTACCTGAAGACAATCCCGTTTCCCACGAAATCCTCAAAGCTATGCAAATATCCTCTTGCAGATTCTACAAAAAGAGTGTTTCAAAACTGCTCTATGAAAAGAAAGGTTCAACTCTGTCAGTAGAGGGCACACATCACAAACAAGTTTCTGAGAATGCTTGTGTCTAGTTGTTATGGGAAGATATTTCCTTTTTCAACATAGGCCAGAAAGCGCTCCAAATGTCCACTTCCAGATACTACAAAAGGAGTGATTCCAACCTGCTCTATGATAGGGAATGTTCAACTCTCTGTCCTGAATACAAACATCACAAAGATGTTTCTCAGAACGCTGCAGTCTGCAATTTGTATGAATTCCCGCTTCCAGCGAAATCCTCAAAACTAGCCAAATATCCACTTGCAGATTCCACAAAAAGAGCATTTCAAAACTGCTCTATCAAAAGAAAGGTTCAACTTTGTTAGTTGAGTAGATACAGCATAAACAAGTTTCTGAGAATGCTTCTGTCCAGTTTTTATGGGAAGATATTTCCTTTTTCACCTTAGCCCTGAAATCGCTCCAAAAGTCCAGTTCCAGATACTACAAAAGGGGTGTTTCAAGACTGCTCTATGAAAGGGAGTGTTCAACTTTTGACTTGAATGCAAACATCAGAAAGCAGTTTCTCAGAACGCTGCTGTGTGCTTTTTATATGTATTCCCGCTTCCAGCGAAATCCCCAAAGCTAGCCAAATATCCACTTGCAGATTCCAGAAAAAGAGAGTTTCCAAACTGCTCCTTCAAAACGGTGGTTCAATTCTCTTAGTTGAGTACACACATCTCAAATAAGTTTCTGGGAATGCTTCTGTCTAGTTGTTATGGGAAGATATTTCCTTTTCCAACATAGGCCTGAAAGCGCTCCAAATGTCCACTTCCAGATACTACAAAAGGAGTGATTCAAACCTGCTCTATGATAGGGAATGTTCAAATCTGTGTCCTGAATACAAACATCACAAAGATGTTTCTCAGAACGCTGCAGTCTGCAATTTGTATGAATTCCCGCTTCCAACGAAATCCTCCAAACTAGCCAAATATCCACTTGCAGATTCCACAAAAAGAGCGTTTCAAAACTTCTCTATGAAAAGAAAGGTTCTACTCCTTTAGTTGAGGACACACATCACGAGTAAGTTTCTGAGAATGCTTCTGTCTAGTTTTTATGGGAAGATATTTCCTTTCTCACCTTAGGCCGGAAAGTGCTCCAAATGTCCACTTACACACACTACAAAAAGAGTGTTTCAAACCTGCTCTGTGAAAGGGAATGTTCAATTCTGTGACTTGAATGCAATCATCACAAAGAACTTTCTGAGAATGCTGCTGACTGCTTTTTATATGTAATCCCGTTTCCAACGAAATCCTCAAATCTAGCCAAATAGCCACTTGCAGATTCCACAAAAAGAGTGTTTCAAAACTGTTCTGTCTAAAGAAATGTTCAACTGTGTTAGTTGAGGACACACATCAGAAACTAGTTTCTGAGAATGCTTCTGTCTAGTTGCTATGGGAAGATATTTCCTTTTCCAACGTAGGCCTGAAAGCGCTCCAAATGTCCACTTCCATATACTAAAAAAAGAGTGTTTCAAACCTGCTCTACCAAAGGGAATGTTCTACTCTGTGACTTGAATGCAAACATCCCAAAGAAGTTTCTGAGAATGCTTCTGTCTAGATTTTATCTGAAGACAATCCCGTTTCCAACGAAATCCTCAAGGCTAGGCAAATATACTCTTGCAGATTCCAGAAAAAGAGGGTTTCAAAACTGCTCCTTCCAAACGGTGGTTCAATTCTCTTAGTTGAGTACACACATCTCAAATAAGTTTCTGAGAATGCTTCTGCCTAGTTGTTACGGGAAGATATTTCCCTTTCCAACATGGGCCTGAAAGCGCTCCAAATGTCCACTTCCAGATACTACAAAAAGAGTGTTTCAAACCTGCTCTACCAAAGGGAATGTTCTACTCTGTGACTTGAATGCAAACATCCCAAAGATGTTTCTGAGAATGCTTCTGTCTAGATTTTACCTGAAGACAATCCCGTTTCCCACGAAATCCTCAAAGCGATGCAAATATCCTCTTGCGGATTCTACCAAAAGAGTGTTTCAAAACTGCTCT
This sequence comes from Homo sapiens, assembly GCF_000001405.40. Lineage (NCBI taxonomy): Eukaryota > Metazoa > Chordata > Mammalia > Primates > Hominidae > Homo > Homo sapiens. Next base: position 19,924,940 of record NC_000018.10, on the reverse strand, counting down.
ATGAAAAGAAAGGTTCAACTCTGTCAGTAGAGGGCACACATCACAAACAAGTTTCTGAGAATGCTTCTGTCTAGTTGTTATGGGAAGATATTTCCTTTTCCAACATAGGCCTGAAAGCGCTCCAAATGTCCACTTCCAGATACTACAAAAGGAGTGATTCCAACCTGCTCTATGATAGGGAATGTTCAACTCTGTGTCCTGAATACAAACATCACAAAGATGTTTCTCAGAACGCTGCAGTCTGCAATTTGTATGAATTCCCGCTTCCAACGAAATCCTCAAAACTAGCCAAATATCCACTTGCAGATTCCACAAAAAGACCATTTCAAAACTGCTCTATCAAAAGAAAGGTTCAACTTTGTTAGTTGAGTAGATACAGCATAACCAAGTTTCTGAGAATGCTTCTGTCCAGTTTTTATGGGAAGATATTTCCTTTTTCACCTTAGCCCTGAAATCGCTCCAAAAGTCCAGTTCCAGATACTACAAAAGGGGTGTTTCAAGACTGCTCTATGAAAGGGAGTGTTCAACTTTTGACTTGAATGCAAACATCAGAAAGCAGTTTCTCAGAACGCTGCAGTCTGCAATTTGTATGAATTCCCGCTTCCAACGAAATCCTCAAAACTAGCCAAATATCCACTTGCAGATTCCACAAAAAGAGCGTTTCAAAACTTCTCTATGAAAAGGAAGGTTCTACTCCTTTAGTTGAGGACACACATCACGAGTAAGTTTCTGAGAATGCTTTCTGTCTAGTTTTTATGGGAAGATATGTCCTTTTTCACCTTAGGCCGGAAAGTGCTCCAAATGTCCACTTACACACACTACAAAAAGAGGGTTTCAAACCTGCTCTGTGAAAGGGAATGTTCAATTCTGTGACTTGAATGCAGTCATCACAAAGAACTTTCTGAGAATGCTGCTGACTGCTTTTTATATGTAATCCCGTTTCCAACGAAATCCTCAAATCTAGCCCAATATCCACTTGCAGATTCCACAAAAAGAGTGTTTCAAAACTGTTCTGTCTAAAGTAATGTACAACTGTGTTAGTTGAGGACACACATCAGAAACTAGTTTCTGAGAATGCTTCTGTCTAGTTGTTATGGGAAGATATTTCCTTTTCCAACGTAGGCCTGAAAGCGCTCCAAATGTCCACTTCCAGATACTACAAAAAGAGTGTTTCAAACCTGCTCTACCAAAGGGAATGTTCTACTCTGTGACTTGAATGCAAACATCCCAAAGAAGTTTCTGAGAATGCTTCTGTCTAGATTTTCTCTGAAGACAATCCCGTTTCCAACGAAATCCTCAAGGCTAGGCAAATATCCTCTTGCAGATTCCAGAAAAAGAGTGTTTCAAAACTGCTCCTTCAAAACGGTGGTTCAATTCTCTTAGTTGAGTACACACATCTCAAATAAGTTTCTGAGAATGCTTCTGCCTAGTTGTTACGGGAAGATATTTCCCTTTCCAACATGGGCCTGAAAGCGCTCCAAATGTCCACTTCCAGATACTACAAAAAGAGTGTTTCAAACCTGCTCTACCAAAGGGAATGTTCTACTCTGTGACTTGAATGCAAACATCCCAAAGAAGTTTCTGAGAATGCTTCTGTCTAGATTTTACCTGAAGACAATCCCGTTTCCCACGAAATCCTCAGAGCTATGCAAATATCCTCTTGCAGATTCTACAAAAAGAGTGTTTCGAAACTGCTCTATGAAAAGAAAGGTTCAACTCTGTCAGTAGAGGAAACACATCACCAACAAGTTTCTGAGAATGCTTCTGTCTAGTTGTTATGGGAAGATTTTTCCTTTTTCAACATAGGCCTGAAAGCGCTCCAAATGTCCACTTCCAGATACTACAAAAGGAGTGATCCCAACCTGCTGTATGATAGGGAATGTTCAACTCTGTGTCCTGAATACAAACATCACAAAGATGTTTCTCAGAACGCTGCAGTCTGCAATTTGTATGAATTCCCGCTTCCAACGAAATCCTCAAAACTAGCCAAATATCCACTTGCAGATTCCACAAAAAGAGCATTTCAAAACTGCTCTATCAAAAGAAAGGTTCAACTTTGTTAGTTGAGTAGATACAGCATAAACAAGTTTACTGAGAATGCTTCTGTCCAGTTTTTATGGGAAGATATTTCCTTTTTCACCTTAGCCCTGAAAGCGCTCCAAATTTCCAGTTCCAGATACTACAAAAGGGGTGTTTCAAGACTGCTCTATGAAAGGGAGTGTTCAACTTTTGACTTGAATGCAAACATCAGAAAGCAGTTTCTCAGAACGCTGCTGTGTGCTTTTTATATGTATTCCCGCTTCCAGCGAAATCCCCAAAGCTAGCCAAATATCCACTTGCAGATTCCAGAAAAAGAGTGTTTCCAAACTGCTCCTTCAAAACGGTGGTTCAATTCTCTTAGTTGAGTACACACATCTCAAATAAGTTTCTGGGAATGCTTCTGTCTAGTTGTTATGGGAAGATATTTCCTTTTCCAACATAGGCCTGAAAGCGCTCCAAATGTCCACTTCCAGATACTACAAAAGGAGTGATTCAAACCTGCTCTATGATAGGGAATGTTCAACTCTGTGTCCTGAATACAAACATCACAAAGATGTTTCTCAGAACGCTGCAGTCTGCAATTTGTATGAATTCCCGCTTCCAACCGAAATCCTCAAAACTAGCCAAATATCCACTTGCAGATTCCACAAAAAGAGCATTTCAAAACTGCTCTATCAAAAGAAAGGTTCAACTTTGTTAGTTGAGTAGATACAGCATAAACAAGTTTCTGAGAATGCTTCTGTCCAGTTTTTATGGGAAGATATTTCCTTTTTCACCTTAGCCCTGAAATCGCTCCAAAAGTCCAGTTCCAGATACTACAAAAGGGGTGTTTCAAGACTGCTCTATGAAAGGGAGTGTTCAACTTTTGACTTGAATGCAAACATCAGAAAGCAGTTTCTCAGAACGCTGCTGTGTGCTTTTTATATGTATTCCCGCTTCCAGCGAAATCCCCAAAGCTAGCCAGATATCCACTTGCAGATTCCAGAAAAAGAGTGTTTCAAAACTGCTCCTTCAAAACGGTGGTTCAATTCTCTTAGTTGAGTACACACATCTCAAATAAGTTTCTGAGAATGCTTCTGTCTAGTTGTTATGGGAAGATATTTCCTTTTCCAACATAGGCCTGAAAGCGCTCCAAATGTCCACTTCCAGATACTACAAAAGGAGTGATTCAAACCTGCTCTATGATAGGGAATGTTCAACTCTGTGTCCTGAATACAAACATCACAAAGATGTTTCTCAGAACGCTGCAGTCTGCAATTTGTATGAATTCCCGCTTCCAACGAAATCCTCAAAACTAGCCAAATATCCACTTGCAGATTCCACAAAAAGAGCGTTTCAAAACTTCTCTATGAAAAGAAAGGTTCTACTCCTTTAGTTGAGGACACACATCACGAGTAAGTTTCTGAGAATGCTTCTGTCTAGTTTTTATGGGAAGATATTTCCTTTTTCACCTTAGGCCGGTAAGTGCTCCAAATGTCCACTTACACACACTACAAAAAGAGTGTTTCAAACCTGCTCTGTGAAAGGGAATGTTCAATTCTGTGACTTGAATGCAATCATCACAAAGAACTTCTGAGAATGCTGCTGTCTGCTTTTTATATGTAATCCCGTTTCCAACGAAATCCTCAAATCTAGCCAAACAGCCACTTGCAGATTCCACAAAAAGAGTGTTTCAAAACTGTTCTGTCTAAAGAAATGTTCAACTGTGTTAGTTGAGGACACACATCAGAAACTAGTTTCTGAGAATGCTTCTGTCTAGTTGTTATGGGAAGATATTTCCTTTTCCAAAGTAGGCCTGAAAGCGCTCCAAATGTCCACTTCCATATACGAAAAAAAGAGTGTTTCAAACCTGCTCTACCAAAGGGAATGTTCTACTCTGTGACTTGAATGCAAACATCCCAAAGAAGTTTCTGAGAATGCTTCTGTCTAGATTTGATCTGAAGACAATCCCGTTTCCAACGGAATCCTCAAAGCTAGGCAAATATACTCTTGCAGATTCCAGAAAAAGAGTGTTTCAAAACTGCTCCTTCAAAAGGGTGGTTCAATTCTCTTAGTTGAGTACACACATCTCAAATAAGTTTCTGAGAATGCTTCTGCCTAGTTGTTACGGGAAGATATTTCCCTTTCCAACATAGGCCTGAAAGCGCTCCAAATGTCCACTTCCAGATACTACAAAAAGAGTGTTTCAAACCTGCTCTACCAAAGGGAATGTTCTACTCTGTGACTTGAATGCAAACATCCCAAAGAAGTTTCTGAGAATGCTTCTGTCTAGATTTTATCTGAAGACAATCCCGTTTCCCACGAAATCCTCAAAGCTATGCAAATATCCTCTTGCAGATTCTACAAAAAGAGTGTTTCGAAACTGCTCTATGAAAAGAAAGGTTCAACTGTGTCAGTAGAGGGCACATATCTCAAACAAGTTTCTGAGAATGCTTCTGTCTAGTTGTTATGGGAAGATATTTCCTTTTTCAACATAGGCCTGAAAGCGCTCCAAATGTCCACTTCCAGATACTACAAAAGGAGTGATTCCAACATGCTCTATGATAGGGAATGTTCAACTCTGTGTCCTGAATACAAACATCACAAAGATGTTTCTCAGAACGCTGCAGTCTGCAATTTGTATGAATTCCCGCTTCCAACGAAATCCTCAAAACTAGCCAAATATCCACTTGCAGATTCCACAAAAAGAGCATTTCAAAACTGCTCTATCAAAAGAAAGGTTCAACTTTGTTAGTTGAGTAGATACAGCATAAACAAGTTTCTGAGAATGCTGCAGTCTGCAATTTGTATGAATTCCCGCTTCCAACGAAATCCTCAAAACTAGCCAAATATCCACTTGCAGATTCCACAAAAAGAGCGTTTCAAAACTTCTCTATGAAAAGAAAGGTTCTACTCCTTTAGTTGAGGACACACATCACGAGTAAGTTTCTGAGAATGCTTCTGTCTAGTTTTTATGGGAAGATTATTTCCTTTTTCACCTTAGGCCGGTAAGTGCTCCAAATGTCCACTTACACACACTACAAAAAGAGTGTTTCAAACCTGCTCTGTGAAAGGGAATGTTCAATTCTGTGACTTGAATGCAATCATCACAAAGAACTTTCTGAGAATGCCGCTGACTGCTTTTTATATGTAATCCCGTTTCTAACGAAATCCTCAAATCTAGCCAAATAGCCACTTGCAGATTCCACAAAAAGAGTGTTTCAAAACTGTTCTGTCTAAAGAAATGTTCAACTGTGTTAGTTGAGGACACACATCAGAAACTAGTTTCTGAGAATGCTTCTGTCTAGTTGTTATGGGAAGATATTTCCTTTTCCAACGTAGGCCTGAAAGCGATCCAAATGTCCACTTCCATATACTAAAAAAAGAGTGTTTCAAACCTGCTCTACCAAAGGGAATGTTCTACTCTGTGACTTGAATGCAAACATCCCAAAGAAGTTTCTGAGAATGCTTCTGTCTAGATTTTCTCTGAAGACAATCCCGTTTCCAACGAAATCCTCAAGGCTAGGCAAATATACTCTTGCAGATTCCAGAAAAAGAGTGTTTCAAAACTGCTCCTTCAAAACGGTGGTTCAATTCTCTTAGTTGAGTACACACATCTCAAATAAGTTTCTGAGAATGCTTCTGCCTAGTTGTTACGGGAAGATATTTCCCTTTCCAACATAGGCCTGAAAGCGCTCCAAATGTCCACTTCCAGATACTACAAAAAGAGTGTTTCAAACCTGCTCTACCAAAGGGAATGTTCTGCTCTGTGACTTGAATGCAAACATCCCAAAGAAGTTTCTGAGAATGCTTTCTGTCTAGATTTTACTGAAGACAATCCCGTTTCCCACGAAATCCTCAAAGCTATGCAAATATCCTCTTGCGGATTCTACAAAAAGAGTGTTTCAAAACTGCTCTATGAAAAGAAAGGTTCAACTCTGTCAGTAGAGGGCACACATCACAAACAAGTTTCTGAGAATGCTTCTGTCTAGTTGTTATGGGAAGATATTTCCTTTTTCAACATAGGCCTGAAAGCGCTCCAAATGTCCACTTCCAGATACTACAAAAGGAGTGATTCCAACCTGCTCTATGATAGGGAATGTTCAACTCTGTGTCCTGAATACAAACATCACAAAGACGTTTCTCAGAACGCTGCAGTCTGCAATTTGTATGAATTCCCGCTTCCAACGAAATCCTCAAACCTAGCCAAATATCCACTTGCAGATTCCACAAAAAGAGCATTTCAAACTGCTCTATCAAAAGAAAGGTTCAACTTTGTTAGTTGAGTAGATATAGCATAAACAAGTTTCTGAGAATGCTTCTGTCCAGTTTTTATGGGAAGATATTTCCTTTTTCACCTTAGCCCTGAAAGCGCTCCAAATGTCCAGTTCCCGATACTACAAAAGGGGTGTTTCAAGACTGCTCTATGAAAGGGAGTGTTCAACTTTTGACTTGAATGCAAACATCAGAAAGCAGTTTCTCAGAACGCTGCAGTCTGCAATTTGTATGAATTCCCGCTTCCAACGAAATCCTCAAAACTAGCCAAATATCCACTTGCAGATTCCACAAAAAGAGCGTTTCAAAACTTCTCTATGAAAAGAAAGGTTCTACTCCTTTAGTTGAGGACACACATCACGAGTAAGTTTCTGAGAATGCTTCTGTCTAGTTTTTATGGGAAGATATTTCCTTGTTCACCTTAGGCCGAAAAGCGCTCCAAATGTACACTTACACACACTACAAAAAGAGTGTTTCAAACCTGCTCTGTGAAAGGGAATGTTCAATTCTGTGACTTGAATGCAATCATCACAAAGAAGTTTCTGAGAATGCTGCTGTCTGCTTTTTATATGTAATCCCGTTTCCAACGAAATCCTCAAATCTAGCCAAATAGCCACTTGCAGATTCCACAAAAAGAGTGTTTCAAAACTGTTCTGTCTAAAGAAATGTTCAACTGTGTTAGTTGAGGACACACATCAGAAACTAGTTTCTGAGAATGCTTCTGTCTAGTTGTTATGGGAAGATATTTCCTTTTCCAACGTAGGCCTGAAAGCGCTCCAAATGTCCACTTCCAGATACTACAAAAAGAGTGTTTCAAACCTGCTCTACCAAAGGGAATGTTCTACTCTGTGACTTGAATGCAAACATCCCAAAGAAGTTTCTGAGAATGCTTCTGTCTAGATTTTATCTGAAGACAATCCCGTTTCCAACGAAATCCTCAAGGCTAGGCAAATATATTCTTGCAGAATCCAGAAAAAGAGTGTTTCAAAACTGCTCCTTCAAAACGGTGGTTCAATTCTCTTAGTTGAGTACACACATCTCAAATAAGTTTCTGAGAATGCTTCTGCCTAGTTGTTACGGGAAGATATTTCCCTTTCCAACATGGGCCTGAAAGCGCTCCAAATGTCCACTTCCAGATACTACAAAAAGAGTGTTTCAAACCTGCTCTACCAAAGGGAATGTTCTACTCTGTGACTTGAATGCAAACATCCCAAAGAAGTTTCTGAGAATGCTTCTGTCTAGATTTTACCTGAAGACAATCCCGTTTCCCACGAAATCCTCAAAGCTATGCAAATATCCTCTTGCAGATTCTACAAAAAGAGTGTTTCAAAACTGCTCTATGAAAAGAAAGGTTCAACTCTGTCAGTAGAGGGCACACATCACAAACAAGTTTCTGAGAATGCTTGTGTCTAGTTGTTATGGGAAGATATTTCCTTTTTCAACATAGGCCTGAAAGCGCTCCAAATGTCCACTTCCAGATACTACAAAAGGAGTGATTCCAACCTGCTCTATGATAGGGAATGTTCATCTCTGTGTCCTGAATACAAACATCACAAAGATGTTTCTCAGAACGCTGCAGTCTGCAATTTGTATGAATTCCCGCTTCCAACGAAATCCTCAAAACTAGCCAAATATCCACTTGCAGATTCCACAAAAAGACCATTTCAAAACTGCTCTATCAAAAGAAAGGTTCAACTTTGTTAGTTGAGTAGATACAGCATAAACAAGTTTCTGAGAATGCTTCTGTCCAGTTTTTATGGGAAGATATTTCCTTTTTCACCTTAGCCCTGAAATCGCTCCAAAAGTCCAGTTCCAGATACTACAAAAGGGGTGTTTCAAGACTGCTCTATGAAAGGGAGTGTTCAACTTTTGACTTGAATGCAAACATCAGAAAGCAGTTTCTCAGAACGCTGCTGTGTGCTTTTTATATGTATTCCCGCTTCCAGCGAAATCCCCAAAGCTAGCCAAATATCCACTTGCAGATTCCAGAAAAAGAGTGTTTCAAAACTGCTCCTTCAAAACGGTGGTTCAATTCTCTTAGTTGAGTACACACATCTCAAATAAGTTTCTGAGAATGCTTCTGTCTAGTTGTTATTGGAAGATATTTCCTTTTCCAACATAGGCCTGAAAGCGCTCCAAATGTCCACTTCCAGATACTACAAAAGGAGTGATTCCAACCTGCTCTATGATAGGGAATGTTCAACTCTGTGTCCTGAATACAAACATCACAAAGATGTTTCTCAGAACGCTGCAGTCTGCAATTTGTTTGAATTCCCGCTTCCAACGTAATCCTCAAAACTAGCCAAATATCCACTTGGAGATTCCACAAAAAGAGCGTTTCAAAACTTCTCTATGAATAGAAAGGTTCTACTCCTTTAGTTGAGGACACACATCACGAGTAAGTTTCTGAGAATGCTTCTGTCTAGTTTTTATGGGAAGATATGTCCTTTTTCACCTTAGGCCGGAAAGCGCTCCAAATGTCCACTTACACACACTACAAAAAGAGTGTTTCAAACCTGCTCTGTGAAAGGGAATGTTCAATTCTGTGACTTGAATGCAATCATCACAAAGAACTTTCTGAGAATGCTGCTGTCTGCTTTTTATATGTAATCCCGTTTCCAATGAAATCCTCAAATCTAGCCAAATATCCACTTGCAGTTTCCACAAAAAGAGTGTTTCAAAACTGTTCTGTCTAAAGAAATGTTCAACTGTGTTAGTTGAGGACACACATCAGAAACTAGTTTCTGAGAATGCTTCTGTCTAGTTGTTATGGGAAGATATTTCCTTTTCCAACGTAGGCCTGAAAGCGCTCCAAATGTCCACTTACACACACTACAAAAAGAGTGTTTCAAACCTGCTCTACCAAATGGAATGTTCTACTCTGTGACTTGAATGCAAACATCCCAAAGAAGTTTCTGAGAATGCTTCTGTCTAGATTTTACCTGAAGACAATCCCGTTTCCCACGAAATCCTCAAATCTATGCAAATATCCTCTTGCAGATTCTACAAAAAGAGTGTTTCGAAACTGCTCTATGAAAAGAAAGGTTCAACTGTGTTAGTAGAAGGCACACATCACAAACAAGTTTCTGAGAATGCTGTGTCTAGTTGTTATGGGAAGATATTTCCTTTTTCAACATAGGCCTGAAAGCGCTCCAAATGTCCACTTCCAGATACTACAAAAGGAGTGATTCCAACCTGCTCTATGATAGGGAATGTTCATCTGCTGTGTCCTGAATACAAACATCACAAAGATGTTTCTCAGAACGCTGGCAGTCTGCAATTTGTATGAATTCCCGCTTCCAACGAAATCCTCAAAACTAGCCAAATATCCACTTGCAGATTCCACAAAAAGACCATTTCAAAACTGCTCTATCAAAAGAAAGGTTCAACTTTGTTAGTTGAGTAGATACAGCATAACCAAGTTTCTGAGAATGCTTCTGTCCAGTTTTTATGGGAAGATATTTCCTTTTTCACCTTAGCCCTGAAATCGCTCCAAAAGTCCAGTTCCAGATACTACAAAAGGGGTGTTTCAAGACTGCTCTATGAAAGGGAGTGTTCAACTTTTGACTTGAATGCAAACATCAGAAAGCAGTTTCTCAGAACGCTGCTGTGTGCTTTTTATATGTATTCCCGCTTCCAGCGAAATCCCCAAAGCTAGCCAAATATCCACTTGCAGATTCCAGAAAAAGAGAGTTTCAAAACTGCTCCTTCAAAACGGTGGTTCAATTCTCTTAGTTGAGTACACACATCTCAAATAAGTTTCTGAGAATGCTTCTGTCTAGTTGTTATGGGAAGATATTTCCTTTTCCAACATAGGCCTGAAAGCGCTCCAAATGTCCACTTCCAGATAATAGAAAAGGAGTGATTCAAACCTGCTCTATGATAGGGAATGTTCAACTCTGTGTCCTGAATACAAACATCACAAAGATGTTTCTCAGAACGCTGCAGTCTGCAATTTGTATGAATTCCCGCTTCCAACGAAATCCTCCAAACTAGCCAAATATCCACTTGCAGATTCCACAAAAAGAGCGTTTCAAAACTTCTCTATGAAAAGAAAGGTTCTACTCCTTTAGTTGAGGACACACATCACGAGTAAGTTTCTGAGAATGCTTCTGTCTAATTTTTATGGGAAGATATTTTCTTTTTCACCTTAGGCCGAAAAGCGCTCCAAATGTCCACTTACACACACTACAAAAAGAGTGTTTCAAACCTGCTCTGTGAAAGGGAATGTTCAATTCTGTGACTTGAATGCAATCATCACAAAGAAGTTTCTGAGAATGCTGCTGTCTGCTTTTAATATGTAATCCCGTTTCCAACGAAATCCTCAAATCTAGCCAAATATCCACTTGCAGATTCCACAAAAAGAGTGTTTCAAAACTGTTCTGTCTAAAGAAATGTTCAACTGTGTTAGTTGAGGACACACATCAGAAACTAGTTTCTGAGAATGCTTCTGTCTAGTTGTTATGGGAAGATATTTCCTTTTCCAACGTAGGCCTGAAAGCGCTCCAAATGTCCACTTACACACACTATAAAAACAGTGTTTCAAACCTGCTCTACCAAAGTGAATATTCTACTCTGTGACTTGAATGCAAACATCCCAAAGAAGTTTCTGAGAATTCTTCTGTCTAGATTTTACGTGAAGACAATCCCGTTTCCTACGAAATCCTCAAAGCTATGCAAATATCCTCTTACAGATTCTACAAAAAGAGTGTTTCGAAACTGCTCTATGAAAAGAAAGGTTCAACTGTGTCAGTAGAAGGCACACATCACAAACAAGTTTCTGAGAATGCTTGTGTCTAGTTGTTATGGGAAGATATTTCCTTTTTCAACATAGGCCTGAAAGCGCTCCAAATGTCCACTTCCAGATACTACAAAAGGAGTGATTCCAATATGCTCTATGATAGGGAATGTTCATCTCTGTGTCTTGAATACAAACATTTCAAAGATGTTTCTCAGAACGCTGCAGTCTGCAATTTGTATGAATTCCCGCTTCCAACGAAATCCTCAAAACTAGCCAAATATCCACTTGCAGATTCCACAAAAAGACCATTTCAAAACTGCTCTATCAAAAGAAAGGTTCAACTTTGTTAGTTGAGTAGATACAGCATAACCAAGTTTCTGAGAATGCTTCTGTCCAGTTTTTATGGGAAGATATTTCCTTTTTCACCTTAGCCCTGAAAGCGCTCCAAAAGTCCAGTTCCAGATACTACAAAAGGAGTGTTTCAGGACTGCTCTATGAAAGGGAGTGTTCAACTTTTGACTTGAATGCAAACATCAGAAAGCAGTTTCTCAGAACCGCTGCTGTGTGCTTTTTATATGTATTCCCGCTTCCAGCGAAATCCCCAAAGCTAGCCAAATATCCACTTGCAGATTCCAGAAAAAGAGAGTTTCAAAACTGCTCCTTCAAAACGGTGGTTCAATTCTCTTAGTTGAGTACACACATCTCAAATAAGTTTCTGAGAATGCTTCTGTCTAGTTGTTATGGGAAGATATTTCCTTTTTCAACATAGGCCTGAAAGCGCTCCAAATGTCCACTTCCAGATACTACAAAAGGAGTGATTCCAACCTGCTCTATGATAGGGAATGTTCAACTCTGTGTCCTGAATACAAACATCACAAAGACGTTTCTCAGAACGCTGCAGTCTGCAATTTGTATGAATTCCCGCTTCCAACGAAATCCTCAAAACTAGCCAAATATCCACTTGGAGATTCCACAAAAAGAGGGTTTCAAAACTTCTCTATGAATAGAAAGGTTCTACTCCTTTAGTTGAGGACACACATCACGAGTAAGTTTCTGAGAATGCTTCTGTCTAGTTTTTATGGGAAGATATGTCCTTTTTCACCTTAGGCCGGAAAGCGCTCCAAATGTCCACTTACACACACTACAAAAAGAGTGTTTCAAACCTGCTCTGTGAAAGGGAATGTTCAATTCTGTGACTTGAATGCAATCATCACAAAGAACTTTCTGAGAATGCTGCTGTCTGCTTTTTATATGTAATCCCGTTTCCAACGAAATCCTCAAATCTAGCCAAATAGCCACTTGCAGATTCCACAAAAAGAGTGTTTCAAAACTGTTCTGTCTAAAGAAATGTTCAACTGTGTTAGTTGAGGACACACATCAGAAACTAGTTTCTGAGAATGCTTCTGTCTAGTTGTTATGGGAAGATATTTCCTTTTCCAACGTAGGCCTGAAAGCGCTCCAAATGTCCACTTCCATATACTAAAAAAAGAGTGTTTCAAACCTGCTCTACCAAAGGGAATGTTCTACTCTGTGACTTGAATGCAAACATCCCAAAGAAGTTTCTGAGAATGCTTCTGTCTAGATTTTACCTGAAGACAATCCCGTTTCCCACGAAATCCTCAAAGCTATGCAAATATCCTCTTGCAGATTCTACAAAAAGAGTGTTTCAAAACTGCTCTATGAAAAGAAAGGTTCAACTCTGTCAGTAGAGGGCACACATCACAAACAAGTTTCTGAGAATGCTTGTGTCTAGTTGTTATGGGAAGATATTTCCTTTTTCAACATAGGCCAGAAAGCGCTCCAAATGTCCACTTCCAGATACTACAAAAGGAGTGATTCCAACCTGCTCTATGATAGGGAATGTTCAACTCTGTGTCCTGAATACAAACATCACAAAGATGTTTCTCAGAACGCTGCAGTCTGCAATTTGTATGTATTCCAGCTTCCAACGAAATCCTCAAATCTAGCCAAATATCCACTTGCAGATTCCACAAAAAGAGCATTTCAAAACTGCTCTATCAAAAGAAAGGTTCAACTTTTTTAGTAGAGTAGATACAGCATAAACAAGTTTCTGAGAATGCTGCAGTCTGCAATTTGTATGAATTCTCGCTTCCAACGAAATCCTCAAAACTAGCCAAATATCCACTTGGAGATTCCACAAAAAGAGCGTTTCAAAACTTCTCCATGAATAGAAAGGTTCTACTCCTTTAGTTGAGGACACACATCACGAGTAAGTTTCTGAGAATGCTTCTGTCTAGTTTTTATGGGAAGATATTTCCTTTTTCACCTTAGGCCGGAAAGCGCTCCAAATGTCCACTTACACACACTACAAAAAGAGTGTTTCAAACCTGCTCTGTGAAAGGGAATGTTCAATTCTGTGACTTGAATGCAATCATCACAAAGAACTTTCTGAGAATGCTGCTGTCTGCTTTTTATATGTAATCCCGTTTCCAACGAAATCCTCAAATCTAGCCCAATATCCACTTGCAGATTCCACAAAAAGAGTGTTTCAAAACTGTTCTGTCTAAAGAAAAGTTCAACTGTGTTAGTTGAGGACACATATCAGAAAGTAGTTTCTGAGAATGCTTCTGTCTAGTTGTTATGGGAAGATATTTCCTTTTCCAACGTAGGCCTGAAAGCGCTCCAAATGTCCACTTCCAGATACTACAAAAAGAGTGTTTCAAACCTGCTCTACCAAAGGGAATGTTCTACTCTGTGACTGGAATGCAAGCATCCCAAAGAAGTTTCTGAGAATGTTTCTGTCTAGATTTTATCTGAAGACAATCCCGTTTCCAACGAAATCCTCAAGGCTAGGAAAATATACTCTTGCAGATTCCAGAAAAAGAGTGTTTCAAAACTGCTCCTTCAAAACGGTGGTTCAATTCTCTTAGTTGAGTACACACATCTCAAATAAGTTTCTGAGAATGCTTCTGCCTAGTTGTTACGGGAAGATATTTCCCTTTCCAACATAGGCCTGAAAGCGCTCCAAATGTCCACTTCCAGATACTACAAAAAGAGTGTTTCAAACCTGCTCTACCAAAGGGAATGTTCTACTCTGTGACTTGAATGCAAACATCCCAAAGAAGTTTCTGAGAATGCTTCTGTCTAGATTTTTCCTGAGACAATCCCGTTTCCCACGAAATCCTCAAAGCTATGCAAATATCCTCTTGCAGATTCTACAAAAAGAGTGTTTCAAAACTGCTCTATGAAAAGAAAGGTTCAACTCTGTCAGTAGAGGGCACACATCACAAACAAGTTTCTGAGAATGCTTGTGTCTAGTTGTTATGGGAAGATATTTCCTTTTTCAACATAGGCCTGAAAGCGCTCCAAATGTCCACTTCCAGATACTACAAAAGGAGTGATTCCAACCTGCTCTATGATAGGGAATGTTCAACTCTCTGTCCTGAATACAAACATCACAAAGATGTTTCTCAGAACGCTGCAGTCTGCAATTTGTATGAATTCCAGCTTCCAACGAAATCCTCAAAACTAGCCAAATATCCACTTGCAGATTCCACAAAAAGACCATTTCAAAACTGCTCTATCAAAAGAAAGGTTCAACTTTGTTAGTTGAGTAGATACAGCATAAACAAGTTTCTGAGAATGCTGCAGTCTGCAATTTGTATGAATTCCCGCTTCCAACGAAATCCTCAAAACTAGCCAAATATCCACTTGGAGATTCCACAAAAAGAGCGTTTCAAAACTTCTCTATGAATAGAAAGGTTCTACTCCTTTAGTTGAGGACACACATCACGAGTAAGTTTCTGAGAATGCTTCTGTCTAGTTTTTATGGGAAGATATTTCCTTTTTCACCTTAGGCCGGAAAGCGCCCCAAATGTCCACTTACACACACTACAAAAAGAGTGTCTCAAACCTGCTCTGTGAAAGGGAATGTTCAATTCTGTGACTTGAATGCAATCATCACAAAGAACTTTCTGAGAATGCTGCTGTCTGCTTTTTATATGTAATCCCGTTTCCAACGAAATCCTCAAATCTAGCCAAATATCCACTTGCAGATTCCACAAAAAGAGTGTTTCAAAACTGTTCTGTCTAAAGAAAAGTTCAACTGTGTTAGTTGAGGACACACATCAGAAACTAGTTTCTGAGAATGCTTCTGTCTAGTTTTTATGGGAAGATATTTCCTTTTCCAACGTAGGCCTGAAAGCGCTCCAAATGTCCACTCCCATATACTAAAAAAAGAGTGTTTCAAACCTGCTCTACCAAAGGTAATGTTCTACTCTGTGACTTGAATGCAAACATCCCAAAGAAGTTTCTGAGAATGCTTCTGTCTAGATTTTATCGGAAGACAATCCCGTTTCCAACGAAATCCTCAAAGCTAGGCAAATATACTCTTGCAGATTCCAGAAAAAGAGTGTTTCAAAACTGCTCCTTCAAAACGGTGGTTCAATTCTCTTAGTTGAGTACACACATCTCAAATAAGTTTCTGAGCATGCTTCTGCCTAGTTGTTACGGGAAGATATTTCCCTTTCCAACATAGGCCTGAAAGCGCTCCAAATGTCCACTTCCAGATACTACAAAAAGAGTGTTTCAAACCTGCTCTACCAAAGGGAATGTTCTACTCTGTGACTTGAATGCAAACATCCCAAAGAAGTTTCTGAGAATGCTTCTGTCTAGATTTTACCTGAAGACAATCCCGTTTCCCACGAAATCCTCAAAGCTATGCAAATATCCTCTTGCGGATTCTACAAAAAGAGTGTTTCAAAACTGCTCTATGAAAAGAAAGGTTCAACTCTGTCAGTAGAGGGCACACATCACAAACAAGTTTCTGAGAATGCTTCTGCATAGTTGTTACGGGAAGATATTTCCCTTTCCAAAATAGGCCTGAAAGCGCTCCAAATGTCCACTTCCAGATACTACAAAAGGAGTGATTCCAACCTGCTCTATGATAGGGAATGTTCAACTCTGTGTCCTGAATACAAACATCACAAAGATGTTTCTCAGAACGCTGCAGTCTGCAATTTGTATGAATTCCCGCTTCCAACGAAATCCTCAAAACTAGCCAAATATCCACTTGCAGATTCCACAAAAAGACCATTTCAAAACTGCTCTATCAAAAGAAAGGTTCAACTTTGTTAGTTGAGTAGATACAGCATAACCAAGTTTCTGAGAATGCTTCTGTCCAGTTTTTATGGGAAGATATTTCCTTTTTCACCTTAGCCCTGAAATCGCTCCAAAAGTCCAGTTCCAGATACTACAAAAGGGGTGTTTCAAGACTGCTCTATGAAAGGGAGTGTTCAACTTTTGACTTGAATGCAAACATCAGAAAGCAGTTTCTCAGAACGCTGCTGTGTGCTTTTTATATGTATTCCCGCCTCCAGCGAAATCCCCAAAGCTAGCCAAATATCCACTTGCAGATTCCAGAAAAAGAGTGTTTCAAAACTGCTCCTTCAAAACGGTGGTTCAATTCTCTTAGTTGAGTACACACATCTCAAATAAGTTTCTGAGAATGCTTCTGTCTAGTTGTTATGGGAAAATATTTCCTTTTCCAACATAGGCCTGAAAGCGCTCCAAATGTCCACTTCCAGATACTACAAAAGGAGTGATTCAAACCTGCTCTATGATAGGGAATGTTCAACTCTGTGTCCTGAATACAAACATCACAAAGATGTTTCTCAGAACGCTGCAGTCTGCAATTTGTATGAATTCCCGCTTCCAACGAAATCCTCAAAACTAGCCAAATATCCACTTGGAGATTCCACAAAAAGAGCGTTTCAAAACTTCTCTATGAATAGAAAGGTTCTACTCCTTTAGTTGAGGACACACATCACGAGTAAGTTTCTGAGAATGCTTCTGTCTAGTTTTTATGGGAAGATATTTCCTTTTTCACCTTAGGCCGGAAAGTGCTCCAAATGTCCACTTACACACACTACAAAAAGAGTGTTTCAAACCTGCTCTGTGAAAGGGAATGTTCAATTCTGTGACTTGAATGCAATCATCACAAAGAACTTTCTGAGAATGCTGCTGTCTGCTTTTTATATGTAATCCCGTTTCCAACGAAATCCTCAAATCTAGCCAAATAGCCACTTGCAGATTCCACAAAAAGAGTGTTTCAAAACTGTTCTGTCTAAAGAAATGTTCAACTGTGTTAGTTGAGGACACACATCAGAAACTAGTTTCTGAGAATGCTTCTGTCTAGTTGTTATGGGAAGATATTTCCTTTTCCAACGTAGGCCTGAAAGCGCTCCAAATGTCCACTTCCAGATACTACAAAAAGAGTGTTTCAAACCTGCTCTACCAAAGGGAATGTTCTACTCTGTGACTTGAATGCAAGCATCCCAAAGAAGTTTCTGAGAATGCTTCTGTCTAGATTTGATCTGAAGACAATCCCGTTTCCAACGAAATCCTCAAGGCTAGGCAAATATCCTCTTGCAGATTCCAGAAAAAGAGTGTTTCAAAACTGCTCCTTCAAAACGGTGGTTCAATTCTCTTAGTTGAGTACACACATCTCAAATAAGTTTCTGAGAATGCTTCTGCCTAGTTGTTACGGGAAGATATTTCCCTTTCCAACATAGGCCTGAAAGCGCTCCAAATGTCCACTTCCAGATACTACAAAAAGAGTGTTTCAAACCTGCTCTAGCAAAGGGAATGTTCTACTCTGTGACTTGAATGCAAACATCCCAAAGAAGTTTCTGAGAATGCTTCTGTCTAGATTTTACCTGAAGACAATCCCGTTTCCCACGAAATCCTCAAAGCTATGCAAATATCCTCTTGCAGATTCTACAAAAAGAGTGTTTCAAAACTGCTCTATGAAAAGAAAGGTTCAACTCTGTCACTAGAGGGCACACATCACAAACAAGTTTCTGAGAATGCTTGTGTCTAGTTGTTATGGGAAGATATTTCCTTTTTCAACATAGGCCTGAAAGCGCTCCAAATGTCCACTTCCAGATACTACAAAAGGAGTGATTCCAACCTGCTCTATGATAGGGAATGTTCAACTCTCTGTCCTGAATACAAACATCACAAAGATGTTTCTCAGAACGCTGCAGTCTGCAATTTGTATGAATTCCCGCTTCCAACGAAATCCTCAAAACTAGCCAAATATCCACTTGCAGATTCCACAAAAAGACCATTTCAAAACTGCTCTATCAAAAGAAAGGTTCAACTTTGTTAGTTGAGTAGATACAGCATAAACAAGTTTCTGAGAATGCTTCTGTCCAGTTTTTATGGGAAGATATTTCCTTTTTCACCTTAGCCCTGAAATCGCTCCAAAAGTCCAGTTCCAGATACTACAAAAGGGGTGTTTCAAGACTGCTCTATGAAAGGGAGTGTTCAACTTTTGACTTGAATGCAAACATCAGAAAGCAGTTTCTCAGAACGCTGCTGTGTGCTTTTTATATGTATTCCCGCTTCCAGCGAAATCCCCAAAGCTAGCCAAATATCCACTTGCAGATTCCAGAAAAAGAGTGTTTCAAAACTGCTCCTTCAAAACGGTGGTTCAATTCTCTTAGTTGAGTACACACATCTCAAATAAGTTTCTGAGAATGCTGCTGTGTGCTTTTTATATGTATTCCCGCTTCCAGCGAAATCCCCAAAGCTAGCCAAATATCCACTTGCAGATTCCAGAAAAAGAGGGTTTCAAAACTGCTCCTTCAAAACGGTGGTTCAATTCTCTTAGTTGAGTACACACATCTCAAATAAGTTTCTGAGAATGCTGCAGTCTGCAATTTGTATGAATTCCCGCTTCCAACGAAATCCTCAAAACTAGCCAAATATCCACTTGGAGATTCCACAAAAAGAGCGTTTCAAAACTTCTCCATGAATAGAAAGGTTCTACTCCTTTAGTTGAGGACACACATCACGAGTAAGTTTCTGAGAATGCTTCTGTCTAGTTTTTATGGGAAGATATGTCCTTTTTCACCTTAGGCCGGAAAGCGCTCCAAATGTCCACTTACACACACTACAAAAAGAGTGTTTCAAACCTGCTCTGTGAAAGGGAATGTTCAATTCTGTGACTTGAATGCAATCATCACAAAGAACTTTCTGAGAATGCTGCTGTCTGCTTTTTATATGTAATCCCGTTTCCAACGAAATCCTCAAATCTAGCCCAGTATCCACTTGCAGATTCCACAAAAAGAGTGTTTCAAAACTGTTCTGTCTAAAGAAATGTACAACTGTGTTAGTTGAGGACACACATCAGAAACTAGTTTCTGAGAATGCTTCTGTCTAGTTGTTATGGGAAGATATTTCCTTTTCCAACGTAGGCCTGAAAGCGCTCCAAATGTCCACTTCCATATACTAAAAAAAGAGTGTTTCAAACCTGCTCTACCAAAGGGAATGTTCTACTCTGTGACTTGAATGCAAACATCCCAAAGAAGTTTCTGAGAATGCTTCTGTCTAGATTTGATCTGAAGACAATCCCGTTTCCAACGAAATTCTCAAGGCTAGGCAAATATACTCTTGCAGATTCCAGAAAAAGAGTGTTTCAAAACTGCTCCTTCAAAACGGTGGTTCAATTCTCTTAGTTGAGTACACACATCTCAAATAAGTTTCTGAGAATGCTTCTGCCTAGTTGTTACGGGAAGATATTTCCCTTTCCAACATGGGCCTGAAAGCGCTCCAAATGTCCACTTCCAGATACTACAAAAAGAGTGTTTCAAACCTGCTCTACCAAAGGGAATGTTCTACTCTGTGACTTGAATGCAAACATCCCAAAGAAGTTTCTGAGAATGCTTCTGTCTAGGTTTTACCTGAAGACAATCCCGTTTCCCACGAAATCCTCAGAGCTATGCAAATATCCTCTTGCAGATTCTACAAAAAGAGTGTTTCGAAACTGCTCTATGAAAAGAAAGGTTCAACTCTGTCAGTAGAGGAAACACATCACCAACAAGTTTCTGAGAATGCTTCTGTCTAGTTGTTATGGGAAGATTTTTCCTTTTTCAACATAGGCCTGAAAGCGCTCCAAATGTCCACTTCCAGATACTACAAAAGGAGTGATCCCAACCTGCTCTATGATAGGGAATGTTCAACTCTGTGTCCTGAATACAAACATCACAAAGATGTTTCTCAGAACGCTGCAGTCTGCAATTTGTATGAATTCCCGCTTCCAACGAAATCCTCAAAACTAGCCAAATATCCACTTGCAGATTCCACAAAAAGACCATTTCAAAACTGCTCTATCAAAAGAAAGGTTCAACTTTGTTAGTTGAGTAGATACAGCATAAACAAGTTTCTGAGAATGCTTCTGTCCAGTTTTTATGGGAAGATATTTCCTTTTTCACCTTAGCCCTGAAATCGCTCCAAAAGTCCAGTTCCAGATACTACAAAAGGGGTGTTTCAGGACTGCTCTATGAAAGGGAGTGTTCAACTTTTGACTTGAATGCAAACATCAGAAAGCAGTTTCTCAGAACGCTGCTGTGTGCTTTTTATATGTATTCCCGCTTCCAGCGAAATCCCCAAAGCTAGCCAAATATCCACTTGCAGATTCCAGAAAAAGAGAGTTTCAAAACTGCTCCTTCAAAACGGTGGTTCAATTCTCTTAGTTGAGTACACACATCTCAAATAAGTTTCTGAGAATGCTTCTGTCTAGTTGTTATGGGAAGATATTTCCTTTTCCAACATAGGCCTGAAAGCGCTCCAAATGTCCACTTCCAGATACTACAAAAGGAGTGATTCCAACCTGCTCTATGATAGGGAATGTTCAACTCTGTGTCCTGAATACAAACATCACAAAGATGTTTCTCAGAACGCTGCAGTCTGCAATTTGTATGAATTCCCGCTTCCAACGAAATCCTCCAAACTAGCCAAATATCCACTTGCAGATTCCACAAAAAGAGCGTTTCAAAACTTCTCTATGAAAAGAAAGGTTCTACTCCTTTAGTTGAGGACACACATCACGAGTAAGTTTCTGAGAATGCTTCTGTCTAATTTTTATGGGAAGATATGTCCTTTTTCACCTTAGGCCGGAAAGCGCTCCAAATGTCCACTTACACACACTACAAAAAGAGTGTTTCAAACCTGCTCTGTGAAAGGGAATGTTCAATTCTGTGACTTGAATGCAATCATCACAAAGAACTTTCTGAGAATGCTGCTGACTGCTTTTTATATGTAATCCCGTTTCCAACGAAATCCTCAAATCTAGCCCAATATCCACTTGCAGATTCCACAAAAAGAGTGTTTCAAAACTGTTCTGTCTAAAGAAATGTACAACTGTGTTAGTTGAGGACACACATCAGAAACTAGTTTCTGAGAATGCTTCTGTCTAGTTGTTATGGGAAGATATTTCCTTTTCCAACGTAGGCCTGAAAGCGCTCCAAATGTCCACTTCCATATACTAAAAAAAGAGTGTTTCAAACCTGCTCTACCAAAGGGAATGTTCTACTCTGTGACTTGAATGCAAACATCCCAAAGAAGTTTCTGAGAATGCTTCTGTCTAGATTTGATCTGAAGACAATCCCTTTTCCAACGAAATCCTCAAAGCTAGGCAAATATCCTCTTGCAGATTCCAGAAAAAGAGTGTTTCCAAACTGCTCCTTCAAAACGGTGGTTCAATTCTCTTAGTTGAGTACACACATCTCAAATAAGTTTCTGAGAATGCTTCTGCCTAGTTGTTACGGGAAGATATTTCCCTTTCCAACATAGGCCTGAAAGCGCAACAAATGTCCACTTCCAGATACGACAAAAAGAGTGTTTCAAACCTGCTCTACCAAAGGGAATGTTCTACTCTGTGACTTGAATGCAAACATCCCGAAGAAGTTTCTGAGAATGCTTCTGTCTAGGTTTTACCTGAAGACAATCCCGTTTCCCACGAAATCCTCAGAGCTATGCAAATATCCTCTTGCAGATTCTACAAAAAGAGTGTTTCGAAACTGCTCTATGAAAAGAAAGGTTCAACTCTGTCAGTAGAGGAAACACATCACCAACAAGTTTCTGAGAATGCTTCTGTCTAGTTGTTATGGGAAGATATTTCCTTTTCCAACATAGGCCTGAAAGTGCTCCAAATGTCCACTTCCAGATACTACAAAAGGAGTGATTCAAACCTGCTCTATGATAGGGAATGTTCAACTCTGTGTCCTGAATACAAACATCACAAAGATGTTTCTCAGAACGCTGCAGTCTGCAATTTGTATGAATTCCCGCTTCCAACGAAATCCTCAAAACTAGCCAAATATCCACTTGCAGATTCCACAAAAAGAGCATTTCAAAACTGCTCTATCAAAAGAAAGGTTCAACTTTGTTAGTTGAGTAGATACAGCATAAACAAGTTTCTGAGAATGCTTCTGTCCAGTTTTTATGGGAAGATATTTCCTTTTTCACCTTAGCCCTGAAAGCGCTCCAAAAGTCCAGTTCCAGATACTACAAAAGGAGTGTTTCAGGACTGCTCTATGAAAGGGAGTGTTCAACTTTTGACTTGAATGCAAACATCAGAAAGCAGTTTCTCAGAACGCTGCTGTGTGCTTTTTATATGTATTCCCGCTTCCAGCGAAATCCCCAAAGCTAGCCAAATATCCACTTGCAGATTCCAGAAAAAGAGAGTTTCAAAACTGCTCCTTCAAAACGGTGGTTCAATTCTCTTAGTTGAGTACACACATCTCAAATAAGTTTCTGAGAATGCTTCTGTCTAGTTGTTATGGGAAGATATTTCCTTTTCCAACATAGGCCTGAAAGCGCTCCAAATGTCCACTTCCAGATACTACAAAAGGAGTGATTCCAACCTGCTCTATGATAGGGAATGTTCAACTCTGTGTCCTGAATACAAACATCACAAAGATGTTTCTCAGAACGCTGCAGTCTGCAATTTGTATGAATTCCCGCTTCCAACGAAATCCTCAAAACTAGCCAAATATCCACTTGCAGATTCCACAAAAAGAGCGTTTCAAAACTTCTCTATGAAAAGAAAGGTTCTACTACTTTAGTTGAGGACACACATCACGAGTAAGTTTCTGAGAATGCTTCTGTCTAGTTTTTATGGGAAGATATTTCCTTTTTCACCTTAGGCCGGAAAGCGCTCCAAATGTCCACTTACACACACTACAAAAAGAGTGTTTCAAACCTCCTCTGTGAAAGGGAATGTTCAATTCTGTGATTTGAATGCAATCATCACAAAGAACTTTCTGAGAATGCTGCTGACTGCTTTTTATATGTAATCCCGTTTCCAACGAAATCCTCAAATCTAGCCAAATAGCCACTTGCAGATTCCACAAAAAGAGTGTTTCAAAACTGTTCTGTCTAAAGAAATGTTCAACTGTGTTAGTTGAGGACACACATCAGAAACTAGTTTCTGAGAATGCTTCTGTCTAGTTGTTATGGGAAGATATTTCCTTTTCCAACGTAGGCCTGAAAGCGCTCCAAATGTCCACTTACACACACTACAAAAAGAGTGTTTCAAACCTGCTCTACCAAAGGGAATGTTCTACTCTGTGACTTGAATGCAAACATCCCAAAGAAGTTTCTGAGAATGCTTCTGTCTAGATTTGATCTGAAGACAATCCCGTTTCCAACGAAATCGTCAAGGCTAGGCAAATATACTCTTGCAGATTCCAGAAAAAGAGTGTTTCAAAACTGCTCCTTCAAAACGGTGGTTCAACTCTCTTAGTTGAGTACACACATCTCAAATAAGATTCTGAGAATGCTTCTGCCTAGTTGTTACGGGAAGATATTTCCCTTTCCAACATGGGCCTGAAAGCGCTCCAAATGTCCACTTCCAGATACTACAAAAAGAGTGTTTCAAACCTGCTCTACCAAAGGGAATGTTCTACTCTGTGACTTGAATGCAAACATCCCAAAGAAGTTTCTGAGAATGCTTCTGTCTAGATTTTACCTGAAGACAATCCCGTTTCCCACGAAATCCTCAAAGCGATGCAAATATCCTCTTGCGGATTCTACAAAAAGAGTGTTTCAAAACTGCTCTATGAAAAGAAAGGTTCAACTCTGTCAGTAGAGGGCACACATCACAAACAAGTTTCTGAGAATGCTTGTGTCTAGTTGTTATGGGAAGATATTTCCTTTTTCAACATAGGCCTGAAAGCCCTCCAAATGTCCACTTCCAGATACTACAAAAGGAGTGATTCCAACCTGCTCTATGATAGGGAATGTTCATCTCTGTGTCTTGAATACAAACATCACAAAGGTGTTTCTCAGAACGCTGCAGTCTGCAATTTGTATGAATTCCCGCTTCCAACGAAATCCTCAAAACTAGCCAAATATCCACTTGCAGATTCCACAAAAAGACCATTTCAAAACTGCTCTATCAAAAGAAAGGTTCAACTTTGTTAGTTGAGTAGATACAGCATAAACAAGTTTCTGAGAATGCTTCTGTCCAGTTTTTATGGGAAGATATTTCCTTTTTCACCTTAGCCCTGAAATCGCTCCAAAAGTCCAGTTCCAGATACTACAAAAGGGGTGTTTCAGGACTGCCCTATGAAAGGGAGTGTTCAACTTTTGACTTGAATGCAAACATCAGAAAGCAGTTTTCTCAGAACGCTGCTGTGTGCTTTTTATATGTATTCCCGCTTCCAGCGAAATCCCCAAAGCTAGCCAGATATCCACTTGCAGATTCCAGAAAAAGAGTGTTTCAAAACTGCTCCTTCAAAACGGTGGTTCAATTCTCTTAGTTGAGTACACACATCTCAAATAAGTTTCTGAGAATGCTTGTGTCTAGTTGTTATGGGAAGATATTTCCTTTTTCAACATAGGCCTGAAAGCGCTCCAAATGTCCACTTCCAGATACTACAAAAGGAGTGATTCCAACCTGCTCTATGATAGGGAATGTTCATCTCTGTGTCTTGAATACAAACATCACAAAGATGTTTCTCAGAACGCTGCAGTCTGCAATTTGTATGAATTCCCGCTTCCAACGAAATCCTCAACACTAGCCAAATATCCACTTGGAGATTCCACAAAAAGAGCGTTTCAAAACTTCTCTATGAATAGAAAGGTTCTACTCCTTTAGGTGAGGACACACATCACGAGTAAGTTTCTGAGAATGCTTCTGTCTAGTTTTTATGGGAAGATATGTCCTTTTTCACCTTAGGCCGGAAAGCGCTCCAAATGTCCACTTACACACACTACAAAAAGAGTGTTTCAAACCTGCTCTATGAAAGGGAATGTTCAATTCTGTGACTTGAATACAATCATCACAAAGAACTTTCTGAGAATGCTGCTGACTGCTTTTTATATATAATCCCGTTTCCAACGAAATCCTCAAATCTAGCCCAATATCCACTTGCAGATTCCACAAAAAGAGTGTTTCAAAACTGTTCTGTCTAAAGAAATGTACAACTGTGTTAGTTGAGGACACACATCAGAAACTAGTTTCTGAGAATGCTTCTGTCTAGTTGTTATGGGAAGATATTTCCTTTTCCAACGTAGGCCTGAAAGCGCTCCAAATGTCCACTTCCATATACTAAAAAAAGAGTGTTTCAAACCTGCTCTACCAAAGGGAATGTTCTACTCTGTGACTTGAATGCAAACATCCCAAAGAAGTTTCTGAGAATGCTTCTGTCTAGATTTTATCTGAAGACAATCCCGTTTCCAACGAAATCCTCAAGGCTAGGCAAATATACTCTTGCAGATTCCAGAAAAAGAGTGTTTCAAAACTGCTCCTTCAAAACGGTGGTTCAATTCTCTTAGTTGAGTACACACATCTCAAATAAGTTTCTGAGAATGCTTCTGCCTAGTTGTTACGGGAAGATATTTCCCTTTCCAACATAGGCCTGAAAGCGCTCCAAATGTCCACTTCCAGATACTACAAAAAGAGTGTTTCAAACCTGCTCTACCAAAGGGAATGTTCTACTCTGTGACTTGAATGCAAACATCCCAAAGAAGTTTCTGAGAATGCTTCTGTCTAGATTTTACCTGAAGACAATCCCGTTTCCCACGAAATCCTCAAAGCTATGCAAATATCCTCTTGCAGATTCTACAAAAAGAGTGTTTCAAAACTGCTCTATGAAAAGAAAGGTTCAACTCTGTCAGTAGAGGGCACACATCACAAACAAGTTTCTGAGAATGCTTGTGTCTAGTTGTTATGGGAAGATATTTCCTTTTTCAACATAGGCCTGAAGCGCTCCAAATGTCCACTTCCAGATACTACAAAAGGAGTGATTCCAACCTGCTCTATGATAGGGAATGTTCAACTCTCTGTCCTGAATACAAACATCACAAAGATGTTTCTCAGAACGCTGCAGTCTGCAATTTGTATGAATTCCCGCTTCCAACGAAATCCTCAAAACTAGCCAAATATCCACTTGCAGATTCCACAAAAAGAGCATTTCAAAACTGCTCTATCAAAAGAAAGGTTCAACTTTGTTAGTTGAGTAGATACAGCATAAACAAGTTTCTGAGAATGCTTCTGTCCAGTTTTTATGGGAAGATATTTCCTTTTTCACCTTAGCCCTGAAATCGCTCCAAAAGTCCAGTTCCAGATACTACAAAAGGGGTGTTTCAGGACTGCTCTATGAAAGGGAGTGTTCAACTTTTGACTTGAATGCAAACATCAGAAAGCAGTTTCTCAGAACGCTGCTGTGTGCTTTTTATATGTATTCCCGCTTCCAGCGAAATCCCCAAAGCTAGCCAAATATCCACTTGCAGATTCCAGAAAAAGAGAGTTTCAAAACTGCTCCTTCAAAACGGTGGTTCAATTCTCTTAGTTGAGTACACACATCTCAAATAAGTTTCTGAGAATGCTTCTGTCTAGTTGTTATGGGAAGATATTTCCTTTTCCAACATAGGCCTGAAAGCGCTCCAAATGTCCACTTCCAGATACTACAAAAGGAGTGATTCAAACCTGCTCTATGATAGGGAATGTTCAACTCTGTGTCCTGAATACAAACATCACAAAGATGTTTCTCAGAACGCTGCAGTCTGCAATTTGTATGAATTCCCGCTTCCAACGAAATCCTCAAAACTAGCCAAATATCCACTTGCAGATTCCACAAAAAGACCATTTCAAAACTGCTCTATCAAAAGAAAGGTTCAACTTTGTTAGTTGAGTAGATACAGCATAACCAAGTTTCTGAGAATGCTTCTGTCCAGTTTTTATGGGAAGATATTTCCTTTTTCACCTTAGCCCTGAAATCGCTCCAAAAGTCCAGTTCCAGATACTACAAAAGGGGTGTTTCAAGACTGCTCTATGAAAGGGAGTGTTCAACTTTTGACTTGAATGCAAACATCAGAAAGCAGTTTCTCAGAACGCTGCTGTGTGCTTTTTATATGTATTCCCGCTTCCAGCGAAATCCCCAAAGCTAGCCAAATATCCACTTGCAGATTCCAGAAAAAGAGTGTTTCAAAACTGCTCCTTCAAAACGGTGGTTCAATTCTCTTAGTTGAGTAGACACATCTCAAATAAGTTTCTGAGAATGCTTCTGTCTAGTTGTTATGGGAAGATATTTCCTTTTCCAACATAGGCCTGAAAGCGCTCCAAATGTCCACTTCCAGATACTACAAAAGGAGTGATTCAAACCTGCTCTATGATAGGGAATGTTCAACTCTGTGTCCTGAATACAAACATCACAAAGATGTTTCTCAGAACGCTGCAGTCTGCAATTTGGATGAATTCCCGCTTCCTACGAAATCCTCAACACTAGCCAAATATCCACTTGGAGATTCCACAAAAAGAGCGTTTCAAAACTTCTCTATGAATAGAAAGGTTCTACTCCTTTAGTTGAGGACACACATCACGAGTAAGTTTCTGAGAATGCTTCTGTCTAGTTTTTATGGGAAGATATGTCCTTTTTCACCTTAGGCCGGAAAGCGCTCCAAATGTCCACTTACACACACTACAAAAAGAGTGTTTCAAACCTGCTCTGTGAAAGGGAATGTTCAATTCTGTGACTTGAATGCAATCATCACAAAGAACTTTCTGAGAATGCTGCTGTCTGCTTTTTATATGTAATCCCGTTTCCAACGAAATCCTCAAATCTAGCCAAATATCCACTTGCAGATTCCACAAAAAGAGTGTTTCAAAACTGTTCTGTCTAAAGAAATGTACAACTGTGTTAGTTGAGGACACACATCAGAAACTAGTTTCTGAGAATGCTTCTGTCTAGTTGTTATGGGAAGATATTTCCTTTTCCAACGTAGGCCTGAAAGCGCTCCAAATGTCCACTTCCATATACTAAAAAAAGAGTGTTTCAAACCTACTCTACCAAAGGGAATGTTCTACTCTGTGACTTGAATGCAAACATCCCAAAGAAGTTTCTGAGAATGCTTCTGTCTAGATTTTATCTGAAGACAATCCCGTTTCCAACGAAATCCTCAAGGCTAGGCAAATATACTCTTGCAGATTCCAGAAAAAGAGTGTTTCAAAACTGCTCCTTCAAAACGGTGGTTCAATTCTCTTAGTTGAGTACACACATCTCAAATAAGTTTCTGAGAATGCTTCTGCCTAGTTGTTACGGGAAGATATTTCCCTTTCCAACATGGGCCTGAAAGCGCTCCAAATGTCCACTTCCAGATACTACAAAAAGAGTGTTTCAAACCTGCTCTACCAAAGGGAATGTTCTACTCTGTGACTTGAATGGAAACATCCCAAAGAAGTTTCTGAGAATGCTTCTGTCTAGATTTTACCTGAAGACAATCCCGTTTCCCACGAAATCCTCAGAGCTATGCAAATATCCTCTTGCAGATTCTACAAAAAGAGTGTTTCGAAACTGCTCTATGAAAAGAAAGGTTCAACTCTGTCAGTAGAGGAAACACATCACCAACAAGTTTCTGAGAATGCTTCTGTCTAGTTGTTATGGGAAGATATTTCCTTTTCCAACATAGGCCTGAAAGCGCTCCAAATGTCCACTTCCAGATACTACAAAAGGAGTGATTCCAACCTGCTCTATGATAGGGAATGTTCAACTCTGTGTCCTGAATACAAACATCACAAAGATGTTTCTCAGAACGCTGCAGTCTGCAATTTGTATGAATTCCCGCTTCCAACGAAATCCTCAAAACTAGCCAAATATCCACTTGCAGATTCCACAAAAAGACCATTTCAAAACTGCTCTATCAAAAGAAAGGTTCAACTTTGTTAGTTGAGTAGATACAGCATAACCAAGTTTCTGAGAATGCTTCTGTCCAGTTTTTATGGGAAGATATTTCCTTTTTCACCTTAGCCCTGAAAGCGCTCCAAAAGTCCAGTTCCAGATACTACAAAAGGAGTGTTTCAGGACTGCTCTATGAAAGGGAGTGTTCAACTTTTGACTTGAATGCAAACATCAGAAAGCAGTTTCTCAGAACGCTGCTGTGTGCTTTTTATATGTATTCCCGCTTCCAGCGAAATCCCCAAAGCTAG
Organism: Homo sapiens; assembly: GCF_000001405.40. NCBI lineage: Eukaryota > Metazoa > Chordata > Mammalia > Primates > Hominidae > Homo > Homo sapiens. The sequence continues at coordinate 19,895,667 of NC_000018.10, read as the reverse complement.
CCAAATATCCACTTGCAGATTCCAGAAAAAGAGTGTTTCAAAACTGCTCCTTCAAAACGGTGGTTCAATTCTCTTAGTTGAGTACACACATCTCAAATAAGTTTCTGAGAATGCTTCTGTCCAGTTTTTATGGGAAGATATTTCCTTTTTCACCTTAGCCCTGAAAGCGCTCCAAATTTCCAGTTCCAGATACTACAAAAGGGGTGTTTCAAGACTGCTCTATGAAAGGGAGTGTTCAAGTTTTGACTTGAATGCAAACATCAGAAAGCAGTTTCTCAGAACGCTTCTGTGTGCTTTTTATATGTATTCCCGCTTACAGCGAAATCCCCAAAGCTAGCCAAATATCCACTTGCAGATTCCAGAAAAAGAGTGTTTTCAAACTGCTCCTTCAAAACGGTGGTTCAATTCTCTTAGTTGAGTACACACATCTCAAATAAGTTTCTGGGAATGCTTCTGTCTAGTTTTTATGGGAAGATATGTCCTTTTTCACCTTAGGCCGGAAAGCGCTCCAAATGTCCACTTACACACACTACAGAAAGAGTGCTTCAAACCTGCTCTGTGAAAGGGAATGTTCAATTCTGTGACTTGAATGCAATCATCACAAAGAACTTTCTGAGAATGCTGCTGACTGCTTTTTATATGTAATCCCGTTTCCAACGAAATCCTCAAATCTAGCCAAATAGCCACTTGCAGATTCCACAAAAAGAGTGTTTCAAAACTGTTCTGTCTAAAGAAATGTTCAACTGTGTTAGTTGAGGACACACATCAGAAACTAGTTTCTGAGAATGCTTCTGTCTAGTTGTTATGGGAAGATATTTCCTTTTCCAACGTAGGCCTGAAAGCGCTCCAAATGTCCACTTCCATATACTAAAAAAAGAGTGTTTCAAACCTGCTCTACCAAAGGGAATGTTCTACTCTGTGACTTGAATGCAAACATCCCAAAGAAGTTTCTGAGAATGCTTCTGTCTAGATTTTATCTGAAGACAATCCCGTTTCCAACGAAATCCTCAAGGCTAGGCAAATATACTCTTGCAGATTCCAGAAAAAGAGTTTTTCAAAACTGCTCCTTCAAAACGGTGGTTCAATTCTCTTAGTTGAGTACACACATCTCAAATAAGTTTCTGAGAATGCTTCTGCCTAGTTGTTACGGCAAGATATTTCCCTTTCCAACATGGGCCTGAAAGCGCTCCAAATGTCCACTTCCAGATACTACAAAAAGAGTGTTTCAAACCTACTCTACCAAAGGGAATGTTCTACTCTGTGACTTGAATGCAAACATCCCAAAGAAGTTTCTGAGAATGCTTCTGTCTAGATTTTACCTGAAGACAATCCCGTTTCCCACGAAATCCTCAAAGCTATGCAAATATCCTCTTGCAGATTCTACAAAAAGAGTGTTTCAACACTGCTCTATGAAAAGAAAGGTTCAACTCTGTCAGTAGAGGGCACACATCACAAACAAGTTTCTGAGAATGCTTGTGTCTAGTTGTTATGGGAAGATATTTCCTTTTTCAACATAGGCCTGAAAGCGCTCCAAATGTCCACTTCCAGATACTACAAAAGGAGTGATTCCAACCTGCTCTATGATAGGGAATGTTCAACTCTGTGTCCTGAATACAAACATCACAAAGATGTTTCTCAGAACGCTGCAGTCTGCAATTTGTATGAATTCCCGCTTCCAACGAAATCCTCAAAACTAGCCAAATATCCACTTGCAGATTCCACAAAAAGAGCATTTCAAAACTGCTCTATCAAAAGAAAGGTTCAACTTTGTTAGTTGAGTAGATACAGCATAAACAAGTTTCTGAGAATGCTTCTGTCCAGTTTTTATGAGAAGATATTTCCTTTTTCACCTTAGCCCTGAAAGCGCTCCAAAAGTCCAGTTCCAGATACTACAAAAGGAGTGTTTCAGGACTGCACTATCAAAGGGAGTGTTCAACTTTTGACTTGAATGCAAACATCAGAAAGCAGTTTCTCAGAACGCTGCTGTGTGCTTTTTATATGTATTCCCGCTTCCAGCGAAATCCCCAAAGCTAGCCAAATATCCACTTGCAGATTCCAGAAAAAGAGTGTTTCAAAACTGCTCCTTCAAAACGGTGGTTCAATTCTCTTAGTTGAGTACACACATCTCAAATAAGTTTCTGAGAATGCTTCTGTCTAGTTGTTATGGGAAGATATTTCCTTTTCCAACATAGGCCTGAAAGCGCTCCAAATGTCCACTTCCAGATACTACAAAAGGAGTGATTCAAACCTGCTCTATGATAGGGAATGTTCAACTCTGTGTCCTGAATACAAACATCACAAAGATGTTTCTCAGAACGCTGCAGTCTGCAATTTGTATGAATTCCCGCTTCCAACGAAATCCTCAAAACTAGCCAAATATCCACTTGCAGATTCCACAAAAAGAGCATTTCAAAACTGCTCTATCAAAAGAAAGGTTCAACTTTGTTAGTTGAGCAGATACAGCATAAACAAGTTTCTGAGAATGCTTCTGTCCAGTTTTTATGGGAAGATATTTCCTTTTTCACCTTAGCCCTGAAATCGCTCCAAAAGTCCAGTTCCAGATACTACAAAAGGGGTGTTTCAAGACTGCTCTATGAAAGGGAGTGTTCAACTTTTGACTTGAATGCAAACATCAGAAAGCAGTTTCTCAGAACGCTGCTGTGTGCTTTTTATATGTATTCCCGCTTCCAGCGAAATCCCCAAAGCTAGCCAGATATCCACTTGCAGATTCCAGAAAAAGAGTGTTTCAAAACTGCTCCTTCAAAACGGTGGTTCAATTCTGCTTAGTTGAGTACGCACATCTCAAATAAGTTTCTGAGAATGCTTTGTGTCTAGTTGTTATGGGAAGATATTTCCTTTTTCAACATAGGCCTGAAAGCGCTCCAAATGTCCACTTCCAGATACTACAAAAGGAGTGATTCCAACATGCTCTATGATAGGGAATGTTCATCTCTGTGTCTTGAATACAAACATCACAAAGATGTTTCTCAGAACGCTGCAGTCTGCAATTTGTATGAATTCCCGCTTCCAACGAAATCCTCAAAACTAGCCAAATATCCACTTGGAGATTCCACAAAAAGAGCGTTTCAAAACTTCTCCATGAATAGAAAGTTTCCACTCCTTTAGTTGAGGACACACATCACGAGTAAGTTTCTGAGAATGCTTCTGTCTAGTTTTTATGGGAAGATATGTCCTTTTTCACCTTAGGCCGGAAAGCGCTCCAAATGTCCACTTACACACACTACAAAAAGAGTGTTTCAAACCTGCTCTGTGAAAGGGAATGTTCAATTCTGTGACTTGAATGCAATCATCACAAAGAACTTTCTGAGAATGCTGCTGTCTGCTTTTTATATGTAATCCCGTTTCCAACGAAATCCTCAAATCTAGCCAAATAGCCACTTGCAGATTCCACAAAAAGAGTGTTTCAAAACTGTTCTGTCTAAAGAAATGTTCAACTGTGTTAGTTGAGGACACACATCAGAAACTAGTTTCTGAGAATGCTTCTGTCTAGTTGTTATGGGAAGATATTTCCTTTTCCAACGTAGGCCTGAAAGCGCTCCAAATGTCCACTTCCATATACTAAAAAAAGAGTGTTTCAAACCTGCTCTACCAAAGGGAATGTTCTACTCTGTGACTTGAATGCAAACATCCCAAAGAAGTTTCTGAGAATGCTTCTGTCTAGATTTTATCTGAAGACAATCCCGTTTCCAACGAAATCCTCAAGGCTAGGCAAATATACTCTTGCAGATTCCAGAAAAAGAGGGTTTCAAAACTGCTCCTTCAAAACGGTGGTTCAGTTCTCTTAGTTGAGTACACACGTCTCAAATAAGTTTCTGAGAATGCTTCTGCCTAGTTGTTACGGGAAGATATTTCCCTTTCCAACATGGGCCTGAAAGCGCTCCAAATGTCCACTTCCAGATACTACAAAAAGAGTGTTTCAAACCTGCTCTACCAAAGGGAATGTTCTACTCTGTGACTTGAATGCAAACATCCCAAAGAAGTTTCTGAGAATGCTTCTGTCTAGATTTTACCTGAAGACAATCCCGTTTCCCACGAAATCCTCAAAGCTATGCAAATATCCTCTTGCAGATTCTACAAAAAGAGTGTTTCGAAACTGCTCTATGAAAAGAAAGGTTCAACTCTGTCAGTAGAGGGCACACATCACAAACAAGTTTCTGAGAATGCTTCTGTCTAGTTGTTATGGGAAGATATTTCCTTTTCCAACATAGGCCTGAAAGCGCTCCAAATGTCCACTTCCAGATACTACAAAAGGAGTGATTCCAACCTGCTCTATGATAGGGAATGTTCAACTCTGTGTCCTGAATACAAACATCACAAAGATGTTTCTCAGAACGCTGCAGTCTGCAATTTGTATGAATTCCCGCTTCCAACGAAATCCTCAAAACTAGCCAAATATCCACTTGCAGATTCCACAAAAAGACCATTTCAAAACTGCTCTATCAAAAGAAAGGTTCAACTTTGTTAGTTGAGTAGATACAGCATAAACAAGTTTCTGAGAATGCTTCTGTCCAGTTTTTATGGGAAGATATTTCCTTTTTCACCTTAGCCCTGAAATCGCTCCAAAAGTCCAGTTCCAGATACTACAAAAGGGGTGTTTCAAGACTGCTCTATGAAAGGGAGTGTTCAACTTTTGACTTGAATGCAAACATCAGAAAGCAGTTTCTCAGAACGCTGCTGTGTGCTTTTTATATGTATTCCCGCTTCCAGCGAAATCCCCAAAGCTAGCCAAATATCCACTTGCAGATTCCAGAAAAAGAGTGTTTCAAAACTGCTCCTTCAAAACGGTGGTTCAATTCTCTTAGTTGAGTACACACATCTCAAATAAGTTTCTGAGAATGCTTGTGTCTAGTTGTTATGGGAAGATATTTCCTTTTTCAACATAGGCCTGAAAGCGCTCCAAATGTCCACTTCCAGATACTACAAAAGGAGTGATTCCAACCTGCTCTATGATAGGGAATGTTCATCTCTGTGTCCTGAATACAAACATCACAAAGATGTTTCTCAGAACGCTGCAGTCTGCAATTTGTATGAATTCCCGCTTCCAACGAAATCCTCAACACTAGCCAAATATCCACTTGGAGATTCCACAAAAAGAGCGTTTCAAAACTTCTCTATGAATAGAAAGGTGCTACTCCTTTAGTTGAGGACACACATCACGAGTAAGTTTCTGAGAATGCTTCTGTCTAGTTTTTATGGGAAGATATTTCCTTTTTCACCTTAGGCCGGTAAGGGTTCCAAATGTCCACTTACACACACTACAAAAAGAGTGTTTCAAACCTGCTCTGTGAAAGGGAATGTTCAATTCTGTGACTTGAATGCAATCATCACAAAGAACTTTCTGAGAATGCTGCTGACTGCTTTTTATATGTAATCCCGTTTCCAACGAAATCCTCAAATCTAGCCAAATAGCCACTTGCAGATTCCACAAAAAGAGTGTTTCAAAACTGTTCTGTCTAAAGAAATGTTCAACTGTGTTAGTTGAGGACACACATCAGAAACTAGTTTCTGAGAATGCTTCTGTCTAGTTGTTATGGGAAGATATTTCCTTTTCCAACGTAGGCCTGAAAGCGATCCAAATGTCCACTTCCATATACTAAAAAAAGAGTGTTTCAAACCTGCTCTACCAAAGGGAATGTTCTACTCTGTGACTTGAATGCAAACATCCCAAAGAAGTTTCTGAGAATACTTCTGTCTAGATTTTCTCTGAAGACAATCCCGTTTCCAACGAAATCCTCAAGGCTAGGCAAATATACTCTTGCAGATTCCAGAAAAAGAGTGTTTCAAAACTGCTCCTTCAAAACGGTGGTTCAATTCTCTTAGTTGAGTACACACATCTCAAATAAGTTTCTGAGAATGCTTCTGCCTAGTTGTTACGGGAAGATATTTCCCTTTCCAACATAGGCCTGAAAGCGCTCCAAATGTCCACTTCCAGATACTACAAAAAGAGTGTTTCAAACCTGCTCTACCAAAGGGAATGTTCTACTCTGTGACTTGAATGCAAACATCCCAAAGAAGTTTCTGAGAATGCTTCTGTCTAGATTTTACCTGAAGACAATCCCGTTTCCCACGAAATCCTCAAAGCTATGCAAAAATCCTCTTGCAGATTCTACAAAAAGAGTGTTTCAAAACTGCTCTATGAAAAGAAAGGTTCAACTCTGTCAGTAGAGGGCACACATCACAAACAAGTTTCTGAGAATGCTTGTGTCTAGTTGTTATGGGAAGATATTTCCTTTTTCAACATAGGCCAGAAAGCGCTCCAAATGTCCACTTCCAGATACTACAAAAGGAGTGATTCCAACCTGCTCTATGATAGGGAATGTTCAACTCTCTGTCCTGAATACAAACATCACAAAGATGTTTCTCAGAACGCTGCAGTCTGCAATTTGTATGAATTCCCGCTTCCAACGAAATCCTCAAAACTAGCCAAATATCCACTTGCAGATTCCACAAAAAGACCATTTCAAAACTGCTCTATCAAAAGAAAGGTTCAACTTTGTTAGTTGAGTAGATACAGCATAAACAAGTTTCTGAGAATGCTTCTGTCCAGTTTTTATGGGAAGATATTTCCTTTTTCACCTTAGCCCTGAAATCGCTCCAAAAGTCCAGTTCCAGATACTACAAAAGGGGTGTTTCAAGACTGCTCTATGAAAGGGAGTGTTCAACTTTTGACTTGAATGCAAACATCAGAAAGCAGTTTCTCAGAACGCTGCTGTGTGCTTTTTATATGTATTCCCGCTTCCAGCGAAATCCCCAAAGCTAGCCAAATATCCACTTGCAGATTCCAGAAAAAGAGTGTTTCAAAACTGCTCCTTCAAAACGGTGGTTCAATTCTCTTAGTTGAGTACACACATCTCAAATAAGTTTCTGAGAATGCTTCTGTCTAGTTTTTATGGGAAGATATTTCCTTTTTCACCTGAGGCCGGAAAGCGCTCCAAATGTCCACTTCCAGATACTACAAAAGGAGTGATTCAAACCTGCTCTATGATAGGGAACGTTCAACTCTGTGTCCTGAATACAAACATCACAAAGATGTTTCTCAGAACGCTGCAGTCTGCAATTTGTATGAATTCCCGCTTCCAACGAAATCCTCAAAACTAGCCAAATATCCACGTGGAGATTCCACAAAAAGAGCGTTTCAAAACTTCTCTATGAATAGAAAGCTTCTACTCCTTTAGTTGAGGACACACATCACGAGTAAGTTTCTGAGAATGCTTCTGTCTAGTTTTTATGGGAAGATATTTCCTTTTTCACCTTAGGCCGGAAAGCGCTCCAAATGTCCACTTACACACACTACAAAAAGAGTGTTTCAATCCTGCTCTGTGAAAGGGAATGTTCAATTCTGTGACTTGAATGCAATCATCACAAAGAACTTTCTGAGAATGCTGCTGTCTGCTTTTTATATGTAATCCCGTTTCCAACGAAATCCTCAAATCTAGCCAAATATCCACTTGCAGATTCCACAAAAAGAGTGTTTCAAAACTGTTCTGTCTAAAGAAAAGTTCAACTGTGTTAGTTGAGGACACACATCAGAAACTAGTTTCTGAGAATGCTTCTGTCTAGTTGTTATGGGAAGATATTTCCTTTTCCAACGTAGGCCTGAAAGCGCTCCAAATGTCCACTTCCATATACTAAAAAAAGAGTGTTTCAAACCTGCTCTACCAAAGGGAATGTTCTACTCTGTGACTTGAATGCAAACATCCCAAAGAAGTTTCTGAGAATGCTTCTGTCTAGATTTTATCTGAAGACAATCCCGTTTCCAGCGAAATCCTCAAGGCTAGGCAAATATACTCTTGCAGATTCCAGAAAAAGAGGGTTTCAAAACTGCTCCTTCAAAACGGTGGTTCAATTCTCTTAGTTGAGTACACACATCTCAAATAAGTTTCTGAGAATGCTTCTGCCTAGTTGTTATGGGAAGATATTTCCCTTTCCAACATGGGCCTGAAAGCGCTCCAAATGTCCACTTCCAGATACTACAAAAAGAGTGTTTCAAACCTGCTCTACCAAAGGGAATGTTCTACTCTGTGTCTTGAATGCAAACATCCCAAAGAAGTTTCTGAGAATGCTTCTGTCTAGATTTTACCTGAAGACAATCCCGTTTCCCACGAAATCCTCAAAGCTATGCAAATATCCTCTTGCAGATTCTACAAAAAGAGTGTTTCAAAACTGCTCTAAGAAAAGAAAGGTTCAACTCTGTCAGTAGAGGGCACACATCACAAACAAGTTTCTGAGAATGCTTCTGCATAGTTGTTATGGGAAGATATTTCCCTGTCCAAAATAGGCCTGAAAGCGCTCCAAATGTCCACTTCCAGATACTACAAAAGGAGTGATTCCAACCTGCTCTATGATAGGGAATGTTCAACTCTGTGTCCTGAATACAAACATCACAAAGATGTTTCTCATAACGCTGCAGTCTGCAATTTGTATGAATTCCCGCTTCCAACGAAATCCTCAAAACTAGCCAAATATCCACTTGCAGATTCCACAAAAAGACCATTTCAAAACTGCTCTATCAAAAGAAAGGTTCAACTTTGTTAGTTGAGTAGATACAGCATAACCAAGTTTCTGAGAATGCTTCTGTCCAGTTTTTATGGGAAGATATTTCCTTTTTCACCTTAGCCCTGAAATCGCTCCAAAAGTCCAGTTCCAGATACTACAAAAGGGGTGTTTCAAGACTGCTCTATGAAAGGGAGTGTTCAACTTTTGACTTGAATGCAAACATCAGAAAGCAGTTTCTCAGAACGCTGCTGTGTGCTTTTTATATGTATTCCCGCTTCCAGCGAAATCCCCAAAGCTAGCCAAATATCCACTTGCAGATTCCAGAAAAAGAGTGTTTCAAAACTGCTCCTTCAAAACGGTGGTTCAATTCTCTTAGTTGAGTACACACATCTCAAATAAGTTTCTGAGAATGCTTGTGTCTAGTTGTTATGGGAAGATATTTCCTTTTTCAACATAGGCCTGAAAGCGCTCCAAATGTCCACTTCCAGATACTACAAAAGGAGTGATTCCAACCTGCTCTATCATAGGGAATGTTCATCTCTGTGTCCTGAATACAAACATCACAAAGATGTTTCTCAGAACGCTGCAGTCTGCAATTTGTATGAATTCCCGCTTCCAACGAAATCCTCAAAACTAGCCAAATATCCACTTGGAGATTCCACAAAAAGAGCATTTCAAAACTTCTCTATGAATAGAAAGGTTCTACTCCTTTAGTTGAGGACACACATCACGAGTAAGTTTCTGAGAATGCTTCTGTCTAGTTTTTATGGGAAGATATTTCCTTTTTCACCTTAGGCCGGAAATCGCTCCAAATGTCCACTTACACACACTACAAAAAGAGTGTTTCAAACCTGCTCTGTGAAAGGGAATGTTCAATTCTGTGACTTGAATGCAATCATCACAAAGAACTTTCTGAGAATGCTGCTGTCTGCTTTTTATATGTAATCCCGTTTCCAACGAAATCCTCAAATCTAGCCAAATATCCACTTGCAGATTCCACAAAAAGAGTGTTTCAAAACTGTTCTGTCTAAAGAAAAGTTCAACTGTGTTAGTTGAGGACACACATCAGAAACTAGTTTCTGAGAATGCTTCTGTCTAGTTGTTATGGGAAGATATTTCCTTTTCCAACGTAGGCCTGAAAGCGCTCCAAATGTCCATTTCCATATACTAAAAAAAGAGTGTTTCAAACCTGCTCTATCAAAGGGAATTTTCTACTCTGTGACTTGAATACAAACATCCCAAAGAAGTTTCTGAGAATGCTTCTGTCTAGATTTTATCTGAAGACAATCCCGTTTCCAACGAAATCCTCAAGGCTAGGCAAATATCGTCTAGCAGATTCCAGAAAAAGAGTGTTTCAAAACTGCTCCTTCAAAACGGTGGTTCAATTCTCTTAGTTGCGTACACACATCTCAAAAAAGTTTCAGAGAATGCTTCTGCCTAGTTGTTACGGGAAGATATTTCCCTTTCCAACATAGGCCTGAAAGCGCTCCAAATGTCCACTTCCAGATACTACAAAAAGAGTGTTTCAAACCTGCTCTACCAAAGGGAATGTTCTACTCTGTGACTTGAATGCAAACATCCCAAAGAAGTTTCTGAGAATGCTTCTGTCTAGATTTTACCTGAAGACAATCCCGTTTCCCACGAAATCCTCAAAGCTATGCAAATATCCTCTTGCAGATTCTACAAAAAGAGTGTTTCAAAACTGCTCTATGAAAAGAAAGGTTCAACTCTGTCAGTAGAGGGCACACATCACAAACAAGTTTCTGAGAATGCTTGTGTCTAGTTGTTATGGGAAGATATTTCCTTTTTCAACATAGGCCTGAAAGCGCTCCAAATGTCCACTTCCAGATACTACAAAAGGAGTGATTCCAACCTGCTCTATGATAGGGAATGTTCAACTCTCTGTCCTGAATACAAACATCACAAAGATGTTTCTCAGAACGCTGCAGTCTGCAATTTGTATGAATTCCCGCTTCCAACGAAATCCTCAAAACTAGCCAAATATCCACTTGCAGATTCCACAAAAAGAGCATTTCAAAACTGCTCTATCAAAAGAAAGGTTCAACTTTGTTAGTTGAGTAGATACAGCATAAACAAGTTTCTGAGAATGCTGCAGTCTGCAATTTGGATGAATACCCGCTTCCAACGAAATCCTCAAAACTAGCCAAATATCCACTTGGAGATTCCACAAAAAGAGCGTTTCAAAACTTCTCTATGAATAGAAAGGTTCTACTCCTTTAGTTGAGGGCACACATCACGAGTAAGTTTCTGAGAATGCTTCTGTCTAGTTTTTATGGGAAGATATTTCCTTTTTCACCTTAGGCCGGAAAGTGCTCCAAATGTCCACTTACACACACTACAAAAAGAGTGTTTCAAACCTGCTCTGTGAAAGGGAATGTTCAATTCTGTGACTTGAATGCAATCATCACAAAGAACTTTCTGAGAATGCTGCTGACTGCTTTTTATATGTAATCCCGTTTCCAACGAAATCCTCAAATCTAGCCAAATAGCCACTTGCAGATTCCACAAAAAGAGTGTTTCAAAACTGTTCTGTCTAAAGAAATGTTCAACTGTGTTAGTTGAGGACACACATCAGAAACTAGTTTCTGAGAATGCTTCTGTCTAGTTGTTATGGGAAGATATTTCCTTTTCCAACGTAGGCCTGAAAGCGCTCCAAATGTCCACTTCCAGATACTACAAAAAGAGTGTTTCAAACCTGCTCTACCAAAGGGAATGTTCTACTCTGTGACTTGAATGCAAACATCCCAAAGAAGTTTCTGAGAATACTTCTGTCTAGATTTTCTCTGAAGACAATCCCGTTTCCAACGAAATCCTCAAGGCTAGGCAAATATACTCTTGCAGATTCCAGAAAAAGAGTGTTTCAAAACTGCTCCTTCAAAACGGTGGTTCAATTCTCTTAGTTGAGTACACACATCTCAAATAAGTTTCTGAGAATGCTTCTGCCTAGTTGTTACGGGAAGATATTTCCCTTTCCAACATGGGCCTGAAAGCGCTCCAAATGTCCACTTCCAGATACTACAAAAAGAGTGTTTCAAACCTGCTCTACCAAAGGGAATGTTCTACTCTGTGACTTGAATGCAAACATCCCAAAGAAGTTTCTGAGAATGCTTCTGTCTAGATTTTACCTGAAGACAATCCCGTTTCCCACGAAATCCTCAAAGCTATGCAAATATCCTCTTGCAGATTCTACAAAAAGAGTGTTTCAAAACTGCTCTATGAAAAGAAAGGTTCAACTCTGTCAGTAGAGGGCACACATCACAAACAAGTTTCTGAGAATGCTTGTGTCTAGTTGTTATGGGAAGATATTTCCTTTTTCAACATAGGCCTGAAAGCGCTCCAAATATCCACTTCCAGATACTACAAAAGGAGTGATTCCAACCTGCTCTATGATAGGGAATGTTCAACTCTCTGTCCTGAATACAAACATCAGAAAGATGTTTCTCAGAACGCTGCAGTCTGCAATTTGTATGAATTCCCGCTTCCAACGAAATCCTCAAAAGTAACCAAATATCCACTTGCAGACTCCACAAAAAGAGCATTTCAAAACTGCTCTATCAAAAGAAAGGTTCAACTTTGTTAGCTGAGTAGATACAGCATAAACAAGTTTCTGAGAATGCTTCTGTCCAGTTTTTATGGGAAGATATTTCCTTTTTCACCTTAGCCCTGAAAGCACTCCAAATGTCCACTTCCAGATACCACAAAAGGGGAGTTTCAAGACTGCTCTATGAAAGGGAGTGTTCAACTTTTGACTTGAATGCGAACATCAGAAAGAAGTTTGCTCAGAACGCTGCTGTGTGCTTTTTATATGTATTCCCGCTTCCAGCGAAATCCCCAAAGCTAGCCAAATATCCACTTGCAGATTCCAGAAAAAGAGAGTTTCAAAACTGCTCCTTCAAAACGGTGGTTCAATTCTCTTAGTTGAGTACACACATCTCAAATAAGTTTCTGAGAATGCTTGTGTCTAGTTGTTATGGGAAGATATTTCCTTTTTCAACATAGGCCTGAAAGCGCTCCAAATGTCCACTTCCAGATACTACAAAAGGAGTGATTCCAACCTGCTCTATGATAGGGAATGTTCATCTCTGTGTCCTGAATACAAACATCACAAAGATGTTTCTCAGAACGCTGCAGTCTGCAATTTGTATGAATTCCCGCTTCCAACGAAATCCTCAAAACTAGCCAAATATCCACTTGCAGATTCCACAAAAAGAGCGTTTCAAAACTTCTCTATGAAAAGAAAGGTTCTACTCCTTTAGTTGAGGACACACAATACGAGTAAGTTTCTGAGAATGCTTCTGTCCAGTTTTTATGGGAAGATATTTCCTTTTTCACCTTAGCCCTGAAAGCGCTCCAAAAGTCCAGTTCCAGATACTACAAAAGGAGTGTTTCAGGACTGCTCTATGAAAGGGAGTGTTCAACTTTTGACTTGAATGCAAACATCAGAAAGCAGTTTCTCAGAACGCTGCTGTGTGCTTTTTATATGTATTCCCGCTTCCAGCGAAATCCCCAAAGCTAGCCAAATATCCACTTGCAGATTCCAGAAAAAGAGTGTTTCAAAACTGCTCCTTCAAAACGGTGGTTCAATTCTCTTAGTTGAGTACACACATCTCAAATAAGTTTCTGAGAATGCTTCTGTCTAGTTGTTATGGGAAGATATTTCCTTTTCCAACATAGGCCTGAAAGCGCTCCAAATGTCCACTTCCAGATACCACAAAAGGAGTGATTCCAACCTGCTCTATGATAGGGAATGTTCAACTCTGTGTCCTGAATACAAACATCACAAAGTTGTTTACTCAGAACGCTGCAGTCTGCAATTTGTATGAATTCCCGCTTCCAACGAAATCCTCAAAACTAGCCAAATATCCACTTGCAGATTCCACAAAAAGAGCGTTTCAAAACTTCTCTATGAAAAGAAAGGTTCTACTCCTTTAGTTGAGGACACACATCACGAGTAAGTTTCTGAGAGTGCTTCTGTCTAGTTTTTATGGGAAGATATTTCCTTTTTCACCTTAGGCCGGTAAGTGCTCCAAATGTCCACTTACACACACTACAAAAAGAGTGTTTCAAACCTGCTCTGTGAAAGGGAATGTTCAATTCTGTGACTTGAATGCAATCATCACAAAGAACTTTCTGAGAATGCCGCTGACTGCTTTTTATATGTAATCCCGTTTCCAACGAAATCCTCAAATCTAGCCAAATAGCCACTTGCAGATTCCACAAAAAGAGTGTTTCAAAACTGTTCTGTCTAAAGAAATGTTCAACTGTGTTAGTTGAGGACACACATCAGAAACTAGTTTCTGAGAATGCTTCTGTCTAGTTGTTATCGGAAGATATTTCCTTTTCCAACGTAGGCCTGAAAGCGCTCCAAATGTCCACTTCCATATACTAAAAAAAGAGTGTTTCAAACCTGCTCTACCAAAGGGAATGTTCTACTCTGTGACTTGAATGCAAACATCCCAAAGAAGTTTCTGAGAATGCTTCTGTCTAGATTTTATCTGAAGACAATCCCGTTTCCAACGAAATCCTCAAGGCTAGGCAAATATACTCTTGCAGATTCCAGAAAAAGAGTGTTTCAAAACTGCTCCTTCAAAACGGTGGTTCAATTCTCTTCGTTGAGTCCACACATCTCAAATAAGTTTCTGAGAATGCTTCTGCCTAGTTGTTACGGGAAGATATTTCCCTTTCCAACATAGGCCTGAAAGCGCTCCAAATGTCCACTTCCAGATACTACAAAAAGAGTGTTTCAAACCTGCTCTACCAAAGGGAATGTTCTGCTCTGTGACTTGAATGCAAACATCCCAAAGAAGTTTCTGAGAATGCTTCTGTCTAGATTTTACCTGAAGACAATCCCGTTTCCCACGAAATCCTCAAAGCTATGCAAATATCCTCTTGCAGATTCTACAAAAAGAGTGTTTCAAAACTGCTCTATGAAAAGAAAGGTTCAACTCTGTCAGTAGAGGGCACACATCACAAACAAGTTTCTGAGAATGCTTGTGTCTAGTTGTTATGGGAAGATATTTCCTTTTTCAACATAGGCCTGAAAGCGCTCCAAATGTCCACTTCCAGATACTACAAAAGGAGTGATTCCAACCTGCTCTATGATAGGGAATGTTCAACTCTCTGTCCTGAATACAAACATCACAAAGATGTTTCTCAGAACGCTGCAGTCTGCAATTTGTATGAATTCCCGCTTCCAACGAAATCCTCAAAACTAGCCAAATATCCACTTGCAGATTCCACAAAAAGACCATTTCAAAACTGCTCTATCAAAAGAAAGGTTCAACTTTGTTAGTTGAGTAGATACAGCATAACCAAGTTTCTGAGAATGCTTCTGTCCAGTTTTTATGGGAAGATATTTCCTTTTTCACCTTAGCCCTGAAATCGCTCCAAAAGTCCAGTTCCAGATACTACAAAAGGGGTGTTTCAAGACTGCTCTATGAAAGGGAGTGTTCAACTTTTGACTTGAATGCAAACATCAGAAAGCAGTTTCTCAGAACGCTGCTGTGTGCTTTTTATATGTATTCCCGCTTCCAGCGAAATCCCCAAAGCTAGCCAAATATCCACTTGCAGATTCCAGAAAAAGAGAGTTTCAAAACTGCTCCTTCAAAACGGTGGTTCAATTCTCTTAGTTGAGTACACACATCTCAAATAAGTTTCTGAGAATGCTTCTGTCTAGTTGTTATGGGAAGATATTTCCTTTTCCAACATAGGCCTGAAAGCGCTCCAAATGTCCACTTCCAGATACTACAAAAGGAGTGATTCCAACCTGCTCTATGATAGGGAATGTTCAACTCTGTGTCCTGAATACAAACATCACAAAGATGTTTCTCAGAACGCTGCAGTCTGCAATTTGTATGAATTCCCGCTTCCAACGAAATCCTCCAAACTAGCCAAATATCCACTTGCAGATTCCACAAAAAGAGCGTTTCAAAACTTCTCTGCGAAAGAAAGGTTCTACTCCTTTAGTTGAGGACACACATCACGAGTAAGTTTCTGAGAATGCTTCTGTCTAGTTTTTATGGGAAGATATTTCCTTTTTCACCTTAGGCCGGAAAGTGCTCCAAATGTCCACTTACACACACTATAAAAAGAGTGTTTCAAACCTGCTCTGTGAAAGGGAATGTTCAATTCTGTGACTTGAATGCAATCATCACAAAGAACTTTCTGAGAATGCTGCTGTCTGCTTTTTATATGTAATCCCGTTTCCAACGAAATCCTCAAATCTAGCCAAATAGCCACTTGCAGATTCCACAAAAAGAGAGTTTCAAAACTGTTCTGTCTAAAGAAATGTTCAACTGTGTTAGTTGAGGACACACATCAGAAACTAGTTTCTGAGAATGCTTCTGTCTAGTTGTTATGGGAAGATATTTCCTTTTCCAACGTAGGCCTGAAAGCGCTCCAAATGTCCACTTCCATATACTAAAAAAAGAGTGTTTCAAACCTGCTCTACCAAAGGGAATGTTCTACTCTGTGACTTGAATGCAAACATCCCAAAGAAGTTTCTGAGAATGCTTCTGTCTAGATTTTATCTGAAGACAATCCCGTTTCCAACGAAATCCTCAAGGCTAGGCAAATATACTCTTGCAGATTCCAGAAAAAGAGTGTTTCAAAACTGCTCCTTCAAAACGGTGGTTCAATTCTCTTAGTTGAGTACACACATCTCAAATAAGTTTCTGAGAATGCTTCTGCCTAGTTGTTACGGGAAGATATTTCCCTTTCCAACATAGGCCTGAAAGCGCTCCAAATGTCCACTTCCAGATACTACAAAAAGAGTGTTTCAAACCTGCTCTACCAAAGGGAATGTTCTACTCTGTGACTTGAATGCAAACATCCCAAAGAAGTTTCTGAGAATGCTTCTGTCTAGATTTTACCTGAAGACAATCCCGTTTCCCACGAAATCCTCAAAGCTATGCAAATATCCTCTTGCAGATTCTACAAAAAGAGTGTTTCAAAACTGCTCTATGAAAAGAAAGGTTCAACTCTGTCAGTAGAGGGCACACATCACAAACAAGTTTCTGAGAATGCTTGTGTCTAGTTGTTATGGGAAGATATTTCCTTTTTCAACATAGGCCTGAAAGCGCTCCAAATGTCCACTTCCAGATACTACAAAAGGAGTGATTCCAACCTGCTCTATGATAGGGAATGTTCATCTCTGTGTCCTGAATACAAACATCACAAAGATGTTTCTCAGAACGCTGCAGTCTGCAATTTGTATGAATTCCCGCTTCCAACGAAATCCTCAAAACTAGCCAAATATCCACTTGCAGATTCCACAAAAAGACCATTTCAAAACTGCTCTATCAAAAGAAAGGTTCAACTTTGTTAGTTGAGTAGATACAGCATAACCAAGTTTCTGAGAATGCTTCTGTCCAGTTTTTATGGGAAGATATTTCCTTTTTCACCTTAGCCCTGAAATCGCTCCAAAAGTCCAGTTCCAGATACTACAAAAGGGGTGTTTCAAGACTGCTCTATGAAAGGGAGTGTTCAACTTTTGACTTGAATGCAAACATCAGAAAGCAGTTTCTCAGAACGCTGCTGTGTGCTTTTTATATGTATTCCCGCTTCCAGCGAAATCCCCAAAGCTAGCCAAATATCCACTTGCAGATTCCAGAAAAAGAGTGTTTCAAAACTGCTCCTTCAAAACGGTGGTTCAATTCTCTTAGTTGAGTACACACATCTCAAATAAGTTTCTGAGAATGCTTCTGCCTAGTTGTTACGGGAAGATATTTCCCTTTCCAACATAGGCCTGAAAGCGCTCCAAATGTCTACTTCCAGATACTACAAAAAGAGTGTTTCAAACCTGCTCTACCAAAGGGAATGTTCTACTCTGTGACTTGAATGCAAACATCCCGAAGAATTTTCTGAGAATGCTGCAGTCTGCAATTTGTATGAATTCCCGCTTCCAACGAAATCCTCAAAACTAGCCAAATATCCACTTGGAGATTCCACAAAAAGAGCGTTTCAAAACTTCTCTATGAATAGAAATGTTCTACTCCTTTAGTTGAGGACACACATCACGAGTAAGTTTCTGAGAATGCTTCTGTCTAGTTTTTATGGGAAGATATGTCCTTTTTCACCTTAGGCCGGAGAGCGCTCCAAATGTCCACTTACACACACTACAAAAAGAGTGTTTCAAACCTGCTCTGGAAAGGGAATGTTCAATTCTGTGACTTGAATGCAATCATCACAAAGAACTTTCTGAGAATGCTGCTGACTGCTTTTTATATGTAATCCCGTTTCCAACGAAATCCTCAAATCTACCCCAATATCCACTTGCAGATTCCACAAAAAGAGTGTTTCAAAACTGTTCTGTGTAAAGAAATGTACAACTGTGGTAGTTGAGGACACACATCAGAAACTAGTTTCTGAGAATGCTTCTGTCTAGTTGTTATGGGAAGACATTTGCTTTTCCAACGTAGGCCTGAAAGCGCTCCAAATGTCCACTTACACACACTACAAAAAGAGTGTTTCAAACCTGCTCTATCAAAGTAAATGTTCTACTCTGTGACTTGAATGCAAACATCCCAAAGAAGTTTCTGAGAATGCTTCTGTCTAGATTTTACCTGAAGACAATCCCGTTTCCCACGAAATCCTCAAAGCTATGCAAATATCCTCTTGCAGATTCTACAAAAAGAGTGTTTCGAAACTGCTCTATGAAAAGAAAGGATCAACTGTGTCAGTAGAGGGCACACATCACAAACAAGTTTCTGAGAATGCTTGTGTCTAGTTGTTATGGGAAGATATTTCCTTTTTCAACATAGGCCTGAAAGCGCTCCAAATGTCCACTTCCAGATACTACAAAAGGAGTGATTCCAACCTGCTCTATGATAGGGAATGTTCATCTCTGTGTCCTGAATACAAACATCACAAAGATGTTTCTCAGAACGCTGCAGTCTGCAATTTGTATGAATTCCCGCTTCCAACGAAATCCTCAAAACTAGCCAAATATCCACTTGCAGATTCCACAAAAAGACCATTTCAAAACTGCTCTATCAAAAGAAAGGTTCAACTTTGTTAGTTGAGTAGATACAGCATAAACAAGTTTCTGAGAATGCTTCTGTCCAGTTTTTATGGGAAGATATTTCCTTTTTCACCTTAGCCCTGAAATCGCTCCAAAAGTCCAGTTCCAGATACTACAAAAGGGGTGTTTCAGGACTGCTCTATGAAAGGGAGTGTTCAACTTTTGACTTGAATGCAAACATCAGAAAGCAGTTTCTCAGAACGCTGCTGTGTGCTTTTTATATGTATTCCCGCTTCCAGCGAAATCCCCAAAGCTAGCCAAATATCCACTTGCAGATTCCAGAAAAAGAGAGTTTCAAAACTGCTCCTTCAAAACGGTGGTTCAATTCTCTTAGTTGAGTACACACATCTCAAATAAGTTTCTGAGAATGCTTGTGTCTAGTTGTTATGGGAAGATATTTCCTTTTTCAACATAGGCCTGAAAGCGCTCCAAATGTCCACTTCCAGATACTACAAAAGGAGTGATTCCAACCTGCTCTATGATAGGGAATGTTCATCTCTGTGTCTTGAATACAAACATCACAAAGATGTTTCTCAGAACGCTGCAGTCTGCAATTTGTATGAATTCCCGCTTCCAACGAAATCCTCAAAACTAACCAAATATCCACTTGGAGATTCCACAAAAAGAGCGTTTCAAAACTTCTCTATGAATAGAAAGGTTCTACTCCTTTAGTTGAGGACACACATCACGAGTAAGTTTCTGAGAATGCTTCTGTCTAGTTTTTATGGGAAGATATTTCCTTTTTCACCTTAGGCCGGAAAGCGCTCCAAATGTCCACTTACACACACTACAAAAAGAGTGTTTCAAACCTGCTCTGTGAAAGGGAATGTTCAATTCTGTGACTTGAATGCAATCATCACAAAGAACTTTCTGAGAATGCTGCTGTCTGCTTTTTATATGTAATCCCGTTTCCAACGAAATCCTCAAATCTAGCCAAATATCCACTTGCAGATTCCACAAAAAGAGTGTTTCAAAACTGTTCTGTCTAAAGAAAAGTTCAACTGTGTTAGTTGAGGATACACATCAGAAACTAGTTTCTGAGAATGCTTCTGTCTAGTTGTTATGGGAAGATATTTCCTTTTCCAACGTAGGCC
The DNA here is from genome assembly GCF_000001405.40 of Homo sapiens. Classification (NCBI taxonomy): domain Eukaryota; kingdom Metazoa; phylum Chordata; class Mammalia; order Primates; family Hominidae; genus Homo; species Homo sapiens. The sequence goes on along the minus strand of NC_000018.10, from coordinate 19,876,014 downwards.
TGAAAGCGCTCCAAATGTCCACTTCCATATACTAAAAAAAGAGTGTTTCAAACCTGCTCTACCAAAGGGAATGTTCTACTCTGTGACTTGAATGCAAACATCCCAAAGAAGTTTCTGAGAATGCTTCTGTCTAGATTTGATCTGAAGACAATCCCGTTTCCAACGAAATCCTCAAGGCTAGGCAAATATCCTCTTGCAGATTCCAGAAAAAGAGTGTTTCAAAACTGCTCCTTCAAAACGGTGGTTCAATTCTCTTAGTTGAGTACACACATCTCAAATAAGTTTCTGAGAATGCTTCTGCCTAGTTGTTACGGGAAGATATTTCCCTTTCCAACATAGGCCTGAAAGCGCTCCAAATGTCCACTTCCAGATACTACAAAAAGAGTGTTTCAAACCTGCTCTACCAAAGGGAATGTTCTACTCTGTGACTTGAATGCAAACATCCCAAAGAAGTTTCTGAGAATGCTTCTGTCTAGATTTTACCTGAAGACAATCCCGTTTCCCACGAAATCCCCAAAGCGATGCAAATATCCTCTTGTGGATTCTACAAAAAGAGTGTTTCAAAACTGCTCTATGAAAAGAAAGGTTCAACTCTGTCAGTAGAGGGCACACATCACAAACAAGTTTCTGAGAATGCTTGTGTCTAGTTGTTATGGGAAGATATTTCCTTTTTCAACATAGGCCTGAAAGCGCTCCAAATGTCCACTTCCAGATACTACAAAAGGAGTGATTCCAACCTGCTCTATGATAGGGAATGTTCAACTCTCTGTCCTGAATACAAACATCACAAAGATGTTTCTCAGAACGCTGCAGTCTGCAATTTGTATGAATTCCCGCTTCCAACGAAATCCTCAAAACTAGCCAAATATCCACTTGCAGATTCCACAAAAAGAGCATTTCAAAACTGCTCTATCAAAAGAAAGGTTCAACTTTGTTAGTTGAGTAGATACAGCATAAACAAGTTTCTGAGAATGCTGCAGTCTGCAATTTGTATGAATTCCCGCTTCCAACGAAATCCTCAAAACTAGCCAAATATCCACTTGCAGATTCCACAAAAAGAGCGTTTCAAAACTTCTCTATGAAAAGAAAGGTTCTACTCCTTTAGTTGAGGACACACATCACGAGTAAGTTTCTGAGAATGCTTCTGTCTAGTTTTTATGGGAAGATATTTCCTTTTTCACCTTAGGCCGGAAAGCGCTCCAAATGTCCACTTACACACACTACAAAAAGAGTGTTTCAAACCTGCTCTGTGAAAGGGAATGTTCAATTCTGTGACTTGAATGCAATCATCACAAAGAACTTTCTGAGAATGCTGCTGACTGCTTTTTATATGTAATCCCGTTTCTAACGAAATCCTCAAATCTAGCCAAATAGCCACTTGCAGATTCCACAAAAAGAGTGTTTCAAAACTGTTCTGTCTAAAGAAATGTTCAACTGTGTTAGTTGAGGACACACATCAGAAACTAGTTTCTGAGAATGCTTCTGTCTAGTTGTTATGGGAAGATATTTCCTTTTCCAACGTAGGCCTGAAAGCGCTCCAAATGTCCACTTCCATATACTAAAAAAAGAGTGTTTCAAACCTGCTCTACCAAAGGGAATGTTCTACTCTGTGACTTGAATGCAAACATCCCAAAGAAGTTTCTGAGAATGCTTCTGTCTAGATTTTCTCTGAAGACAATCCCGTTTCCAACGAAATCCTCAAGGCTAGGCAAATATACTCTTGCAGATTCCAGAAAAAGAGTGTTTCAAAACTGCTCCTTCAAAACGGTGGTTCAATTCTCTTAGTTGAGTACACACATCTCAAATAAGTTTCTGAGAATGCTTCTGCCTAGTTGTTACGGGAAGATATTTCCCTTTCCAACATGGGCCTGAAAGCGCTCCAAATGTCCACTTCCAGATACTACAAAAAGAGTGTTTCAAACCTGCTCTACCAAAGGGAATGTTCTACTCTGTGACTTGAATGCAAACATCCCAAAGAAGTTTCTGAGAATGCTTCTGTCTAGATTTTACCTGAAGACAATCCCGTTTCCCACGAAATCCTCAGAGCTATGCAAATATCCTCTTGCAGATTCTACAAAAAGAGTGTTTCGAAACTGCTCTATGAAAAGAAAGGTTCAACTCTGTCAGTAGAGGAAACACATCACCAACAAGTTTCTGAGAATGCTTCTGTCTAGTTGTTATGGGAAGATTTTTCCTTTTTCAACATAGGCCTGAAAGCGCTCCAAATGTCCACTTCCAGATACTACAAAAGGAGTGATCCCAACCTGCTCTATGATAGGGAATGTTCAACTCTGTGTCCTGAATACAAACATCACAAAGATGTTTCTCAGAACGCTGCAGTCTGCAATTTGTATGAATTCCCGCTTCCAACGAAATCCTCAAAACTAGCCAAATATCCACTTGCAGATTCCACAAAAAGACCATTTCAAAACTGCTCTATCAAAAGAAAGGTTCAACTTTGTTAGTTGAGTAGATACAGCATAACCAAGTTTCTGAGAATGCTTCTGTCCAGTTTTTATGGGAAGATATTTCCTTTTTCACCTTAGCCCTGAAATCGCTCCAAAAGTCCAGTTCCAGATACTACAAAAGGGGTGTTTCAAGACTGCTCTATGAAAGGGAGTGTTCAACTTTTGACTTGAATGCAAACATCAGAAAGCAGTTTCTCAGAACGCTGCTGTGTGCTTTTTATATGTATTCCCGCTTCCAGCGAAATCCCCAAAGCTAGCCAAATATCCACTTGCAGATTCCAGAAAAAGAGTGTTTCAAAACTGCTCCTTCAAAACGGTGGTTCAATTCTCTTAGTTGAGTACACACATCTCAAATAAGTTTCTGAGAATGCTTCTGTCTAGTGGTTATGGGAAGATATTTCCTTTTCCAACATAGGCCTGAAAGCGCTCCAAATGTCCACTTCCAGATACTACAAAAGGAGTGATTCAAACCTGCTCTATGATAGGGAATGTTCAACTCTGTGTCCTGAATACAAACATCACAAAGATGTTTCTCAGAACGCTGCAGTCTGCAATTTGTATGAATTCCCGCTTCCAACGAAATCCTCCAAACTAGCCAAATATCCACTTGCAGATTCCACAAAAAGAGCGTTTCAAAACTTCTCTATGAAAAGAAAGGTTCTACTCCTTTTAGTTGAGGACACACATCACGAGTAAGTTTCTGAGAGTGCTTCTGTCTAGTTTTTATGGGAAGATATTTCCTTTTTCACCTTAGGCCGGAAAGTGCTCCAAATGTCCACTTACACACACTACAAAAAGAGTGTTTCAAAACTGCTCTGTGAAAGGGAATGTTCAATTCTGTGACTTGAATGCAATCATCACAAAGAACGTTCTGAGAATGCTGCTGACTGCTTTTTATATGTAATCCCGTTTCCAACGAAATCCTCAAATCTAGCCCAATATCCACTTACAGATTCCACAAAAAGAGTGTTTCAAAACTGTTCTGTCTAAAGAAATGTACAACTGTGTCAGTTGAGGACACACATCAGAAACTAGTTTCTGAGAATGCTTCTGTCTAGTTGTTATGGGAAGATATTTCCTTTTCCAACGTAGGCCTGAAAGCGCTCCAAATGTCCACTTCCATATACTAAAAAAAGAGTGTTTCAAACCTGCTCTACCAAAGGGAATGTTCTACTCTGTGACTTGAATGCAAACATCCCAAAGAAGTTTCTGAGAATGCTTCTGTCTAGATTTTATCTGAAGACAATCCCGTTTCCAACGAAATCCTCAAGGCTAGGCAAATATACTCTTGCAGATTCCAGAAAAAGAGTGTTTCAAAACTGCTCCTTCAAAACGGTGGTTCAATTCTCTTAGTTGAGTACACACATCTCAAATAAGTTTCTGAGAATGCTTCTGCCTAGTTGTTACGGGAAGATATTTCCCTTTCCAACATGGGCCTGAAAGCGCTCCAAATGTCCACTTCCAGATACTACAAAAAGAGTGTTTCAAACCTGCTCTACCAAAGGGAATGTTCTACTCTGTGACTTGAATGCAAACATCCCAAAGAAGTTTCTGAGAATGCTTCTGTCTAGATTTTACCTGAAGACAATCCCGTTTCCCACGAAATCCTCAAAGCTATGCTAATATCCTCTTGCAGATTCTACAAAAAGAGTGTTTCAAAACTGCTCTATGAAAAGAAAGGTTCAACTCTGTCAGTAGAGGGCACACATCACAAACAAGTTTCTGAGAATGCTTGTGTCTAGTTGTTATGGGAAGATATTTCCTTTTTCAACATAGGCCTGAAAGCGCTCCAAATGTCCACTTCCAGATACTACAAAAGGAGTGATTCCAACCTGCTCTATGATAGGGAATGTTCAACTCTCTGTCCTGAATACAAACATCACAAAGATGTTTCTCAGAACGCTGCAGTCTGCAAATTTGTATGAATTCCCGCTTCCAACGAAATCCTCAAAACTAGCCAAATATCCACTTGCAGATTCCACAAAAAGACCATTTCAAAACTGCTCTATCAAAAGAAAGGTTCAACTTTGTTAGTTGAGTAGATACAGCATAAACAAGTTTCTGAGAATGCTTCTGTCCAGTTTTTATGGGAAGATATTTCCTTTTTCACCTTAGCCCTGAAAGCGCTCCAAAAGTCCAGTTCCAGATACTACAAAAGGAGTGTTTCAGGACTGCTCTATGAAAGGGAGTGTTCAACTTTTGACTTGAATGCAAACATCAGAAAGCAGTTTCTCAGAACGCTGCAGTCTGCAATTTGTATGAATTCCCGCTTCCAACGAAATCCTCAAAACTAGCCAAATATCCACTTGCAGATTCCACAAAAAGAGCGTTTCAAAACTTCTCTATGAAAAGAAAGGTTCTACTCCTTTAGTTGAGGACACACATCACGAGTAAGTTTCTGAGAATGCTTCTGTCTAGTTTTTATGGGAAGATATTTCCTTTTTCACCTTAGGCCGGAAAGTGCTCCAAATGTCCACTTACACACACTACAAAAAGAGTGTTTCAAACCTGCTCTGTGAAAGGGAATGTTCAATTCTGTGACTTGAATGCAACCATCACAAAGAACTTTCTGAGAATGCTGCTGTCTGCTTTTTATATGTAATCCCGTTTCCAACGAAATCCTCAAATCTAGCCAAATAGCCACTTGCAGATTCCACAAAAAGAGTGTTTCAAAACTGTTCTGTCTAAAGAAATGTTCAACTGTGTTAGTTGAGGACACACATCAGAAACTAGTTTCTGAGAATGCTTCTGTCTAGTTGTTATGGGAAGATATTTCCTTTTCCAACGTAGGCCTGAAAGCGCTCCAAATGTCCACTTCCATATACTAAAAAAAGAGTGTTTCAAACCTGCTCTACCAAAGGGAATGTTCTACTCTGTGACTTGAATGCAAACATCCCAAAGAAGTTTCTGAGAATGCTTCTGTCTAGATTTTATCTGAAGACAATCCCGTTTCCAACGAAATCCTCAAGGCTAGGCAAATATACTCTTGCAGATTCCAGAAAAAGAGGGTTTCAAAACTGCTCCTTCAAAACGGTGGTTCAATTCTCTTAGTTGAGTACACACATCTCAAATAAGTTTCTGAGAATGCTTCTGCCTAGTTGTTACGGGAAGATATTTCCCTTTCCAACATGGGCCTGAAAGCGCTCCAAATGTCCACTTCCAGATACTACAAAAAGAGTGTTTCAAACCTGCTCTACCAAAGGGAATGTTCTACTCTGTGACTTGAATGCAAACATCCCAAAGAAGTTTCTGAGAATGCTTCTGTCTAGATTTTACCTGAAGACAATCCCGTTTCCCACGAAATCCTCAAAACTATGCAAATATCCTCTTGCGGATTCTACAAAAAGAGTGTTTCAAAACTGCTCTATGAAAAGAAAGGTTCAACTCTGTCAGTAGAGGGCACACATCACAAACAAGTTTCTGAGAATGCTTGTGTCTAGTTGTTATGGGAAGATATTTCCTTTTTCAACATAGGCCTGAAAGCGCTCCAAATGTCCACTTCCTGATACTACAAAAGGAGTGATTCCAACCTGCTCTATGATAGGGAATGTTCATCTCTGTGTCCTGAATACAAACATCACAAAGATGTTTCTCAGAACTCTGCAGTCTGCAATTTGTATGAATTCCCGCTTCCAAAGAAATCCTCAAAACTAACCAAATATCTACTTGCAGACTCCACAAAAAGAGCATTTCAAAACTGCTCTATCAAAAGAAAGGTTCAACTTTGTTAGCTGAGTAGATACAGCATAAACAAGTTTCTGAGAATGCTTCTGTCCAGTTTTTATGGGAAGATATTTCCTTTTTCACCTTAGCCCTGAAATCGCTCCAAAAGTCCAGTTCCAGATACTACAAAAGGGGTGTTTCAAGACTGCTCTATGAAAGGGAGTGTTCAACTTTTGACTTGAATGCAAACATCAGAAAGCAGTTTCTCAGAACGCTGCTGTGTGCTTTTTATATGTATTCCCGCTTCCAGCGAAATCCCCAAAGCTAGCCAAATATCCACTTGCAGATTCCAGAAAAAGAGTGTTTCAAAACTGCTCCTTCAAAACGGTGGTTCAATTCTCTTAGTTGAGTACACACATCTCAAATAAGTTTCTGAGAATGCTTGTGTCTAGTTGTTATGGGAAGATATTTCCTTTTTCAACATAGGCCTGAAAGCGCTCCAAATGTCCACTTCCAGATACTACAAAAGGAGTGATTCCAACATGTTCTCTGATAGGGAATGTTCATCTCTGTGTCCTGAATACAAACATCACAAAGATGTTTCTCATAACGCTGCAGTCTGCAATTTGTATGAATTCCCGCTTCCAACGAAATCCTCAAAACTAGCCAAATATCCACTTGGAGATTCCACAAAAAGAGCATTTCAAAACTTCTCTATGAATAGAAAGGTTCTACTCCTTTAGTTGAGGACACACATCACGAGTAAGTTTCTGAGAATGCTTCTGTCTAGTTTTTATGGGAAGATATTTCCTTGTTCACCTTAGGCCAGAAAGCGCTCCAAATGTCCACTTACACACACTACAAAAAGAGTGTTTCAAACCTGCTCTGTGAAAGGGAATGTTCAATTCTGTGACTTGAATGCAATCATCAGAAAGAACTTTCTGAGAATGCTGCTGTCTGCTTTTTATATGTAATCCCGTTTCCAACGAAATCCTCAAATCTAGCCAAATAGCCACTTGCAGATTCCACAAAAAGTGAGTTTCAAAACTGTTCTGTCTAAAGAAATGTTCAACTGTGTTAGTTGAGGACACACATCAGAAACTAGTTTCTGAGAATGCTTCTGTCTAGTTGTTATGGGAAGATATTTCCTTTTCCAACGTAGGCCTGAAAGCGCTCCAAATGTCCACTTCCAGATACTACAAAAAGAGTGTTTCAAACCTGCTCTACCAAAGGGAATGTTCTACTCTGTGACTTGAATGCAAGCATCCCAAAGAAGTTTCTGAGAATGCTTCTGTCTAGATTTGATCTGAACACAATCCCGTTTCCAACGAAATCCTCAAAGCTAGGCAAATATCCTCTTGCAGATTCCAGAAAAAGAGTGTTTCAAAACTGCTCCTTCAAAACGGTGGTTCAATTCTCTTAGTTGAGTACACACATCTCAAATAAGTTTCTGAGAATGCTTCTGCCTAGTTGTTACGGGAAGATATTTCCCTTTCCAACATAGGCCTGAAAGCGCTCCAAATGTCCACTTCCAGATACTACAAAAAGAGTGTTTCAAACCTGCTCTACCAAAGGGAATGTTCTACTCTGTGACTTGAATGCAAACATCCCAAAGAAGTTTCTGAGAATGCTTCTGTCTAGATTTTACCTGAAGACAATCCCGTTTCCCACGAAATCCTCAAAGCTATGCAAATATCCTCTTGCAGATTCTACAAAAAGAGTGTTTCAAAACTGCTCTATGAAAAGAAAGGTTCAACTCTGTCAGTAGAGGGCACACATCACAAACAAGTTTCTGAGAATGCTTCTGCATAGTTGTTACGGGAAGATATTTCCCTTTCCAAAATAGGCCTGAAAGCGCTCCAAATGTCCACTTCCAGATACTACAAAAGGAGTGATTCCAACCTGCTCTATGATAGGGAATGTTCAACTCTGTGTCCTGAATACAAACATCACAAAGATGTTTCTCAGAACGCTGCAGTCTGCAATTTGTATGAATTCCCGCTTCCAACGAAATCCTCAAAACTAGCCAAATATCCACTTGCAGATTCCACAAAAAGACCATTTCAAAACTGCTCTATCAAAAGAAAGGTTCAACTTTGTTAGTTGAGTAGATACAGCATAAACAAGTTTCTGAGAATGCTTCTGTCCAGTTTTTATGGGAAGATATTTCCTTTTTCACCTTAGCCCTGAAATCGCTCCAAAAGTCCAGTTCCAGATACTACAAAAGGGGTGTTTCAAGACTGCTCTATGAAAGGGAGTGTTCAACTTTTGACTTGAATGCAAACATCAGAAAGCAGTTTCTCAGAACGCTGCTGTGTGCTTTTTATATGTATTCCCGCTTCCAGCGAAATCCCCAAAGCTAGCCAAATATCCACTTGCAGATTCCAGAAAAAGAGTGTTTCAAAACTGCTCCTTCAAAACGGTGGTTCAATTCTCTTAGTTGAGTACACACATCTCAAATAAGTTTCTGAGAATGCTGCAGTCTGCAATTTGTATGAATTCCCGCTTCCAACGAAATCCTCAAAACTAGCCAAATATCCACTTGCAGATTCCACAAAAAGAGCGTTTCAAAACTTCTCTATGAAAAGAAAGGTTCTACTCCTTTAGTTGAGGACACACATCACGAGTAAGTTTCTGAGAATGCTTCTGTCTAGTTTTTATGGGAAGATTATTTCCTTTTTCACCTTAGGCCGGTAAGTGCTCCAAATGTCCACTTACACACACTACAAAAAGAGTGTTTCAAACCTGCTCTGTGAAAGGGAATGTTCAATTCTGTGACTTGAATGCAATCATCACAAAGAACTTTCTGAGAATGCTGCTGACTGCTTTTTATATGTAATCCCGTTTCCAACGAAATCCTCAAATCTAGCCAAATAGCCACTTGCAGATTCCACAAAAAGAGTGTTTCAAAACTGTTCTGTCTAAAGAAATGTTCAACTGTGTTAGTTGAGGACACACATCAGAAACTAGTTTCTGAGAATGCTTCTGTCTAGTTGTTATGGGAAGATATTTCCTTTTCCAACGTAGGCCTGAAAGCGCTCCAAATGTCCACTTCCAGATACTACAAAAAGAGTGTTTCAAACCTGCTCTACCAAAGGGAATGTTCTACTCTGTGACTTGAATGCAAACATCCCAAAGAAGTTTCTGAGAATGCTTCTGTCTAGATTTTCTCTGAAGACAATCCCGTTTCCAACGAAATCCTCAAGGCTAGGCAAATATACTCTTGCAGATTCCAGAAAAAGAGTGTTTCAAAACTGCTCCTTCAAAACGGTGGTTCAATTCTCTTAGTTGAGTACACACATCTCAAATAAGTTTCTGAGAATGCTTCTGCCTAGTTGTTACGGGAAGATATTTCCCTTTCCAACATGGGCCTGAAAGCGCTCCAAATGTCCACTTCCAGATACTACAAAAAGAGTGTTTCAAACCTGCTCTACCAAAGGGAATGTTCTACTCTGTGACTTGAATGCAAACATCCCAAAGAAGTTTCTGAGAATGCTTCTGTCTAGATTTTACCTGAAGACAATCCCGTTTCCCACGAAATCCTCAAAGCTATGCAAATATCCTCTTGCAGATTCTACAAAAAGAGTGTTTCAAAACTGCTCTATGAAAAGAAAGGTTCAACTCTGTCAGTAGAGGGCACACATCACAAACAAGTTTCTGAGAATGCTTGTGTCTAGTTGTTATGGGAAGATATTTCCTTTTTCAACATAGGCCTGAAAGCGCTCCAAATGTCCACTTCCAGATACTACAAAAGGAGTGATTCCAACCTGCTCTATGATAGGGAATGTTCAACTCTGTGTCCTGAATACAAACATCACAAAGATGTTTCTCAGAACGCTGCAGTCTGCAATTTGTATGAATTCCCGCTTCCAACGAAATCCTCAAAACTAGCCAAATATCCACTTGCAGATTCCACAAAAAGAGCATTTCAAAACTGCTCTATCAAAAGAAAGGTTCAACTTTGTTAGTTGAGTAGATACAGCATAAACAAGTTTCTGAGAATGCTTCTGTCCAGTTTTTATGGGAAGATATTTCCTTTTTCACCTTAGACCTGAAATCGCTCCAAAAGTCCAGTTCCAGATACTACAAAAGGAGTGTTTCAGGACTGCTCTATGAAAGGGAGTGTTCAACTTTTGACTTGAATGCAAACATCAGAAAGCAGTTTCTCAGAACGCTGCTGTGTGCTTTTTATATGTATTCCCGCTTCCAGCGAAATCCCCAAAGCTAGCCAAATATCCACTTGCAGATTCCAGAAAAAGAGTGTTTCAAAACTGCTCCTTCAAAACGGTGGTTCAATTCTCTTAGTTGAGTAGACACATCTCAAATAAGTTTCTGAGAATGCTGCAGTCTGCAATTTGTATGAATTCCCGCTTCCAACGAAATCCTCAAAACTAGCCAAATATCCACTTGGAGATTCCACAAAAAGAGCGTTTCAAAACTTCTCTATGAATAGAAAGGTTCTACTCCTTTAGTTGAGGACACACATCACGAGTAAGTTTCTGAGAATGCTTCCGTCTAGTTTTTATGGGAAGATATGTCCTTTTTCACCTTAGGCCGGAAAGCGCTCCAAATGTCCACTTACACACACTACAAAAAGAGTGTTTCAAACCTGCTCTGTGAAAGGGAATGTTCAATTCTGTGACTTGAATGCAATCATCACAAAGAACTTTCTGAGAATGCTGCTGAGTGCTTTTTATATGTAATCCCGTTTCCAACGAAATCCTTAAATCTAGCCAAATAGCCACTTGCAGATTCCACAAAAAGAGTGTTTCAAAGCTGTTCTGTCTAAAGAAATGTTCAACTGTGTTAGTTGAGGTCACACATCAGAAACTAGTTTCTGAGAATGCTTCTGTCTAGTTGTTATGGGAAGATATTTCCTTTTCCAACATAGGCCTGAAAGCGCTCCAAATGTCCACTTCCATATACTAAAAAAAGAGTGTTTCAAACCTGCTCTACCAAAGGGAATGTTCTACTCTGTGACTTGAATGCAAACATCCCAAAGAAGTTTCTGAGAATGCTTCTGTCTAGATTTTATCTGAAGACAATCCCGTTTCCAACGAAATCCTCAAGGCTAGGCAAATATACTCTTGCAGATTCCAGAAAAAGAGGGTTTCAAAACTGCTCCTTCAAAACGGTGGTTCAATTCTCTTAGTTGAGTACACACATCTCAAATAAGTTTCTGAGAATGCTTCTGCCTAGTTGTTAAGGGAAGATATTTCCCTTTCCAACATAGGCCTGAAAGCGCTCCAAATGTCCACTTCCAGATACTACAAAAAGAGTGTTTCAAACCTGCTCTACCAAAGGGAATGTTCTACTCTGTGAATTGAATGCAAACATCCCAAAGAAGTTTCTGAGAATGCTTCTGTCTAGATTTTACCTGAAGACAATCCCGTTTCCCACGAAATCCTCAAAGCTATGCAAATATCCTCTTGCAGATTCTACAAAAAGAGTGTTTCAAAACTGCTCTATGAAAAGAAAGGTTCAACTCTGTCAGTAGAGGGCACACATCACAAACAAGTTTCTGAGAATGCTTGTGTCTAGTTGTTATGGGAAGATATTTCCTTTTTCAACATAGGCCTGAAAGCGCTCCAAATGTCCACTTCCAGATACTACAAAAGGAGTGATTCCAACCTGCTCTATGATAGGGAATGTTCATCTCTGTGTCCTGAATACAAACATCACAAAGATGTTTCTCAGAACGCTGCAGTCTGCAATTTGTATGAATTCCCGCTTCCAACGAAATCCTCAAAACTAGCCAAATATCCACTTGCAGATTCCACAAAAAGACCATTTCAAAACTGCTCTATCAAAAGAAAGGTTCAACTTTGTTAGTTGAGTAGATACAGCATAACCAAGTTTCTGAGAATGCTTCTGTCCAGTTTTTATGGGAAGATATTTCCTTTTTCACCTTAGCCCTGAAATCGCTCCAAAAGTCCAGTTCCAGATACTACAAAAGGGGTGTTTCAAGACTGCTCTATGAAAGGGAGTGTTCAACTTTTGACTTGAATGCAAACATCAGAAAGCAGTTTGCTCAGAACGCTGCTGTGTGCTTTTTATATGTATTCCCGCTTCCAGCGAAATCCCCAAAGCTAGCCAAATATCCACTTGCAGATTCCAGAAAAAGAGTGTTTCAAAACTGCTCCTTCAAAACGGTGGTTCAATTCTCTTAGTTGAGTACACACATCTCAAATAAGTTTCTGAGAATGCTTCTGTCCATTTGTTATGGGAAGATATTTCCTTTTCCAACATAGGCCTGAAAGCGCTCCAAATGTCCACTTCCAGATACTACAAAAGGAGTGATTCAAACCTGCTCTATGATAGGGAATGTTCAACTCTGTGTCCTGAATACAAACATCACAAAGATGTTTCTCAGAACGCTGCAGTCTGCAATTTGTATGAATTCCCGCTTCCAACGAAATCCTCAAAACTAGCCAAATATCCACTTGCAGATTCCACAAAAAGAGCGTTTCAAAACTTCTCTATGAAAAGAAAGTTTCTACTCCTTTACTTGAGTACACACATCACGAGTAAGTTTCTGAGAATGCTTCTGTCTAGTTTTTATGGGAAGATATTTCCTTTTTCACCTTAGGCCGGTAAGTGCTCCAAATGTCCACTTACACACACTACAAAAAGAGTGTTTCAAACCTGCTCTGTGAAAGGGAATGTTCAATTCTGTGACTTGAATGCAATCATCACAAAGAACTTTCTGAGAATGCTGCTGACTGCTTTTTATATGTAATCCCGTTTCCAACGAAATCCTCAAATCTAGCCAAATAGCCACTTGCAGATTCCACAAAAAGAGTGTTTCAAAACTGTTCTGTCTAAAGAAATGTTCAACTGTGTTAGTTGAGGACACACATCAGAAACTAGTTTCTGAGAATGCTTCTGTCTAGTTGTTATGGGAAGATAATTCCTTTTCCAACGTAGGCCTGAAAGCGATCAAAATGTCCACTTCCATATACTAAAAAAAGAGTGTTTCAAACCTGCTCTACCAAAGGGAATGTTCTACTCTGTGACTTGAATGCAAACATCCCAAAGAAGTTTCTGAGAATGCTTCTGTCTAGATTTTATCTGAAGACAATCCCGTTTCCAACGAAATCCACAAAGCTAGGAAGATATACTCTTGCAGATTCCAGAAAAAGAGTGTTTCAAAACTGCTCCTTCAAAACGGTGGTTCAATTCTCTTAGTTGAGTACACACATGTCAAATAAGTTTCTGAGAATGCTTCTGCCTAGTTGTTACGGGAAGATATTTCCCTTTCCAACATAGGCCTGAAAGCGCTCCAAATGTCCACTTCCAGATACTACAAAAAGAGTGTTTCAAACCTGCTCTACCAAAGGGAATGTTCTACTCTGTGACTTGAATGCAAACATCCCAAAGAAGTTTCTGAGAATGCTTCTGTCTAGATTTTACCTGAAGACAATCCCGTTTCCCACGAAATCCTCAAAGGTATGCAAATATCCTCTTGCGGATTCTACAAAAACAGTGTTTCAAAACTGCTCTATGAAAAGAAAGGTTCAACTCTGTCAGTAGAGGGCACACATCACAAACAAGTTTCTGAGAATGCTTGTGTCTAGTTGTTATGGGAAGATATTTCCTTTTTCAACATAGGCCTGAAAGCGCTCCAAATGTCCACTTCCAGATACTACAAAAGGAGTGATTCCAACCTGCTCTATGATAGGGAATGTTCAACTCTCTGTCCTGAATACAAACATCACAAAGATGTTTCTCAGAACGCTGCAGTCTGCAATTTGTATGAAATCCCGCTTCCAACGAAATCCTCAAAACTAGCCAAATATCCACTTGCAGATTCCACAAAAAGAGCATTTCAAAACTGCTCTATCAAAAGAAAGGTTCAACTTTGTTAGTTGAGTAGATACAGCATAAACAAGTTTCTGAGAATGCTTCTGTCCAGTTTTTATGGGAAGATATTTCCTTTTTCACCTTAGCCCTGAAAGCGCTCCAAAAGTCCAGTTCCAGATACTACAAAAGGAGTGTTTCAGGACTGCTCTATGAAAGGGAGTGTTCAACTTTTGACTTGAATGCAAACATCAGAAAGCAGTTTACTCAGAACGCTGCAGTCTGCAATTTGTATGAATTCCCGCTTCCAACGAAATCCTCAAAACTAGCCAAATATCCACTTGCAGATTCCACAAAAAGAGCGTTTCAAAACTTCTCTATGAAAAGAAAGGTTCTACTCCTTTAGTTGAGGACACACATCACGAGTAAGTTTCTGAGAATGCTTCTGTCTAGTTTTTATGGGAAGATATTTCCTTTTTCACCTTAGGCCGGAAAGTGCTCCAAATGTCCACTTACACACACTACAAAAAGAGTGTTTCAAACCTGCTCTGTGAAAGGGAATGTTCAATTCTGTGACTTGAATGCAATCATCACAAAGAAGTTTCTGAGAATGCTGCTGTCTGCTTTTTATATGTAATCCCGTTTCCAACGAAATCCTCAAATCTAGCCAAATAGCCACTTGCAGATTCCACAAAAAGAGTGTTTCAAAACTGTTCTGTCTAAAGAAATGTTCAACTGTGTTAGTTGAGGACACACATCAGAAACTAGTTTCTGAGAATGCTTCTGTCTAGTTGTTATGGGAAGATATTTCCTTTTCCAACGTAGGCCTGAAAGCGCTCCAAATGTCCACTTCCATATACTAAAAAAAGAGTGTTTCAAACCTGCTCTACCAAAGGGAATGTTCTACTCTGTGACTTGAATGCAAACATCCCAAAGAAGTTTCTGAGAATGCTTCTGTCTAGATTTGATCTGAAGACAATCCCGTTTCCAACGAAATCCTCAAGGCTAGGCAAATATCCTCTTGCAGATTCCAGAAAAAGAGTGTTTCAAAACTGCTCCTTCAAAACGGTGGTTCAATTCTCTTAGTTGAGTACACACATCTCAAATAAGTTTCTGAGAATGCTTCTGCCTAGTTGTTACGGGAAGATATTTCCCTTTCCAACATAGGCCTGAAAGCGCTCCAAATGTCCACTTCCAGATACTACAAAAAGAGTGTTTCAAACCTGCTCTACCAAAGGGAATGTTCTACTCTGTGACTTGAATGCAAACATCCCAAAGAAGTTTCTGAGAATGCTTCTGTCTAGATTTTACCTGAAGACAATCCCGTTTCCCACGAAATCCTCAAAGCTATGCAAATATCCTCTTGCGGATTCTACAAAAAGAGTGTTTCAAAACTGCTCTATGAAAAGAAAGGTTCAACTCTGTCAGTAGAGGGCACACATCACAAACAAGTTTCTGAGAATGCTTCTGTCTAGTTGTTATGGGAAGATATTTCCTTTTTCAACATAGGCCTGAAAGCGCTCCAAATGTCCACTTCCAGATACTACAAAAGGAGTGATTCCAACATGCTCTATGATAGGGAATGTTCATCTCTGTGTCTTGAATACAAACATCACAAAGATGTTTCTCAGAACGCTGCAGTCTGCAATTTGTATGAATTCCCGCTTCCAACGAAATCCTCAAAACTAGCCAAATATCCACTTGCAGATTCCACAAAAAGACCATTTCAAAACTGCTCTATCAAAAGAAAGGTTCAACTTTGTTAGTTGAGTAGATACAGCATAACCAAGTTTCTGAGAATGCTTCTGTCCAGTTTTTATGGGAAGATATTTCCTTTTTCACCTTAGCCCTGAAATCGCTCCAAAAGTCCAGTTCCAGATACTACAAAAGGGGTGTTTCAAGACTGCTCTATGAAAGGGAGTGTTCAACTTTTGACTTGAATGCAAACATCAGAAAGCAGTTTCTCAGAACGCTGCTGTGTGCTTTTTATATGTATTCCCGCTTCCAGCGAAATCCCCAAAGCTAGCCAAATATCCACTTGCAGATTCCAGAAAAAGAGTGTTTCAAAACTGCTCCTTCAAAACGGTGGTTCAATTCTCTTAGTTGAGTACACACATCTCAAATAAGTTTCTGAGAATGCTTCTGTCTAGTTGTTATGGGAAGATATTTCCTTTTCCAACATAGGCCTGAAAGCGCTCCAAATGTCCACTTCCAGATACTACAAAAGGAGTGATTCCAACCTGCTCTATGATAGGGAATGTTCAACTCTGTGTCCTGAATACAAACATCACAAAGATGTTTCTCAGAACGCTGCAGTCTGCAATTTGTATGAATTCCCGCTTCCAACGAAATCCTCAAAACTAGCCAAATATCCACTTGCAGATTCCACAAAAAGAGCGTTTCAAAACTTCTCTATGAAAAGAAAGGTTCTACTCCTTTAGTTGAGGACACACATCACGAGTAAGTTTCTGAGAATGCTTCTGTCTAGTTTTTATGGGAAGATATTTCCTTTTTCACCTTAGGCCGGAAAGTGCTCCAAATGTCCACTTACACACACTACAAAAAGAGTGTTTCAAACCCGCTCTCTGAAAGGGAATGTTCAATTCTGTGACTTGAATGCAATCATCACAAAGAACTTTCTGAGAATGCTGCTGTCTGCTTTTTATATGTAATCCCGTTTCCAACGAAATCCTCAAATCTAGCCAAATAGCCACTTGCAGATTCCACAAAAAGAGTGTTTCAAAACTGTTCTGTCTAAAGAAATGTTCAACTGTGTTAGTTGAGGACACACATCAGAAACTAGTTTCTGAGAATGCTTCTGTCTAGTTGTTATGGGAAGATATTTCCTTTTCCAACGTAGGCCTGAAAGCGCTCCAAATGTCCACTTCCATATACTAAAAAAAGAGTGTTTCAAACCTGCTCTACCAAAGGGAATGTTCTACTCTGTGACTTGAATGCAAACATCCCAAAGAAGTTTCTGAGAATGCTTCTGTCTAGATTTGATCTGAAGACAATCCCGTTTCCAACGAAATCCTCAAGGCTAGGCAAATATACTCTTGCAGATTCCAGAAAAAGAGTGTTTCAAAACTGCTCCTTCAAAACGGTGGTTCAATTCTCTTAGTTGAGTACACACATCTCAAATAAGTTTCTGAGAATGCTTCTGCCTAGTTGTTACGGGAAGATATTTCCCTTTCCAACATGGGCCTGAAAGCGCTCCAAATGTCCACTTCCAGATACTACAAAAAGAGTGTTTCAAACCTGCTCTACCAAAGGGAATGTTCTACTCTGTGACTTGAATGCAAACATCCCAAAGAAGTTTCTGAGAATGCTTCTGTCTAGATTTTACCTGAAGACAATCCCGTTTCCCACGAAATCCTCAAAGCTATGCAAATATCCTCTTGCAGATTCTACAAAAAGAGTGTTTCAAAACTGCTCTATGAAAAGAAAGGTTCAACTCTGTCAGTAGAGGGCACACATCACAAACAAGTTTCTGAGAATGCTTGTGTCTACTTGTTATGGGAAGATATTTCCTTTTTCAACATAGGCCTGAAAGCGCTCCAAATGTCCACTTCCAGATACTACAAAAGGAGTGATTCCAACCTCCTCTATGATAGGGAATGTTCAACTCTGTGTCCTGAATACAAACATCACAAAGATGTTTCTCAGAACGCTGCAGTCTGCAATTTGTATGAATTCCCGCTTCCAAAGAAATCCTCAAAACTAACCAAATATCCACTTGCAGACTCCACAAAAAGAGCATTTCAAAACTGCTCTATCAAAAGAAAGGTTCAACTTTGTTAGCTGAGTAGATACAGCATAAACAAGTTTCTGAGAATGCTGCAGTCTGCAATTTGTATGAATTCCCGCTTCCAACGAAATCCTCAAAACTAGCCAAATATCCACTTGGAGATTCCACAAAAAGAGCGTTTCAAAACTTCTCTATGAAGAGAAAGGTTCTACTCCTTTAGTTGAGGACACACATCACGAGTAAGTTTCTGAGAATGCTTCTGTCTAGTTTTTATGGGAAGATATTTCCTTTTTCACCTTAGGCCGGAAAGCGCTCCAAATGTCCACTTACACACACTACAAAAAGAGTGTTTCAAACCTGCTCTGTGAAAGGGAATGTTCAATTCTGTGACTTGAATGCAATCATCACAAAGAACTTTCTGAGAATGCTGCTGTCTGCTTTTTATATGTAATCCCGTTTCCAACGAAATCCTCAAATCTAGCCAAATATCCACTTGCAGATTCCACAAAAAGAGTGTTTCAAAACTGTTCTGTCTAAAGAAAAGTTCAACTGTGTTAGTTGAGGACACACATCAGAAACTAGTTTCTGAGAATGCTTCTGTCTAGTTGTTATGGGAAGATATTTCCTTTTCCAACGTAGGCCTGAAAGCGCTCCAAATGTCCACTTCCATATACTAAAAAAAGAGTGTTTGAAACCTGCTCTACCAAAGGGAACGTTCTACTCTGTGACTTGAATGCAAACATCCCAAAGAAGTTTCTGAGAATGCTTCTGTCTAGATTTGATCTGAAGACAATCCCGTTTCCAACGAAATCCTCAAGGCTAGGCAAATATCCTCTTGCAGATTCCAGAAAAAGAGTGTTTCAAAACTGCTCCTTCAAAACGGTGGTTCAATTCTCTTACTTGAGTACACACATCTCAAATAAGTTTCTGAGAATGCTTCTGCCTAGTTGTTACGGGAAGATATTTCCCTTTCCAACATAGGCCTGAAAGCGCTTCAAATGTCCACTTCCAGATACTACAAAAAGAGTGTTTCAAACCTGCTCTACCAAAGGGAATGTTCTACTCTGTGACTTGAATGCAAACATCCCAAAGAAGTTTCTGAGAATGCTTCTGTCTAGATTTTACCTGAAGACAATCCCGTTTCCCACGAAATCCTCAAAGCTATGCAAATATCCTCTTGCAGATTCTACAAAAAGAGTGTTTCAAAACTGCTCTATGAAAAGAAAGGTTCAACTCTGTCACTAGAGGGCACACATCACAAACAAGTTTCTGAGAATGCTTGTGTCTAGTTGTTATGGGAAGATATTTCCTTTTTCAACATAGGCCTGAAAGCGCTCCAAATGTCCACTTCCAGATACTACAAAAGGAGTGATTCCAACCTGCTCTATGATAGGGAATGTTCAACTCTGTGTCCTGAATACAAACATCACAAAGATGTTTCTCAGAACGCTGCAGTCTGCAATTTGTATGAATTCCCGCTTCCAACGAAATCCTCAAAACTAGCCAAATATCCACTTGCAGATTCCACAAAAAGACCATTTCAAAACTGCTCTATCAAAAGAAAGGTTCAACTTTGTTAGTTGAGTAGATACAGCATAAACAAGTTTCTGAGAATGCTTCTGTCCAGTTTGTATGGGAAGATATTTCCTTTTTCACCTTAGCCCTGAAATCGCTCCAAAAGTCCAGTTCCAGATACTACAAAAGGGGTGTTTCAAGACTGCTCTATGAAAGGGAGTGTTCAACTTTTGACTTGAATGCAAACATCAGAAAGCAGTTTCTCAGAACGCTGCTGTGTGCTTTTTATATGTATTCCCGCTTCCAGCGAAATCCCCAAAGCTAGCCAAATATCCACTTGCAGATTCCAGAAAAAGAGTGTTTCAAAACTGCTCCTTCAAAACGGTGCTTCAATTCTCTTAGTTGAGTACACACATCTCAAATAAGTTTCTGAGAATGCTTCTGTCTAGTTTTTATGGGAAGATATTTCCTTTTTCACCTTAGGCCGGTAAGTGCTCCAAATGTCCACTTACACACACTACAAAAAGAGTGTTTCAAACCTGCTCTGTGAAAGGGAATGTTCAATTCTGTGACTTGAATGCAATCATCACAAAGAACTTTCTGAGAATGCTGCTGTCTGCTTTTTATATGTAATCCCGTTTCCAACGAAATCCTCAAATGTAGCCAAATATCCACTTGCAGATTCCACAAAAAGAGTGTTTCAAAACTGTTCTGTCTAAAGAAATGTTCAACTGTTTTAGTTGAGGACACACATCAGAAACTAGTTTCTGAGAATGCTTCTGTCTAGTTGTTATGGGAAGATATTTCCTTTTCCAACGTAGGCCTGAAAGCGCTCCAAATGTCCACTTCCAGATACTACAAAAAGAGTGTTTCAAACCTGCTCTACCAAAGGGAATGTTCTACTCTGTGACTTGAATGCAAGCATCCCAAAGAAGTTTCTGAGAATGCTTCTGTCTAGATTTGATCTGAACACAATCCCGTTTCCAACGAAATCCTCAAAGCTAGGCAAATATCCTCTTGCAGATTCCAGAAAAAGAGTGTTTCAAAACTGCTCCTTCAAAACGGTGGTTCAATTCTCTTAGTTGAGTACACACATCTCAAATAAGTTTCTGAGAATGCTTCTGCCTAGTTGTTACCGGAAGATATTTCCCTTTCCAACATAGGCCTGAAAGCGCTCCAAATGTCCACTTCCAGATACTACAAAAAGAGTGTTTCAAACCTGCTCTACCAAAGGGAATGTTCTACTCTGTGACTTGAATGCAAACATCCCAAAGAAGTTTTCTGAGAATGCTTCTGTCTAGATTTTACCTGAAGACAATCCCGTTTCCCACGAAATCCTCAGAGCTATGCAAATATCCTCTTGCAGATTCTACAAAAAGAGTGTTTCAAAACTGCTCTATGAAAAGAAAGGTTCAACTCTGTCAGTAGAGGAAACACATCACCAACAAGTTTCTGAGAATGCTTCTGTCTAGTTGTTATGGGAAGATTTTTCCTTTTTCAACATAGGCCTGAAAGCGCTCCAAATGTCCACTTCCAGATACTACAAAAGGAGTGATTCAAACATGCTCTATGATAGGGAATGTTCAACTCTGTGTCCTGAATACAAACATCACAAAGGTGTTTCTCAGAACGCTGCAGTCTGCAACTTGTATGAATTCCCGCTTCCAACGAAATCCTCCAAACCAGCCAAATATCCACTTGCAGATTCCACAAAAAGAGCGTTTCAAAACTTCTCTATGAAAAGAAAGGTTCTACTCTTTTAGTTGAGGACACTCATCACGAGTAAGTTTCTGAGAATGCTTCTGTCCAGTTTTTATGGGAAGATATTTCCTTTTTCACCTTAGCCCTGAAAGCGCTCCAAAAGTCCAGTTCCAGATACTACAAAAGGAGTGTTTCAGGACTGCTCTATGAAAGGGAGTGTTCAACTTTTGACTTGAATGCAAACATCAGAAAGCAGTTTCTCAGAACGCTGCTGTGTGCTTTTTATATGTATTCCCGCTTCCAGCGAAATCCCCAAAGCTAGCCAAATATCCACTTGCAGATTCCAGAAAAAGAGTGTTTCAAAACTGCTCCTTCAAAACGGTGGTTCAATTCTCTTAGTTGAGTACACACATCTCAAATAAGTTTCTGAGAATGCTTCTGTCTAGTTGTTATGGGAAGATATTTCCTTTTGCAACATAGGCCTGAAAGCGCTCCAAATGTCCACTTCCAGATACTACAAAAGGAGTGATTCAAACCTGCTCTATGATAGGGAATGTTCAACTCTGTGTCCTGAATACAAACATCACAAAGATGTTTCTCAGAACGCTGCAGTCTGCAATTTGTATGAATTCCCGCTTCCAACGAAATCCTCAAAACTAGCCAAATATCCACTTGGAGATTCCACAAAAAGAGCGTTTCAAAACTTCTCTATGAATAGAAAGGTTCTACTCCTTTAGTTGAGGACACACATCACGAGTAAGTTTCTGAGAATGCTTCTGTCTAGTTTTTATGGGAAGATATTTCCTTTTTCACCTTAGGCCGGTAAGTGCTCCAAATGTCCACTTACACACACTACAAAAAGAGTGTTTCAAACCTGCTCTGTGAAAGGGAATGTTCAATTCTGTGACTTGAATGCAATCATCACAAAGAACTTTCTGAGAATGCTGCTGTCTGCTTTTTATATGTAATCCCGTTTCCAACGAAATCCTCAAATCTAGCCAAATATCCACTTGCAGATTCCACAAAAAGAGTGTTTCAAAACTGTTCTGTCTAAAGAAATGTTCAACTGTGTTAGTTGAGGACACACATCAGAAACTAGTTTCTGAGAATGCTTCTGTCTAGTTGTTATGGGAAGATATTTCCTTTTCCAACGTAGGCCTGAAAGCGCTCCAAATGTCCACTTCCATATACTAAAAAAAGAGTGTTTCAAACCTGCTCTACCAAAGGGATTATTCTACTCTGTGACTTGAATGCAAACATCCCAAAGAAGTTTCTGAGAATGCTTCTGTCTAGATTTTACCTGAAGACAATCCCGTTTCCCACGAAATCCTCAAAGCTAAGCAAATATCCTCTTGCAGATTCTACAAAAAGAGTGTTTCGAAACTGCTCTATGAAAAGAAAGGTTCAACTGTGTCAGTAGAGGGCACACATCACAAACAAGTTTCTGAGAATGCTTCTGCCTAGTTGTTATGGGAAGATATTTCCTTTTTCAACATAGGCCTGAAAGCGCTCCAAATGTCCACTTCCAGATACTACAAAAGGAGTGATTCCAACCTGCTCTATGATAGGGAATGTTCAACTCTGTGTCCTGAATACAGACATCACAAAGATTTTTCTGAGAACGGTGCAGTCTGCAATTTGTATGAATTCCCGCTTCCAACGAAATCCTCAAACCTAGCCAAATATCCACTTGCAGATTCCACAAAAAGAGCATTTCAAAACTGCTCTATCAAAAGAAAGGTTCAACTTTGTTAGTTGAGTAGATACGGCATAAACCAGTTTCTGAGAATGCTTCTGTCCAGTTTTTATGGGAAGATATTTCCTTTTTCACCTTAGCCCTGAAATCGCTCCAAAAGTCCAGTTCCAGATACTACAAAAGGGGTGTTTCAAGACTGCTCTATGAAAGGGAGTGTTCAACTTTTGACTTGAATGCAAACATCAGAAAGCAGTTTCTCAGAACGCTGCTGTGTGCTTTTTATATGTATTCCCGCTTCCAGCGAAATCCCCAAAGCTAGCCAAATATCCACTTGCAGATTCCAGAAAAAGAGTGTTTCAAAACTGCTCCTTCAAAACGGTGGTTCAATTCTCTTAGTTGAGTACACACATCTCAAATAAGTTTCTGAGAATGCTTGTGTCTAGTTGTTATGGGAAGATATTTCCTTTTTCAACATAGGCCTGAAAGCGCTCCAAATGTCCACTTCCAGATACTACAAAAGGAGTGATTCCAACCTGCTCTATGATAGGGAATGTTCATCTCTGTGTCCTGAATACAAACATCACAAAGATGTTTCTCAGAACGCTGCAGTCTGCAATTTGGATGAATTCCCGCTTCCTACGAAATCCTCAACACTAGCCAAATATCCACTTGGAGATTCCACAAAAAGAGCGTTTCAAAACTTCTCTATGAATAGAAAGGTTCTACTCCTTTAGTTGAGGACACACATCACGAGTAAGTTTCTGAGAATGCTTCTGTCTAGTTTTTATGGGAAGATATGTCCTTTTTCACCTTAGGCCGGAAAGCGCTCCAAATGTCCACTTACACACACTACAAAAAGAGTGTTTCAAACCTGCTCTGTGAAAGGGAATGTTCAATTCTGTGACTTGAATGCAATCATCACAAAGAACTTTCTGAGAATGCTGCTGACTGCTTTTTATATGTAATCCCGTTTCCAACGAAATCCTCAAATCTAGCCAAATAGCCACTTGCAGATTCCACAAAAAGAGTGTTTCAAAACTGTTCTGTCTAAAGAAATGTTCAACTGTGTTAGTTGAGGACACACATCAGAAACTAGTTTCTGAGAATGCTTCTGTCTAGTTGTTATGGGAAGATATTTCCTTTTCCAACGTAGGCCTGAAAGCGCTCCAAATGTCCACTTCCATATACTAAAAAAAGAGTGTTTCAAACCTGCTCTACCAAAGGGAATGTTCTACTCTGTGACTTGAATGCAAACATCCCAAAGAAGTTTCTGAGAATGCTTCTGTCTAGATTTTATCTGAAGACAATCCCGTTTCCAACGAAATCCTCAAGGCTAGGCAAATATACTCTTGCAGATTCCAGAAAAAGAGTGTTTCAAAACTGCTCCTTCAAAACGGTGGTTCAATTCTCTTAGTTGAGTACACACATCTCAAATAAGTTTCTGAGAATGCTTCTGCCTAGTTGTTACGGGAAGATATTTCCCTTTCCAACATGGGCCTGAAAGCGCTCCAAATGTCCACTTCCAGATACTACAAAAAGAGTGTTTCAAACCTGCTCTACCAAAGGGAATGTTCTACTCTGTGACTTGAATGCAAACATCCCAAAGAAGTTTCTGAGAATGCTTCTGTCTAGATTTTACCTGAAGACAATCCCGTTTCCCACGAAATCCTCAAAGCTATGCAAATATCCTCTTGCAGATTCTACAAAAAGAGTGTTTCAAAACTGCTCTATGAAAAGAAAGGTTCAACTCTGTCAGTAGAGGGCACACATCACAAACAAGTTTCTGAGAATGCTTGTGTCTAGTTGTTATGGGAAGATATTTCCTTTTTCAACATAGGCCTGAAAGCGGTCCAAATGTCCACTTCCAGATACTACAAAAGGAGTGATTCCAACATGCTCTATGATAGGGAATGTTCATCTCTGTGTCTTGAATACAAACATCACAAAGATGTTTCTCAGAACGCTGCAGTCTGCAATTTGTATGAATTCCCGCTTCCAACGAAATCCTCAAAACTAACCAAATATCCACTTGGAGATTCCACAAAAAGAGCGTTTCAAAACTTCTCTATGAATAGAAAGGTTCTACTCCTTTAGTTGAGGACACACATCACGAGTAAGTTTCTGAGAATGCTTCTGTCTAGTTTTTATGGGAAGATATTTCCTTTTTCACCTTAGGCCGGTAAGTGCTCCAAATGTCCACTTACACACACTACAAAAAGAGTGTTTCAAACCTGCTCTGTGAAAGGGAATGTTCAATTCTGTGACTTGAATGCAATCATCACAAAGAACTTTCTGAGAATGCTGCTGACTGCTTTTTATATGTAATCCCGTTTCCAACGAAATCCTCAAATCTAGCCAAATAGCCACTTGCAGATTCCACAAAAAGAGTGTTTCAAAACTGTTCTGTCTAAAGAAATGTTCAACTGTGTTAGTTGAGGACACACATCAGAAACTAGTTTCTGAGAATGCTTCTGTCTAGTTGTTATGGGAAGATATTTCCTTTTCCAACGTAGGCCTGAAAGCGATCAAAATGTCCACTTCCATATACTAAAAAAAGAGTGTTTCAAACCTGCTCTACCAAAGGGAATGTTCTACTCTGTGACTTGAATGCAAACATCCCAAAGAAGTTTCTGAGAATGCTTCTGTCTAGATTTTCTCTGAAGACAATCCCGTTTCCAACGAAATCCTCAAGGCTAGGCAAATATCCTCTTGCAGATTCCAGAAAAAGAGTGTTTCAAAACTGCTCCTTCAAAACGGTGGTTCAATTCTCTTAGTTGAGTACACACATCTCAAATAAGTTTCTGAGAATGCTTCTGCCTAGTTGTTACGGGAAGATATTTCCCTTTCCAACATGGGCCTGAAAGCGCTCCAAATGTCCACTTCCAGATACTACAAAAAGAGCGTTTCAAACCTGCTCTACCAAAGGGAATGTTCTACTCTGTGCCTTGAATGCAAACATCCCAAAGAAGTTTCTGAGAATGCTTCTGTCTAGATTTTACCTGAAGACAATCCCGTTTCCCACGAAATCCTCAAAGCTATGCAAATATCCTCTTGCAGATTCTACAAAAAGAGTGTTTCAAAACTGCTCTATGAAAAGAAAGGTTCAACTCTGTCAGTAGAGGGCACACATCACAAACAAGTTTCTGAGAATGCTTCTGCATAGTTGTTACGGGAAGATATTTCCCTTTCCAAAATAGGCCTGAAAGCGCTCCAAATGTCCACTTCCAGATACTACAAAAGGAGTGATTCCAACCTGCTCTATGATAGGGAATGTTCAACTCTGTGTCCTGAATACAAACATCACAAAGATGTTTCTCAGAACGCTGCAGTCTGCAATTTGTATGAATTCCCGCTTCCAACGAAATCCTCAAAACTAGCCAAATATCCACTTGCAGATTCCACAAAAAGACCATTTCAAAACTGCTCTATGAAAAGAAAGGTTCAACTTTGTTAGTTGAGTAGATACAGCATAAACAAGTTTCTGAGAATGCTTCTGTCCAGTTTTTATGGGAAGATATTTCCTTTTTCACCTTAGCCCTGAAATCGCTCCAAAAGTCCAGTTCCAGATACTACAAAAGGGGTGTTTCAAGACTGCTCTATGAAAGGGAGTGTTCAACTTTTGACTTGAATGCAAACATCAGAAAGCAGTTTCTCAGAACGCTGCTGTGTGCTTTTTATATGTATTCCCGCTTCCAGCGAAATCCCCAAAGCTAGCCAAATATCCACTTGCAGATTCCAGAAAAAGAGAGTTTCAAAACTGCTCCTTCAAAACGGTGGTTCAATTCTCTTAGTTGAGTACACACATCTCAAATAAGTTTCTGAGAATGCTTCTGTCTAGTTTTTATGGGAAGATATTTCCTTTTTCACCTGAGGCCGGAAAGCGCTCCAAATGTCCACTTCCAGATACTACAAAAGGAGTGATTCAAACCTGCTCTATGATAGGGAACGTTCAACTCTGTGTCCTGAATACAAACATCACAAAGATGTTTCTCAGAACGCTGCAGTCTGCAATTTGTATGAATTCCCGCTTCCAACGAAATCCTCAAAACTAGCCAAATATCCACTTGCAGATTCCACAAAAAGAGCGTTTCAAAACTTCTCTATGAAAAGAAAGGTTCTACTCCTTTAGTTGAGGACACACATCACGAGTAAGTTTCTGAGAATGCTTCTGTCTAGTTTTTATGGGAAGATATTTCCTTTTTCACCTTAGGCCGGAAAGTGCTCCAAATGTCCACTTACACACACTACAAAAAGAGTGTTTCAAACCTGCTCTGTGAAAGGGAATGTTCAATTCTGTGACTTGAATGCAATCATCACAAAGAACTTTCTGAGAATGCTGCTGTCTGCTTTTTATATGTAATCCCGTTTCCAACGAAATCCTCAAATGTAGCCAAATATCCACTTGCAGATTCCACAAAAAGAGTGTTTCAAAACTGTTCTGTCTAAAGAAATGTTCAACTGTGTTAGTTGAGGACACACATCAGAAACTAGTTTCTGAGAATGCTTCTGTCTAGTTGTTATGGGAAGATATTTCCTTTTCCAACGTAGGCCTGAAAGCGCTCCAAATGTCCACTTACACACACTACAAAAAGAGTGTTTCAAACCTGCTCTACCAAAGGGAATGTTCTACTCTGTGACTTGAATGCAAACATCCCAAAGAAGTTTCTGAGAATGCTTCTGTCTAGATTTGATCTGAAGACAATCCCGTTTCCAACGAAATCCTCAAGGCTAGGCAAATATCCTCTTGCAGATTCCAGAAAAAGAGTGTTTCAAAACTGCTCCTTCAAAACGGTGGTTCAATTCTCTTAGTTGAGTACACACATCTCAAATAAGTTTCTGAGAATGCTTCTGCCTAGTTGTTACGGGAAGATATTTCCCTTTCCAACATAGGCCTGAAAGCGCTCCAAATGTCCACTTCCAGACACTACAAAAAGAGTGTTTCAAACCTGCTCTACCAAAGGGAATGTTCTACTCTGTGACTTGAATGCAAACATCCCAAAGAAGTTTCTGAGAATGCTTCTGTCTAGATTTTACCTGAAGACAATCCCGTTTCCCACGAAATCCTCAAAGCTATGCAAATATCCTCTTGCAGATTCTACAAAAAGAGTGTTTCAAAACTGCTCTATGAAAAGAAAGGTTCAACTCTGTCAGTAGAGGGCACACATCACAAACAAGTTTCTGAGAATGCTTCTGTCTAGTTTTTATGGGAAGATATTTCCTTTTTCACCTTAGGCCGGAAAGCGCTCCAAATGTCCACTTCCAGATACTACAAAAGGAGTGATTCCAACCTGCTCTATGATAGGGAATGTTCAACTCTCTGTCCTGAATACAAACATCACAAAGATGTTTCTCAGAACGCTGCAGTCTGCAATTTGTATGAATTCCCGCTTCCAACGAAATCCTCAAAACTAGCCAAATATCCACTTGCAGATTCCACAAAAAGAGCATTTCAAAACTGCTCTATCAAAAGAAAGGTTCAACTTTGTTAGTTGAGTAGATACAGCATAAACAAGTTTCTGAGAATGCTGCAGTCTGCAATTTGTATGAATTCCCGCTTCCAACGAAATCCTCAAAACTAGCCAAATATCCACTTGGAGATTCCACAAAAAGAGCGTTTCAAAACTTCTCTATGAATAGAAAGGTTCTACTCCTTTAGTTGAGGACACACATCACGAGTAAGTTTCTGAGAATGCTTCTGTCTAGTTTTTATGGGAAGATATTTCCTTTTTCACCTTAGGCCGGAAAGTGCTCCAAATGTCCACTTACACACACTACAAAAAGAGTGTTTCAAACCTGCTCTGTGAAAGGGAATGTTCAATTCTGTGACTTGAATGCAATCATCACAATGAACTTTCTGAGACTGCTGCTGACTGCTTTTTATATGTAATCCCGTTTCCAACGAAATCCTCAAATCTAGCCAAATAGCCACTTGCAGATTCCACAAAAAGAGTGTTTCAAAACTGTTCTGTCTAAAGAAATGTTCAACTGTGTTAGTTGAGGACACACATCAGAAACTAGTTTCTGAGAATGCTTCTGTCTAGTTGTTATGGGAAGAATATTTCCTTTTCCAACGTAGGCCTGAAAGCGCTCCAAATGTCCACTTCCAGATACTACAAAAAGAGTGTTTCAAACCTGCTCTACCAAAGGGAATGTTCTACTCTGTGACTTGAATGCAAGCATCCCAAAGAAGTTTCTGAGAATGCTTCTGTCTGGATTTTATCTGAAGACAATCCCGTTTCCAACGAAATCCTCAAAGCTATGCAAATATCCTCCTGCAGATTCTACAAAAAGAGTGTTTCAAACTGCTCTATGAAAAGAAAGGTTCAACTCTGTTAGTAGAGGGCACACATCACAAACAAGTTTCTGAGAATGCTTGTGTCTAGTTGTTATGGGAAGATATTTCCTTTTTCAACATAGGCCTGAAAGCGCTCCAAATGTCCACTTCCAGATACTACAAAAGGAGTGATTCCAACCTGCTCTATGATAGGGAATGTTCAACTCTCTGTCCTGAATACAAACATCACAAAGATGTTTCTCAGAACGCTGCAGTCTGCAATTTGTATGAATTCCCGCTTCCAACGAAATCCTCAAAACTAGCCAAATATCCACTTGCAGATTCCACAAAAAGAGCATTTCAAAACTGCTCTATCAAAAGAAAGGTTCAACTTTGTTAGTTGAGTAGATACAGCATAAACAAGTTTCTGAGAATGCTTCTGTCCAGTTTTTATGGGAAGATATTTCCTTTTTCACCTTAGCCCTGAAAGCGCTCCAAAAGTCCAGTTCCAGATACTACAAAAGGAGTGTTTCAGGACTGCTCTATGAAAGGGAGTGTTCAACTTTTGACTTGAATGCAAACATCAGAAAGCAGTTTCTCAGAACGCTGCTGTGTGCTTTTTATATGTATTCCCGCTTCCAGCGAAATCCCCAAAGCTAGCCAAATATCCACTTGCAGATTCCAGAAAAAGAGTGTTTCAAAACTGCTCCTTCAAAACGGTGGTTCAATTCTCTTAGTTGAGTACACACATCTCAAATAAGTTTCTGAGAATGCTTCTGTCTAGTTGTTATGGGAAGATATTTCCTTTTCCAACATAGGCCTGAAAGCGCTCCAAATGTCCACTTCCAGATACTACAAAAGGAGTGATTCCAACCTGCTCTATGATAGGGAATGTTCAACTCTGTGTCCTGAATACAAACATCACAAAGATGTTTCTCAGAACGCTGCAGTCTGCAATTTGTATGAATTCCCGCTTCCAACGAAATCCTCCAAACTAGCCAAATATCCACTTGCAGATTCCACAAAAAGAGCGTTTCAAAACTTCTCTATGAAAAGAAAGGTTCTACTCCTTTAGTTGAGGACACACATCACGAGTAAGTTTCTGAGAATGCTTCTGTCTAGTTTTTATGGGAAGATATTTCCTTTCTCACCTTAGGCCGGAAAGTGCTCCAAATGTCCACTTACACACACTACAAAAAGAGTGTTTCAAACCTGCTCTGTGAAAGGGAATGTTCAATTCTGTGACTTGAATGCAATCATCACAAAGAACTTTCTGAGAATGCTGCTGACTGCTTTTTATATGTAATCCCGTTTCCAACGAAATCCTCAAATCTAGCCAAATAGCCACTTGCAGATTCCACAAAAAGAGTGTTTCAAAACTGTTCTGTCTAAAGAAATGTTCAACTGTGTTAGTTGAGGACACACATCAGAAACTAGTTTCTGAGAATGCTTCTGTCTAGTTGTTATGGGAAGATATTTCCTTTTCCAACGTAGGCCTGAAAGCGCTCCAAATGTCCACTTACACACACTACAAAAAGAGTGTTTCAAACCTGCTCTACCAAAGGGAATGTACTACTCTGTGACTTGAATGCAAACATCCCAAAGAAGTTTCTGAGAATGCTTCTGTCTAGATTTTACCTGAAGACAATCCCGTTTCCCACGAAATCCTCAAAGCTATGCAAATATCCTCTTGCAGATTCTACAAAAAGAGTGTTTCGAAAGTGCTCTATGAAAAGAAAGGTTCAACTGTGTCAGTAGAGGGCACACATCACAAACAAGTTTCTGAGAATGCTTGTGTCTAGTTGTTATGGGAAAATATTTCCTTTTTCAACATAGGCCTGAAAGCGCTCCAAATGTCCACTTCCAGATACTACAAAAGGAGTGATTCCAACCTGCTCTATGATAGGGAATGTTCAACTCTCTGTCCTGAATACAAACATCACAAAGATGTTTCTCAGAACGCTGCAGTCTGCAATTTGTATGAATTCCCGCTTCCAACGAAATCCTCAAAACTAGCCAAATATCCACTTGCAGATTCCACAAAAAGAGCATTTCAAAACTGCTCTATCAAAAGAAAGGTTCAACTTTGTTAGTTGAGTAGATACAGCATAAACAAGTTTCTGAGAATGCTTCTGTCCAGTTTTTATGGGAAGATATTTCCTTTTTCACCTTAGCCCTGAAAGCGCTCCAAAAGTCCAGTTCCAGATACTACAAAAGGAGTGTTTCAGGACTGCACTATGAAAGGGAGTGTTCAACTTTTGACTTGAATGCAAACATCAGAAAGCAGTTTCTCAGAACGCTGCTGTGTGCTTTTTATATGTATTCCCGCTTCCAGCGAAATCCCCAAAGCTAGCCAAATATCCACTTGCAGATTCCAGAAAAAGAGTGTTTCAAAACTGCTCCTTCAAAACGGTGGTTCAATTCTCTTAGTTGAGTACACACATCTCAAATAAGTTTCTGAGAATGCTGCAGTCTGCAATTTGTATGAATTCCCGCTTCCAACGAAATCCTCAAAACTAGCCAAATATCCACTTGCAGATTCCACAAAAAGAGCGTTTCAAAACTTCTCTATGAAAAGAAAGGTTCTACTCCTTTAGTTGAGGACACACATCACGAGTAAGTTTCTGAGAATGCTTCTGTCTAGTTTTTATGGGAAGATTATTTCCTTTTTCACCTTAGGCCGGTAAGTGCTCCAAATGTCCACTTACACACACTACAAAAAGAGTGTTTCAAACCTGCTCTGTGAAAGGGAATGTTCAATTCTGTGACTTGAATGCAATCATCACAAAGAACTTTCTGAGAATGCTGCTGACTGCTTTTTATATGTAATCCCGTTTCCAACGAAATCCTCAAATCTAGCCAAATAGCCACTTGCAGATTCCACAAAAAGAGTGTTTCAAAACTGTTCTGTCTAAAGAAATGTTCAACTGTGTTAGTTGAGGACACACATCAGAAACTAGTTTCTGAGAATGCTTCTGTCTAGTTGTTATGGGAAGATATTTCCTTTTCCAACGTAGGCCTGAAAGCGCTCCAAATGTCCACTTCCAGATACTACAAAAAGAGTGTTTCAAACCTGCTCTACCAAAGGGAATGTTCTACTCTGTGACTTGAATGCAAGCATCCCAAAGAAGTTTCTGAGAATGCTTCTGTCTAGATTTTCTCTGAAGACAATCCCGTTTCCAACGAAATCCTCAAGGCTAGGCAAATATACTCTTGCAGATTCCAGAAAAAGAGTGTTTCAAAACTGCTCCTTCAAAACGGTGGTTCAATTCTCTTAGTTGAGTACACACATCTCAAATAAGTTTCTGAGAATGCTTCTGCCTAGTTGTTACGGGAAGATATTTCCCTTTCCAACATGGGCCTGAAAGCGCTCCAAATGTCCACTTCCAGATACTACAAAAAGAGTGTTTCAAACCTGCTCTACCAAAGGGAATGTTCTACTCTGTGACTTGAATGCAAACATCCCAAAGAAGTTTCTGAGAATGCTTCTGTCTAGATTTTACCTGAAGACAATCCCGTTTCCCACGAAATCCTCAAAGCTATGCAAATATCCTCTTGCAGATTCTACAAAAAGAGTGTTTCAAAACTGCTCTATGAAAAGAAAGGTTCAACTCTGTCAGTAGAGGGCACACATCACAAACAAGTTTCTGAGAATGCTTCTGCATAGTTGTTACGGGAAGATATTTCCCTTTCCAAAATAGGCCTGAAAGCGCTCCAAATGTCCACTTCCAGATACTACAAAAGGAGTGATTCCAACCTGCTCTATGATAGGGAATGTTCAACTCTGTGTCCTGAATACAAACATCACAAAGATGTTTCTCAGAACGCTGCAGTCTGCAATTTGTATGAATTCCCGCTTCCAACCGAAATCCTCAAAACTAGCCAAATATCCACTTGCAGATTCCACAAAAAGAGCATTTCAAAACTGCTCTATCAAAAGAAAGGTTCAACTTTGTTAGTTGAGTAGATACAGCATAAACAAGTTTCTGAGAATGCTTCTGTCCAGTTTTTATGGGAAGATATTTCCTTTTTCACCTTAGCCCTGAAAGCGCTCCAAATTTCCAGTTCCAGATACTACAAAAGGGGTGTTTCAAGACTGCTCTATGAAAGGGAGTGTTCAACTTTTGACTTGAATGCAAACATCAGAAAGCAGTTTCTCAGAACGCTGCAGTCTGCAATTTGTATGAATTCCCGCTTCCAACGAAATCCTCCAAACTAGCCAAATATCCACTTGCAGATTCCACAAAAAGAGCGTTTCAAAACTTCTCTATGAAAACAAAGGTTCTACTCCTTTAGTTGAGGACACACATCACGAGTAAGTTTCTGAGAATGCTTCTGTCTAGTTTTTATGGGAAGATATTTCCTTTTTCACCTTAGGCCGGAAAGTGCTCCAAATGTCCACTTACACACACTATAAAAAGAGTGTTTCAAACCTGCTCTGTGAAAGGGAATGTTCAATTCTGTGACTTGAATGCAATCATCACAAAGAACTTTCTGAGAATGCTGCTGTCTGCTTTTTATATGTAATCCCGTTTCCAACGAAATCCTCAAATCTAGCCAAATAGCCACTTGCAGATTCCACAAAAAGAGAGTTTCAAAACTGTTCTGTCTAAAGAAATGTTCAACTGTGTTAGTTGAGGACACACATCAGAAACTAGTTTCTGAGAATGCTTTCTGTCTAATTGTTATGGGAAGATATTTCCTTTTCCAACGTAGGCCTGAATGCGCTCCAAATGTCCACTTCCATATACTAAAAAAAGAGTGTTTCAAACCTGCTCTACCAAAGGGAATGTTCTACTCTGTGACTTGAATGCAAACATCCCAAAGAAGTTTCTGAGAATGCTTCTGTCTAGATTTGATCTGAAGACAATCCCGTTTCCAACGAAATCCTCAAAGCTAGGCAAATATCCTCTTGCAGATTCCAGAAAAAGAGTGTTTCAAAACTGCTCCTTCAAAACGGTGGTTCAATTCTCTTAGTTGAGTACACACATCTCCAATAAGTTTCTGAGAATGCTTCTGCCTAGTTGTTACGGGAAGATATTTCCCTTTCCAACATAGGCCTGAAAGCGCTCCAAATGTCCACTTCCAGATACTACAAAAAGAGTGTTTCAAACCTGCTCTACCAAAGGGAATGTTCTACTCTGTGACTTGAATGCAAACATCCCAAAGAAGTTTCTGAGAATGCTTCTGTCTAGATTTTACCTGAAGACAATCCCGTTTCCCACGAAATCCTCAAAGCTATGCAAATATCCTCTTGCAGATTCTACAAAAAGAGTGTTTCAAAACTGCTCTATGAAAAGAAAGGTTCAACTCTGTCAGTGGAGGGCACACATCACAAACAAGTTTCTGAGAACGCTTGTGTCTAGTTGTTATGGGAAGATATTTCCTTTTTCAACATAGGCCTGAAAGCGCTCCAAATGTCCACTTCCAGATACTACAAAAGGAGTGATTCCATCATGCTCTATGATAGGGAATGTTCATCTCTGTGTCTTGAATACAAACATCACAAAGATGTTTCTCAGAACGCTGCAGTCTGCAATTTGTATGAATTCCCGCTTCCAACGAAATCCTCAAAACTAGCCAAATATCCGCTTGCAGATTCCACAAAAAGAGCATTTCAAAACTGCTCTATCAAAAGAAAGGTTCAACTTTGTTAGTTGAGTAGATACAGCATAAACAAGTTTCTGAGAATGCTTCTGTCCAGTTTTTATGGGAAGATATTTCCTTTTTCACCTTAGCCCTGAAATCGCTCCAAAAGTCCAGTTCCAGATACTACAAAAGGGGTGTTTCAAGACTGCTCTATGAAAGGGAGTGTTCAACTTTTGACTTGAATGCAAACATCAGAAAGCAGTTTCTCAGAACGCTGCTGTGTGCTTTTTATATGTATTCCCGCTTCCAGCGAAATCCCCAAAGCTAGCCAAATATCCACTTGCAGATTCCAGAAAAAGAGAGTTTCAAAACTGCTCCTTCAAAACGGTGGTTCAATTCTCTTAGTTGAGTACACACATCTCAAATAAGTTTCTGAGAATGCTTCTGTCTAGTTGTTATGGGAAGATATTTCCTTTTCCAACATAGGCCTGAAAGCGCTCCAAATGTCCACTTCCAGATACTACAAAAGGAGTGATTCAAACCTGCTCTATGATAGGGAATGTTCAACTCTGTGTCCTGAATACAAACATCACAAAGATGTTTCTCAGAACGCTGCAGTCTGCAATTTGTATGAATTCCCGCTTCCAACGAAATCCTCCAAACTAGCCAAATATCCACTTGCAGATTCCACAAAAAGAGCGTTTCAAAACTTCTCTATGAAAACAAAGGTTCTACTCCTTTAGTTGAAGACACACATCACGAGTAAGTTTCTGAGAGTGCTTCTGTCTAGTTTTTATGGGACGATATTTCCTTTTTCACCTTAGGCTGGAAAGCGCTCCAAATGTCCACTTACACACACTACAAAAAGAGTGTTTCAAACCTGCTCTGTGAAAGGGAATGTTCAATTCTGTGACTTGAATGCAATCATCACAAAGAACTTTCTGAGAATGCTGCTGTCTGCTTTTTATATGTAATCCCGTTTCCAACGAAATCCTCAAATCTAGCCCAATATCCACTTGCAGATTCCACAAAAAGAGTGTTTCAAAACTGCTCTGTCTAAAGAAAAGTTCAACTGTGTTAGTTGAGGACACACATCAGAAACTAGTTTCTGAGAATGCTTCTGTCTAGTTGTTATGGGAAGATATTTCCTTTTCCAACGTAGGCCTGAAAGCGCTCCAAATGTCCACTTCCATATACTTAAAAAAGAGTGTTTCAAACCTGCTCTACCAAAGGGAATGTTCTACTCTGTGACATGAATGCAAACATCCCAAAGAAGTTTCTGAGAATGCTTCTGTCTAGATTTGATCTGAAGACAATCCCGTTTCCAACGAAATCCTCAAGGCTAGGTAAATATCCTCTTGCAGATTCCAGAAAAAGAGTGTTTCAAAACTGCTCCTTCAAAACGGTGGTTCAATTCTCTTAGTTGAGTACACACATCTCAAATAAGTTTCTGAGAATGCTTCTGCCTAGTTGTTACGGGAAGATATTTCCCTTTCCAACATAGGCCTGAAAGCGCTCCAAATGTCCACTTCCAGATACTACAAAAAGAGTGTTTCAAACCTGCTCTACCAAAGGGAATGTTCTACTCTGTGACTTGAATGCAAACATCCCAAAGAAGTTTCTGAGAATGCTTCTGTCTAGATTTTACCTGAAGACAATCCGGTTTCCCACGAAATCCTCAAAGCTATGCAAATATCCTCTTGCAGATTCTACAAAAAGAGTGTTTCAAAACTGCTCTATGAAAAGAAAGGTTCAACTCTGTCAGTAGAGGGCACACATCACAAACAAGTTTCTGAGAATGCTTGTGTCTAGTTGTTATGGGAAGATATTTCCTTTTTCAACATAGGCCTGAAAGCGCTCCAAATGTCCACTTCCAGATACTACAAAAGGAGTGATTCCAACCTGCTCTATGATAGGGAATGTTCAACTCTCTGTCCTGAATACAAACATCACAAAGATGTTTCTCAGAACGCTGCAGTCTGCAATTTGTATGAATTCCCGCTTCCAACGAAATCCTCAAAACTAGCCAAATATCCACTTGCAGATTCCACAAAAAGACCATTTCAAAACTGCTCTATCAAAAGAAAGGTTCAACTTTGTTAGTTGAGTAGATACAGCATAAACAAGTTTCTGAGAATGCTTCTGTCCAGTTTTTATGGGAAGATATTTCCTTTTTCACCTTAGCCCTGAAATCGCTCCAAAAGTCCAGTTCCAGATACTACAAAAGGGGTGTTTCAAGACTGCTCTATGAAAGGGAGTGTTCAACTTTTGACTTGAATGCAAACATCAGAAAGCAGTTTCTCAGAACGCTGCTGTGTGCTTTTTATATGTATTCCCGCTTCCAGCGAAATCCCCAAAGCTAGCCAAATATCCACTTGCAGATTCCAGAAAAAGAGTGTTTCAAAACTGCTCCTTCAAAACGGTGGTTCAATTCTCTTAGTTGAGTACACACATCTCAAATAAGTTTCTGAGAATGCTTGTGTCTAGTTGTTATGGGAAGATATTTCCTTTTTCAACATAGGCCTGAAAGCGCTCCAAATGTCCACTTCCAGATACTACAAAAGGAGTGATTCCAACCTGCTCTATCATAGGGAATGTTCATCTCTGTGTCCTGAATACAAACATCACAAAGATGTTTCTCAGAACGCTGCAGTCTGCAATTTGTATGAATTCCCGCTTCCAACGAAATCCTCAAAACTAGCCAAATATCCACTTGGAGATTCCACAAAAAGAGCATTTCAAAACTTCTCTATGAATAGAAAGGTTCTACTCCTTTAGTTGAGGACACACATCACGAGTAAGTTTCTGAGAATGCTTCTGTCTAGTTTTTATGGGAAGATATTTCCTTGTTCACCTTAGGCCGGAAAGCGCTCCAAATGTCCACTTACACACACTACAAAAAGAGTGTTTCAAACCTGCTCTGTGAAAGGGAATGTTCAATTCTGTGACTTGAATGCAATCATCACAAAGAACTTTCTGAGAATGCTGCTGTCTGCTTTTTATATGTAATCCCGTTTCCAACGAAATCCTCAAATCTAGCCAAATATCCACTTGCAGATTCCACAAAAAGAGTGTTTCAAAACTGTTCTGTCTAAAGAAAAGTTCAACTGTGTTAGTTGAGGACACACATCAGAAACTAGTTTCTGAGAATGCTTCTGTCTAGTTGTTATGGGAAGATATTTCCTTTTCCAACGTAGGCCTGAAAGCGCTCCAAATGTCCACTTCCATATACTAAAAAAGGAGTGTTTCAAACCTGCTCTACCAAAGGGAATGTTCTACTCTGTGACTTGAATGCAAACATCCCAAAGAAGTTTCTGAGAATGCTTCTGTCTAGATTTTATCTGAAGACAATCCCGTTTCCAACGAAATCTTCAAGGCTAGGCAAATATACTCTTGCAGATTCCAGAAAAAGAGTGTTTCAAAACTGCTCCTTCAAAACGGTGGTTCAATTCTCTTAGTGGAGTACACACATCTCAAATAAGTTTCTGAGAATGCTTCTGCCTAGTTGTTACGGGAAGATATTTCCCTTTCCAACATGGGCCTGAAAGCGCTCCAAATGTCCACTTCCAGATACTACAAAAAGAGTGTTTCAAACCTGCTCTACCAAAGGGAATGTTCTACTCTGTGACTTGAATGCAAACATCCCAAAGAAGTTTCTGAGAATGCTTCTGTCTAGATTTTACCTGAAGACAATCCCGTTTCCCACGAAATCCTCAAAGCTATGCAAATATCCTCTTGCAGATTCTACAAAAAGAGTGTTTCAAAACTGCTCTATGAAAAGAAAGGTTCAACTCTGTCAGTAGAGGGCACACATCACAAACAAGTTTCTGAGAATGCTTGTGTCTAGTTGTTATGGGAAGATATTTCCTTTTTCAACATAGGCCTGAAAGCGCTCCAAATGTCCACTTCCAGATACTACAAAAGGAGTGATTCCAACCTGCTCTATGATAGGGAATGTTCAACTCTGTGTCCTGAATACAAACATCACAAAGATGTTTCTCAGAACGCTGCAGTCTGCAATTTGTATGAATTCCCGCTTCCAACGAAATCCTCAAAACTAGCCAAATATCCACTTGCAGATTCCACAAAAAGACCATTTCAAAACTGCTCTATCAAAAGAAAGGTTCAACTTTGTTAGTTGAGTAGATACAGCATAAACAAGTTTCTGAGAATGCTTCTGTCCAGTTTTTATGGGAAGATATTTCCTTTTTCACCTTAGCCCTAAAATCGCTCCAAAAGTCCAGTTCCAGATACTACAAAAGGGGTGTTTCAAGACTGCTCTATGAAAGGGAGTGTTCAACTTTTGACTTGAATGCAAACATCAGAAAGCAGTTTCTCAGAACGCTGCAGTCTGCAATTTGTATGAATTCCCGCTTCCAACGAAATCCTCCAAACTAGCCAAATATCCACTTGCAGATTCCACAAAAAGAGCGTTTCAAAACTTCTCTATGAAAAGAAAGGTTCTACTCCTTTAGTTGAGGACACACATCACGAGTAAGTTTCTGAGAATGCTTCTGTCTAGTTTTTATGGGAAGATATTTCCTTTTTCACCTTAGGCCGGAAAGTGCTCCAAATGTCCACTTACACACACTATAAAAAGAGTGTTTCAAACCTGCTCTGTGAAAGGGAATGTTCAATTCTGTGACTTGAATGCAATCATCACAAAGAACTTTCTGAGAATGCTGCTGTCTGCTTTTTATATGTAATCCCGTTTCCAACGAAATCCTCAAATCTAGCCAAATAGCCACTTGCAGATTCCACAAAAAGAGTGTTTCAAAACTGTTCTGTCTAAAGAAATGTTCAACTGTGTTAGTTGAGGACACACATCAGAAACTAGTTTCTGAGAATGCTTCTGTCTAGTTGTTATGGGAAGATATTTCCTTTTCCAACGTGGGCTGAAAGCGCTGCAAATGTCCACTTCCATATACTAAAAAAAGAGTGTTTCAAACCTGCTCTACCAAAGGGAATGTTCTACTCTGTGACTTGAATGCAAACATCCCAAAGAAGTTTCTGAGAATGCTTCTGTCTAGATTTGATCTGAAGACAATCCCGTTTCCAACGAAATCCTCAAGGCTAGGCAAATATCCTCTTGCAGATTCCAGAAAAAGAGTGTTTCAAAACTGCTCCTTCAAAACGGTGATTCAATTCTCTTAGTTGAGTACACACATCTCAAATAAGTTTCTGAGAATGCTTCTGCCTAGTTGTTACGGGAAGATATTTCCCTTTCCAACATGGGCCTGAAAGCGCTCCAAATGTCCACTTCCAGATACTACAAAAAGAGTGTTTCAAACCTGCTCTACCAAAGGGAATGTTCTACTCTGTGACTTGAATGCAAACATCCCAAAGAAGTTTCTGAGAATGCTTCTGTCTAGATTTTACCTGGAGACAATCCCGTTTCCCACGAAATCCTCAAAGCTATGCAAATATCCTCTTGCAGATTCTACAAAAAGAGTGTTTCGAAACTGCTCTATGAAAAGAAAGGTTCAACTCTGTCAGTAGAGGGCACACATCACAAACAAGTTTCTGAGAATGCTTCTGTCTAGTTGTTATGGGAAGATATTTCCTTTTTCAACATAGGCCTGAAAGCGCTCCAAATGTCCACTTCCAGATACTACAAAAGGAGTGATTCCAACCTGCTCTATGATAGGGAATGTTCAACTCTGTGTCCTGAATACAAACATCACAAAGACGTTTCTCAGAACGCTGCAGTCTGCAATTTGTATGAATTCCCGCTTCCAGCGAAATCCTCAAAACTAGCCAAATATCCACTTGCAGATTCCACAAAAAGAGCATTTCAAAACTGCTCTATCAAAAGAAAGGTTCAACTTTGTTAGTTGAGTAGATACAGCATAAACAAGTTTCTGAGAATGCTTCTGTCCAGTTTTTATGGGAAGATATTTCCTTTTTCACCTTAGCCCTGAAATCGCTCCAAAAGTCCAGTTCCAGATACTACAAAAGGGGTGTTTCAAGACTGCTCTATGAAAGGGAGTGTTCAACTTTTGACTTGAATGCAAACATCAGAAAGCAGTTTCTCAGAACGCTGCTGTGTGCTTTTTATATGTATTCCCGCTTCCAGCGAAATCCCCAAAGCTAGCCAAATATCCACTTGCAGATTCCAGAAAAAGAGTGTTTCCAAACTGCTCCTTCAAAACGGTGGTTCAATTCTCTTAGTTGAGTACACACATCTCAAATAAGTTTCTGGGAATGCTTCTGTCTAGTTGTTATGGGAAGATATTTCCTTTTCCAACATAGGCCTGAAAGCGCTCCAAATGTCCACTTCCAGATACTACAAAAGGAGTGATTCAAACCTGCTCTATGATAGGGAATGTTCAACTCTGTGTCCTGAATACAAACATCACAAAGATGTTTCTCAGAACGCTGCAGTCTGCAATTTGTATGAATTCCCGCTTCCAACGAAATCCTCAAAACTAGCCAAATATCCACTTGGAGATTCCACAAAAAGAGCGTTTCAAAACTTCTCTATGAATAGAAAGGTGCTACTCCTTTAGTTGAGGACACACATCACGAGTAAGTTTCTGAGAATGCTTCTGTCTAGTTTTTATGGGAAGATATTTCCTTTTTCACCTTAGGCCGGAAAGTGCTCCAAATGTCCACTTACACACACTACAAAAAGAGTGTTTCAAACCTGCTCTGTGAAAGGGAATGTTCAATTCTGTGACTTGAATGCAATCATCACAAAGAACTTTCTGAGAATGCTGCTGTCTGCTTTTTATATGTAATCCCGTTTCCAACGAAATCCTCAAATCTAGCCCAATATCCACTTGCAGATTCCACAAAAAGAGTGTTTCAAAACTGTTCTGTCTAAAGAAATGTACAACTGTGTTAGTTGAGGACACACATCAGAAACTAGTTTCTGAGAATGCTTGTCTGTCTAGTTGTTATGGGAAGATATTTCCTTTTCCAACGTAGGCCTGAAAGCGCTCCAAATGTCCACTTCCATATACTAAAAAAAGAGTGTTTCAAACCTGCTCTACCAAAGAGAATGTTCTACTCTGTGACTTGAATGCAAACATCCCAAAGAAGTTTCTGAGAATGCTTCTGTCTAGATTTTATCTGAAGACAATCCCGTTTCCAACGAAATCCTCAAGGCTAGGCAAATATACTCTTGCAGATTCCAGAAAAAGAGTGTTTCAAAACTGCTCCTTCAAAACGGTGGTTCAATTCTCTTAGTTGAGTACACACATCTCAAATAAGTTTCTGAGAATGCTTCTGCCTAGTTGTTACGGGAAGATATTTCCCTTTGCAACATGGGCCAGAAAGCGCTCCAAATGTCCACTTCCAGATACTACAAAAAGAGGGTTTCAAACCTGCTCTACCAAAGGGAATGTTCTACTCTGTGACTTGAATGTAAACATCCCAAAGAAGTTTCTGAGAATGCTTCTGTCTAGATTTTACCTGAAGACAATCCCGTTTCCCACGAAATCCTCAAAGCTATGCAAATATCCTCTTGTAGATTCTACAAAAAGAGTGTTTCGAAACTGCTCTATGAAAAGAAAGGTTCAACTCTGTCAGTAGAGGGCACACATCACAAACAAGTTTCTGAGAATGCTTGTGTCTACTTGTTATGGGAAGATATTTCCTTTTTCAACATAGGCCTGAAAGCGCTCGAAATGGCCACTTCCAGATACTACAAAAGGAGTGATTCCAACCTGCTCTATGATAGGGAATGTTCAACTCTGTGTCCTGAATACAAACATCACAAAGATGTTTCTCAGAACGCTGCAGTCTGCAATTTGTATGAATTCCCGCTTCCAACGAAATCCTCAAAACTAGCCAAATATCCACTTGCAGACTCCACAAAAAGAGCATTTCAAAACTGCTCTATCAAAAGAAAGGTTCAACTTTGTTAGCTGAGTAGATACAGCATAAACAAGTTTCTGAGAATGCTTCTGTCCAGTTTTTATGGGAAGATATTTCCTTTTTCACCTTAGCCCTGAAAGCACTCCAAATGTCCACTTCCAGATACCACAAAAGGGGAGTTTCAAGACTGCTCTACGAAAGGGAGTGTTCAACTTTTGACTTGAATGCGAACATCAGAAAGAAGTTTCTCAGAACGCTGCTGTGTGCTTTTTATATGTATTCCCGCTTCCAGCGAAATCCCCAAAGCTAGCCAGATATCCACTTGCAGATTCCAGAAAAAGAGTGTTTCAAAACTGCTCCTTCAAAACGGTGGTTCAATTCTCTTAGTTGAGTACACACATCTCAAATAAGTTTCTGAGAATGCTTCTGTCTAGTTGTTATGGGAAGATATTTCCTTTTCCAACATAGGCCTGAAAGCGCTCCAAATGTCCACTTCCAGATACTACAAAAGGAGTGATTCCAACCTGCTCTATGATAGGGAATGTTCAACTCTGTGTCCTGAATACAAACATCACAAAGATGTTTCTCAGAACGCTGCAGTCTGCAATTTGTATGAATTCCCGCTTCCAACGAAATCCTCCAAACTAGCCAAATATCCACTTGCAGATTCCACAAAAAGAGCGTTTCAAAACTTCTCTATGAAAAGAAAGGTTCTACTCCTTTAGTTGAGGACACACATCACGAGTAAGTTTCTGAGAATGCTTCTGTCTAGTTTTTATGGGAAGATATTTCCTTTTTCACCTTAGGCCGGAAAGTGCTCCAAATGTCCACTTACACACACTATAAAAAGAGTGTTTCAAACCTGCTCTGTGAAAGGGAATGTTCAATTCTTTGACTTGAATGCAATCATCACAAAGAACTTTCTGAGAATGCTGCTGACTGCTTTTTATATGTAATCCCGTTTCCAATGAAATCCTCAAATCTAGCCAAATAGCCACTTGCAGATTCCACAAAAAGAGTGTTTCAAAACTGTTCTGTCTAAAGAAATGTTCAACTGTGTTAGTTGAGGACACACATCAGAAACTAG
Source organism: Homo sapiens (assembly GCF_000001405.40). NCBI lineage: Eukaryota > Metazoa > Chordata > Mammalia > Primates > Hominidae > Homo > Homo sapiens. Next base: position 19,832,652 of record NC_000018.10, on the reverse strand, counting down.
TTTCTGAGAATGCTTCTGTCTAGTTGTTATGGGAAGATATTTCCTTTTCCAACGTAGGCCTGAAAGCGCTCCAAATGTCCACTTCCAGATACTAAAAAAAGAGTGTTTCAAACCTGCTCTACCAAAGGGAATGTTCTACTCTGTGACTGGAATGCAAGCATCCCAAAGAAGTTTCTGAGAATGCTTCTGTCTAGATTTTCTCTGAAGACAATCCCGTTTCCAACGAAATCCTCAAGGCTAGGCAAATATACTCTTGCAGATTCCAGAAAAAGAGTGTTTCAAAACTGCTCCTTCAAAACGGTGGTTCAATTCTCTTAGTTGAGTACACACATCTCAAATAAGTTTCTGAGAATGCTTCTGCCTAGTTGTTACGGGAAGATATTTCCCTTTCCAACATAGGCCTGAAAGCGCAACAAATGTCCACTTCCAGATACTACAAAAAGAGTGTTTCAAACCTGCTCTACCGAAGGGAATGTTCTACTCTGTGACTTGAATGCAAACATCCCGAAGAAGTTTCTGAGAATGCTTCTGTCTAGATTTTACCTGAAGACAATCCCGTTTCCCACGAAATCCTCAAAGCTATGCAAATATCCTCTTGCAGATTCTACAAAAAGAGTGTTTCAAAACTGCTCTATGAAAAGAAAGGTTCAACTCTGTCAGCAGAGGGCACACATCACAAACAAGTTTCTGAGAATGCTTGTGTCTAGTTGTTATGGGAAGATATTTCCTTTTTCAACATAGGCCTGAAGCGCTCCAAATGTCCACTTCCAGATACTACAAAAGGAGTGATTCCAACCTGCTCTATGATAGGGAATGTTCAACTCTCTGTCCTGAATACAAACATCACAAAGATGTTTCTCAGAACGCTGCAGTCTGCAATTTGTATGAATTCCCGCTTCCAACGAAATCCTCAAAACTAGCCAAATATCCACTTGCAGATTCCACAAAAAGAGCATTTCAAAACTGCTCTATCAAAAGAAAGGTTCAACTTTGTTAGTTGAGTAGATACAGCATAAACAAGTTTCTGAGAATGCTTCTGTCCAGTTTTTATGGGAAGATATTTCCTTTTTCACCTTAGCCCTGAAATCGCTCCAAAAGTCCAGTTCCAGATACTACAAAAGGGGTGTTTCAGGACTGCTCTATGAAAGGGAGTGTTCAACTTTTGACTTGAATGCAAACATCAGAAAGCAGTTTCTCAGAACGCTGCAGTCTGCAATTTGTATGAATTCCCGCTTCCAACGAAATCCTCAAAACTAGCCAAATATCCACTTGCAGATTCCACAAAAAGAGCGTTTCAAAACTTCTCTATGAAAAGAAAGGTTCTACTCCTTTAGTTGAGGACACACATCACGAGTAAGTTTCTGAGAATGCTTCTGTCTAGTTTTTATGGGAAGATATTTCCTTTTTCACCTTAGGCCGGAAAGTGCTCCAAATGTCCACTTACACACACTACAAAAAGAGTGTTTCAAACCTGCTCTGTGAAAGGGAATGTTCAATTCTGTGACTTGAATGCAATCATCACAAAGAAGTTTCTGAGAATGCTGCTGTCTGCTTTTTATATGTAATCCCGTTTCCAACGAAATCCTCAAATCTAGCCAAATAGCCACTTGCAGATTCCACAAAAAGAGTGTTTCAAAACTGTTCTGTCTAAAGAAATGTTCAACTGTGTTAGTTGAGGACACACATCAGAAACTAGTTTCTGAGAATGCTCTCTGTCTAGTTGTTATGGGAAGATATTTCCTTTTCCAACGTAGGCCTGAAAGTGCTCCAAATGTCCACTTCCATATACTAAAAAAAGAGTGTTTCAAACCTGCTCTACCAAAGGGAATGTTCTACTCTGTGACTTGAATGCAAACATCCCAAAGAAGTTTCTGAGAATGCTTCTGTCTAGATTTTCTCTGAAGACAATCCCGTTTCCAACGAAATCCTCAAGGCTAGGCAAATATACTCTTGCAGATTCCAGAAAAAGAGTGTTTCAAAACTGCTCCTTCAAAACGGTTGTTCAATTCTCTTAGATGAGTACACACATCTCAAATAAGTTTCTGAGAATGCTTCTGCCTAGTTGTTACGGGAAGATATTTCCCTTTCCAACATAGGCCTGAAAGCGCTCCAAATGTCCACTTCCAGATACTACAAAAAGAGTGTTTCAAACCTGCTCTACCAAAGGGAATGTTCTACTCTGTGACTTGAATGCAAACATCCCAAAGAAGTTTCTGAGAATGCTTCTGTCTAGATTTTACCTGAAGACAATCCCGTTTCCCACGAAATCCTCAAAGCTATGCAAATATCCTCTTGCAGATTCTACAAAAAGAGTGTTTCAAAACTGCTCTATGAAAAGAAAGGTTCAACTCTGTCAGTAGAGGGCACACATCACAAACAAGTTTCTGAGAATGCTTCTGCATAGTTGTTACGGGAAGATATTTCCCTTTCCAAAATAGGCCTGAAAGCGCTCCAAATGTCCACTTCCAGATACTACAAAAGGAGTGATTCCAACCTGCTCTATGATAGGGAATGTTCAACTCTGTGTCCTGAATACAAACATCACAAAGATGTTTCTCAGAACGCTGCAGTCTGCAATTTGTATGAATTCCCGCTTCCAACGAAATCCTCAAAACTAGCCAAATATCCACTTGCAGATTCCACAAAAAGACCATTTCAAAACTGCTCTATCAAAAGAAAGGTTCAACTTTGTTAGTTGAGTAGATACAGCATAACCAAGTTTCTGAGAATGCTTCTGTCCAGTTTTTATGGGAAGATATTTCCTTTTTCACCTTAGCCCTGAAATCGCTCCAAAAGTCCAGTTCCAGATACTACAAAAGGGGTGTTTCAGGACTGCTCTATGAAAGGGAGTGTTCAACTTTTGACTTGAATGCAAACATCAGAAAGCAGTTTCTCAGAACGCTGCTGTGTGCTTTTTATATGTATTCCCGCTTCCAGCGAAATCCCCAAAGCTAGCCAAATATCCACTTGCAGATTCCAGAAAAAGAGAGTTTCAAAACTGCTCCTTCAAAACGGTGGTTCAATTCTCTTAGTTGAGTACACACATCTCAAATAAGTTTCTGAGAATGCTTGTGTCTAGTTGTTATGGGAAGATATTTCCTTTTTCAACATAGGCCTGAAAGCGCTCCAAATGTCCACTTCCAGATACTACAAAAGGAGTGATTCCAACCTGCTCTATGACAGGGAATGTTCAACTCTCTGTCCTGAATACAAACATCACAAAGATGTTTCTCAGAACGCTGCAGTCTGCAATTTGTATGAATTCCAGCTTCCAACGAAATCCTCAAATCTAGCCAAATATCCACTTGCAGATTCCACAAAAAGAGCATTTCAAAACTGCTCTATCAAAAGAAAGGTTCAACTTTGTTAGTAGAGTAGATACAGCATAAACAAGTTTCTGAGAATGCTTCTGTCCAGTTTTTATGGGAAGATATTTCCTTTTTCACCTTAGCCCTGAAAGCGCTCCAAAAGTCCAGTTCCAGATACTACAAAAGGAGTGTTTCAGGACTGCTCTATGAAAGGGAGTGTTCAACTTTTGACTTGAATGCAAACATCAGAAAGCAGTTTCTCAGAACGCTGCAGTCTGCAATTTGTATGAATTCCCGCTTCCAACGAAATCCTCAAAACTAGCCAAATATCCACTTGGAGATTCCACAAAAAGAGCGTTTGAAAACTTCTCTATGAATAGAAAGGTTCTACTCCTTTAGTTGAGGACACACATCACGAGTAAGTTTCTGAGAATGCTTCTGTCTAGTTTTTATGGGAAGATATTTCCTTTTTCACCTTAGGCCGGAAAGCGCTCCAAATGTCCACTTACACACACTACAAAAAGAGTGTTTCAAACCTGCTCTGTGAAAGGGAATGTTCAATTCTGTGACTTGAATGCAATCATCACAAAGAACTTTCTGAGAATGCTGCTGTCTGCTTTTTATATGTAATCCCGTTTCCAACGAAATCCTCAAATCTAGCCAAATAGCCACTTGCAGATTCCACAAAAAGAGTGTTTCAAAACTATTCTGTCTAAAGAAATGTTCAACTGTGTTAGTTGAGGACACACATCAGAAACTAGTTTCTGAGAATGCTTCTGTCTAGTTGTTATGGGAAGATATTTCCTTTTCCAACGTAGGCCTGAAAGCGCTCCAAATGTCCACTTCCATATACTAAAAAAAGAGTGTTTCAAACCTGCTCTACCAAAGGGAATGTTCTACTCTGTGACTTGAATGCAAACATCCCAAAGAAGTTTCTGAGAATGCTTCTGTCTAGATTTGATCTGAAGACAATCCCGTTTCCAACGAAATCCTCAAGGCTAGGCAAATATCCTCTTGCAGATTCCAGAAAAAGAGTGTTTCAAAACTGGTCCTTCAAAACGGTGGTTCAATTCTCTTAGTTGAGTACACCACATCTCAAATAAGTTTCTGAGAATGCTTCTGCCTAGTTGTTACCGGAAGATATTTCCCTTTCTAACATAGGCCTGAAAGCGCTCCAAATGTCCACTTCCAGATACTACAAAAAGAGTGTTTCAAACCTGCTCTACCAAAGGGAATGTTCTACTCTGTGACTTGAATGCAAACATCCCGAAGGAATTTTCTGAGAATGCTTCTGTCTAGATTTTACCTGAAGACAATCCCGTTTCCCACGAAATCCTCGAAGCTATGCAAATATCCTCTTGCAGATTCTACAAAAAGAGTGTTTCAAAACTGCTCTATGAAAAGAAAGGTTCAACTCTGTCAGCAAGAGGGCACACATCACAAACAAGTTTCTGAGAATGCTTCTGCATAGTTGTTACCGGGAAGATATTTCCCTTTCCAAAATAGGCCTGAAAGCGCTCCAAATGTCCACTTCCAGATACTACAAAAGGAGTGATTCCAACCTGCTCTATGATAGGGAATGTTCAACTCTGTGTCCTGAATACAAACATCACAAAGATGTTTCTCAGAACGCTGCAGTCTGCAATTTGTATGAATTCCCGCTTCCAGCGAAATCCTCAAAACTAGCCAAATATCCACTTGCAGATTCCACAAAAAGAGCATTTCAAAACTGCTCTATCAAAAGAAAGGTTCAACTTTGTTAGTTGAGTAGATACAGCATAAACAAGTTTCTGAGAATGCTTCTGTCCAGTTTTTATGGGAAGATATTTCCTTTTTCACCTTAGCCCTGAAATCGCTCCAAAAGTCCAGTTCCAGATACTACAAAAGGGGTGTTTCAGGACTGCTCTATGAAAGGGAGTGTTCAACTTTTGACTTGAATGCAAACATCAGAAAGCAGTTTCTCAGAACGCTGCTGTGTGCTTTTTATATGTATTCCCGCTTCCAGCGAAATCCCCAAAGCTAGCCAAATATCCACTTGCAGATTCCAGAAAAAGAGTGTTTCAAAACTGCTCCTTCAAAACGGTGGTTCAATTCTCTTAGTTGAGTACACACATCTCAAATAAGTTTCTGAGAATGCTTCTGTCTAGTTGTTATGGGAAGATATTTCCTTTTCCAACATAGGCCTGAAAGCGCTCCAAATGTCCACTTCCAGATACTACAAAAGGAGTGATTCAAACCTGCTCTATGATAGGGAATGTTCAACTCTGTGTCCTGAATACAAACATCACAAAGATGTTTCTCAGAACGCTGCAGTCTGCAATTTGTATGAATTCCCGCTTCCAACGAAATCCTCAAAACTAGCCAAATATCCACTTGCAGATTCCACAAAAAGAGCGTTTCAAAACTTCTCTATGAAAAGAAAGGTTCTACTCCTTTAGTTGAGGACACACATCACGAGTAAGTTTCTGAGAATACTTCTGTCTAGTTTTTATGGGAAGATATTTCCTTTTTCACCTTAGGCAGGAAAGTGCTCCAAATGTCCACTTACACACACTGCAAAAAGAGTGTTTCAAACCTGCTCTGTGAAAGGGAATGTTCAATTCTGTGACTTGAATGCAATCATCACAAAGAACTTTCTGAGAATGCTGCTGTCTGCTTTTTATATGTAATCCCGTTTCCAACGAAATCCTCAAATCTAGCCAAATAGCCACTTGCAGATTCCACAAAAAGAGTGTTTCAAAACTGTTCTGTCTAAAGAAATGTTCAACTGTGTTAGTTGAGGACACACATCAGAAACTAGTTTCTGAGAATGCTTCTGTCTAGTTGTTATGGGAAGATATTTCCTTTTCCAACGTAGGCCTGAAAGCGCTCCAAATGTCCACTTCCAGATACTACAAAAGGAGTGATTCCAACCTGCTCTATGATAGGGAATGTTCAACTCTGTGTCCTGAATACAAACATCACAAAGATGTTTCTCAGAACGCTGCAGTCTGCAATTTGTATGAATTCCCGCTTCCAACGAAATCCTCAAAACTAGCCAAATATCCACTTGCAGATTCCACAAAAAGAGCGTTTCAAAACTTCTCTATGAAAAGAAAGGTTCTACTCCTTTAGTTGAGGACACACATCACGAGTAAGTTTCTGAGAATGCTTCTGTCTAGTTTTTATGGGAAGATATTTCCTTTTTCACCTTAGGCCGGAAAGTGCTCCAAATGTCCACTTACACACACTACAAAAAGAGTGTTTCAAACCTGCTCTGTGAAAGGGAATGTTCAATTCTGTGACTTGAATGCAATCATCACAAAGAACTTTCTGAGAATGCTGCTGACTGCTTTTTATATGTAATCCCGTTTCCAACGAAATCCTCAAATCTAGCCAAATAGCCACTTGCAGATTCCACAAAAAGAGTGTTTCAAAACTGTTCTGTCTAAAGAAATGTTCAACTGTGTTAGTTGAGGACACACATCAGAAACTAGTTTCTGAGAATGCTTCTGTCTAGTTGTTATGGGAAGATATTTCCTTTTCCAACGTAGGCCTGAAAGCGCTCCAAATGTCCACTTCCATATACTAAAAAAAGAGTGTTTCAAACCTGCTCTACCAAAGGGAATGTTCTACTCTGTGACTTGAATGCAAACATCCCAAAGAAGTTTCTGAGAATGCTTCTGTCTAGATTTTATCTGAAGACAATCCCGTTTCCAACGAAATCCTCAAGGCTAGGCAAATATACTCTTGCAGATTCCAGAAAAAGAGGGTTTCAAAACTGCTCCTTCAAAACGGTGGTTCAATTCTCTTAGTTGAGTACACACATCTCAAATAAGTTTCTGAGAATGCTTCTGCCTAGTTGTTACGGGAAGATATTTCCCTTTCCAACATAGGCTTGAAAGCGCTCCAAATGTCCACTTCCAGATACTATAAAAAGAGTGTTTCAAACCTGCTCTACCAAAGGGAATGTTCTACTCTGTGACATGAATGCAAACATCCCAAAGAAGTTTCTGAGAATGCTTCTGTCTAGATTTTACCTGAAGACAATCCCGTTTCCCACGAAATCCTCAAAGCTATGCAAATATCCTCTTGCAGATTCTACAAAAAGAGTGTTTCAAAACTGCTCTATGAAAAGAAAGGTTCAACTCTGTCAGTAGAGGGCACACATCACAAACAAGTTTCTGAGAATGCTTGTGTCTAGTTGTTATGGGAAGATATTTCCTTTTTCAACATAGGCCAGAAAGCGCTCCAAATGTCCACTTCCAGATACTACAAAAGGAGTGATTCCAACCTGCTCTATGATAGGGAATGTTCAACTCTCTGTCCTGAATACAAACATCACAAAGCTGTTTCTCAGAACGCTGCAGTCTGCAATTTGTATGAATTCCCGCTTCCAACGAAATCCTCAAAACTAGCCAAATATCCACTTGCAGATTCCACAAAAAGAGCATTTCAAAACTGCTCTATCAAAAGAAAGGTTCAACTTTGTTAGTTGAGTAGATACAGCATAAACAAGTTTCTGAGAATGCTTCTGTCCAGTTTTTATGGGAAGATATTTCCTTTTTCACCTTAGCCCTGAAAGCGCTCCAAAATTCCAGTTCCAGATACTACAAAAGGAGTGTTTCAGGACTGCTCTATGAAAGGGAGTGTTCAACTTTTGACTTGAATGCAAACATCAGAAAGCAGTTTCTCAGAACGCTGCAGTCTGCAATTTGTATGAATTCCCGCTTCCAACGAAATCCTCCAAACTAGCCAAATATCCACTTGCAGATTCCACAAAAAGAGCGTTTCAAAACTTCTCTATGAAAAGAAAGGTTCTACTCCTTTAGTTGAGGACACACATCACGAGTAAGTTTCTGAGAATGCTTCTGTCTAGTTTTTATGGGAAGATATTCCCTTTTTCACCTTGGCCGGAAAGTGCTCCAAATGTCCACTTACACACACTACAAAAAGAGTGTTTCAAACCTGCTCTGTGAAAGGGAATGTTCAATTCTGTGACTTGAATGCAATCATCACAAAGAACTTTCTGAGAATGCTGCTGTCTGCTTTTTATATGTAATCCCGTTTCCAACGAAATCCTCAAATCTAGCCAAATAGCCACTTGCAGATTCCACAAAAAGAGTGTTTCAAAACTGTTCTGTCTAAAGAAATGTTCAACTGTGTTAGTTGAGGACACACATCAGAAACTAGTTTCTGAGAATGCTTCTGTCTAGTTGTTATGGGAAGATATTTCCTTTTCCAACGTAGGCCTGAAAGCGCTCCAAATGTCCACTTCCATATACTAAAAAAAGAGTGTTTCAAACCTGCTCTACCAAAGGGAATGTTCTACTCTGTGACTTGAATGCAAACATCCCAAAGAAGTTTCTGAGAATGCTTCTGTCTAGATTTGATCTGAAGACAATCCCGTTTCCAACGAAATCCTCAAGGCTAGGCAAATATCCTCTTGCAGATTCCAGAAAAAGAGTGTTTCAAAACTGCTCCTTCAAAACGGTGGTTCAATTCTCTTAGTTGAGTACACACATCTCAAATAAGTTTCTGAGAATGCTTCTGCCTAGTTGTTACGGGAAGATATTTCCCTTTCCAACATAGGCCTGAAAGCGCTCCAAATGTCCACTTCCAGATACTACAAAAAGAGTGTTTCAAACCTGCTCTACCAAAGGGAATGTTCTACTCTGTGACTTGAATGCAAACATCCCAAAGAAGTTTCTGAGAATGCTTCTGTCTAGATTTTACCTGAAGACAATCCCGTTTCCCACGAAATCCTCAAAGCTATGCAAATATCCTCTTGCAGATTCTACAAAAAGAGTGTTTCAAAACTGCTCTATGAAAAGAAAGGTTCAACTCTGTCAGTAGAGGGCACACATCACAAACAAGTTTCTGAGAATGCTTGTGTCTACTTGTTATGGGAAGATATTTCCTTTTTCAACATAGGCCTGAAAGCGCTCCAAATGTCCACTTCCAGATACTACAAAAGGAGTGATTCCAACCTGCTCTATGATAGGGAATGTTCAACTCTGTGTCCTGAATACAAACATCACAAAGATGTTTCTCAGAACGCTGCAGTCTGCAATTTGTATGAATTCCCGCTTCCAAAGAAATCCTCAAAACTAACCAAATATCCACTTGCAGACTCCACAAAAAGAGCATTTCAAAACTGCTCTATCAAAAGAAAGGTTCAACTTTGTTAGCTGAGTAGATACAGCATAAACAAGTTTCTGAGAATGCTGCAGTCTGCAATTTGTATGAATTCCCGCTTCCAACGAAATCCTCAAAACTAGCCAAATATCCACTTGGAGATTCCACAAAAAGAGCGTTTCAAAACTTCTCTATGAATAGAAAGGTTCTACTCCTTTAGTTGAGGACACACATCACGAGTAAGTTTCTGAGAATGCTTCTGTCTAGTTTTTATGGGAAGATATTTCCTTTTTCACCTTAGGCTGGAAAGTGCTCCAAATGTCCACTTACACACACTACAAAAAGAGTGTTTCAAACCTGCTCTGTGAAAGGGAATGTTCAATTCTGTGACTTGAATGCAATCATCAAAAAGAACTTTCTGAGACTGCTGCTGACTGCTTTTTATATGTAATCCCGTTTCCAACGAAATCCTCAAATCTAGCCAAATAGCCACTTGCAGATTCCACAAAAAGAGTGTTTCAAAACTGTTCTGTCTAAAGAAATGTTCAACTGTGTTAGTTGAGGACACACATCAGAAACTAGTTTCTGAGAATGCTTCTGTCTAGTTGTTATGGGAAGATATTTCCTTTTCCAACGTAGGCCTGAAAGCGATCCAAATGTCCACTTCCATATACTAAAAAAAGAGTGTTTCAAACCTGCTCTACCAAAGGGAATGTTCTACTCTGTGACTTGAATGCAAACATCCCAAAGAAGTTTGCTGAGAATGCTTCTGTCTAGATTTGATCTGAAGACAATCCCGTTTCCAACGAAATCCTCAAGGCTAGGCAAATATCCTCTTGCAGATTCCAGAAAAAGAGTGTTTCAAAACTGCTCCTTCAAAAGGGTGGTTCAATTCTCTTAGTTGAGTACACACATCTCAAATAAGTTTCTGAGAATGCTTCTGCCTAGTTGTTACGGGAAGATATTTCCCTTTCCAACATAGGCCTGAAAGCGCTCCAAATGTCCACTTCCAGATACTACAAAAAGAGTGTTTCAAACCTGCTCTACCAAAGGGAATGTTCTACTCTGTGACTTGAATGCAAACATCCCAAAGAAGTTTCTGAGAATGCTTCTGTCTAGATTTTACCTGAAGACAATCCCGTTTCCCACGAAATCCTCAAAGCTATGCAAATATCCTCTTGCGGATTCTACAAAAAGAGTGTTTCAAAACTGCTCTATGAAAAGAAAGGTTCAACTCTGTCAGTAGAGGGCACACATCACAAACAAGTTTCTGAGAATGCTTCTGCATAGTTGTTACGGGAAGATATTTCCCTTTCCAAAATAGGCCTGAAAGCGCTCCAAATGTCCACTTCCAGATACTACAAAAGGAGTGATTCCAACCTGCTCTATGATAGGGAATGTTCAACTCTGTGTCCTGAATACAAACATCACAAAGATGTTTCTCAGAACGCTGCAGTCTGCAATTTGTATGAATTCCCGCTTCCAACGAAATCCTCAAAACTAGCCAAATATCCACTTGCAGATTCCACAAAAAGACCATTTCAAAACTGCTCTATCAAAAGAAAGGTTCAACTTTGTTAGTTGAGTAGATACAGCATAAACAAGTTTCTGAGAATGCTTCTGTCCAGTTTTTATGGGAAGATATTTCCTTTTTCACCTTAGCCCTGAAATCGCTCCAAAAGTCCAGTTCCAGATACTACAAAAGGGGTGTTTCAAGACTGCTCTATGAAAGGGAGTGTTCAACTTTTGACTTGAATGCAAACATCAGAAAGCAGTTTCTCAGAACGCTGCTGTGTGCTTTTTATATGTATTCCCGCTTCCAGCGAAATCCCCAAAGCTAGCCAAATATCCACTTGCAGATTCCAGAAAAAGAGAGTTTCAAAACTGCTCCTTCAAAACGGTGGTTCAATTCTCTTAGTTGAGTACACACATCTCAAATAAGTTTCTGAGAATGCTTCTGTCTAGTTGTTATGGGAAGATATTTCCTTTTCCAACATAGGCCTGAAAGCGCTCCAAATGTCCACTTCCAGATACTACAAAAGGAGTGATTCAAACCTGCTCTATGATAGGGAATGTTCAACTCTGTGTCCTGAATACAAACATCACAAAGATGTTTCTCAGAACGCTGCAGTCTGCAATTTGTATGAATTCCCGCTTCCAGCGAAATCCTCAAAACTAGCCAAATATCCACTTGCAGATTCCACAAAAAGAGCATTTCAAAACTGCTCTATCAAAAGAAAGGTTCAACTTTGTTAGTTGAGTAGATACAGCATAAACAAGTTTCTGAGAATGCTTCTGTCCAGTTTTTATGGGAAGATATTTCCTTTTTCACCTTAGCCCTGAAAGCGCTCCAAAAGTCCAGTTCCAGATACTACAAAAGGAGTGTTTCAGGACTGCACTATGAAAGGGAGTGTTCAACTTTTGACTTGAATGCAAACATCAGAAAGCAGTTTCTCAGAACGCTGCTGTGTGCTTTTTATATGTATTCCCGCTTCCAGCGAAATCCCCAAAGCTAGCCAAATATCCACTTGCAGATTCCAGAAAAAGAGAGTTTCAAAACTGCTCCTTCAAAACGGTGGTTCAATTCTCTTAGTTGAGTACACACATCTCAAATAAGTTTTCTGAGAATGCTTATGTGTCTAGTTGTTATGGGAAGATATTTACTTTTTCAACATAGGCCTGAAAGCGCTCCAAATGTCCACTTCCAGATACTACAAAAGGAGTGATTCCAACCTGCTCTATGATAGGGAATGTTCATCTCTGTGTCCTGAATACAAACATCACAAAGATGTTTCTCATAACGCTGCAGTCTGCAATTTGTATGAATTCCCGCTTCCAACGGAATCCTCAAAACTACCCAAATATCCACTTGGAGATTCCACAAAAAGAGCGTTTCAAAACTTCTCTATGAATAGAAAGGTTCTACTCCTTTAGTTGAGGGCACACATCACGAGTAAGTTTCTGAGAATGCTTCTGTCTAGTTTTTATGGGAAGATATTTCCTTTTTCACCTTAGGCCGGAAAGCGCTCCAAATGTCCACTTACACACACTACAAAAAGAGTGTTTCAAACCTGCTCTGTGAAAGGGAATGTTCAATTCTGTGACTTGAATGCAATCATCACAAAGAACTTTCTGAGAATGCTGCTGTCTGCTTTTTATATGTAATCCCGTTTCCAACGAAATCCTCAAATCTAGCCAAATATCCACTTGCAGATTCCACAAAAAGAGTGTTTCAAAACTGTTCTGTCTAAAGAAAAGTTCAACTGTGTTAGTTGAGGACACACATCAGAAACTAGTTTCTGAGAATGCTTCTGTCTAGTTGTTATGGGAAGATATTTCCTTTTCCAACGTAGGCCTGAAAGCGCTCCAAATGTCCACTTCCAGATACTACAAAAAGAGTGTTTCAAACCTGCTCTACCAAAGGGAATGTTCTACTCTGTGACTTGAATGCAAACATCCCAAAGAAGTTTCTGAGAATGCTTCTGTCTAGATTTTATCTGAAGACAATCCCGTTTCCAACGAAATCCTCAAGGCTAGGCAAATATACTCTTGCAGATTCCAGAAAAAGAGTGTTTCAAAACTGCTCCTTCAAAACGGTGGTTCAATTCTCTTAGTTGAGTACACACATCTCAAATAAGTTTCTGAGAATGCTTCTGCCTAGTTGTTACGGGAAGATATTTCCCTTTCCAACATGGGCCTGAAAGCGCTCCAAATGTCCACTTCCAGATACTACAAAAAGAGTGTTTCAAACCTGCTCTACCAAAGGGAATGTTCTACTCTGTGACTTGAATGCAAACATCCCAAAGAAGTTTCTGAGAATGCTTCTGTCTAGATTTTACCTGAAGACAATCCCGTTTCCCACGAAATCCTCAAAGCTATGCAAATATCCTCTTGCAGATTCTACAAAAAGAGTGTTTCAAAACTGCTCTATGAAAAGAAAGGTTCAACTCTGTCAGTAGAGGGCACACATCACAAACAAGTTTCTGAGAATGCTTGTGTCTAGTTGTTATGGGAAGATATTTCCTTTTTCAACATAGGCCTGAAATCGCTCCAAATGTCCACTTCCAGATACTACAAAAGGAGTGATTCCAACCTGCTCTATGATAGGGAATGTTCAACTCTCTGTCCTGAATACAAACATCACAAAGATGTTTCTCAGAACGCTGCAGTCTGCAATTTGTATGAATTCCCGCTTCCAACGAAATCCTCAAAACTAGCCAAATATCCACTTGCAGATTCCACAAAAAGAGCATTTCAAAACTGCTCTATCAAAAGAAAGGTTCAACTATGTTAGTTGAGTAGATACAGCATAAACAAGTTTCTGAGAATGCTTCTGTCCAGTTTTTATGGGAAGATATTTCCTTTTTCACCTTAGCCCTGAAATCGCTCCAAAAGTCCAGTTCCAGATACTACAAAAGGGGTGTTTCAGGACTGCTCTATGAAAGGGAGTGTTCAACTTTTGACTTGAATGCAAACATCAGAAAGCAGTTTCTCAGAACGCTGCAGTCTGCAATTTGTATGAATTCCCGCTTCCAACGAAATCCTCAAAACTAGCCAAATATCCACTTGCAGATTCCACAAAAAGAGCGTTTCAAAACTTCTCTATGAAAAGAAAGGTTCTACTCCTTTAGTTGAGGACACACATCACGAGTAAGTTTCTGAGAATGCTTCTGTCTAGTTTTTATGGGAAGATATTTCCTTGTTCACCTTAGGCCGGTAAGTGCTCCAAATATCCACTTACACACACTACATAAAGAGTGTTTCAAACCTGCTCTGTGAAAGGGAATGTTCAATTCTGTGACTTGAATGCAATCATCACAAAGAACTTTCTGAGAATGCTGCTGACTGCTTTTTATATGTAATCCCGTTTCCAACGAAATCCTCAAATCTAGCCAACTATCCACTTGCAGATTCCACAAAAAGAGTGTTCCAAAACTGTTCTGTCTAAAGAAATGTTCAACTGTGTTAGTTGAGGACACACATCAGAAACTAGTTTCTGAGAATGCTTCTGTCTAGTTGTTATGGGAAGATATTTCCTTTTCCAACGTAGGCCTGAAAGCGCTCCAAATGTCCACTTCCATATACTAAAAAAAGAGTGTTTCAAACCTGCTCTACCAAAGGGAATGTTCTACTCTGTGACTTGAATGCAAACATCCCAAAGAAGTTTCTGAGAATGCTTCTGTCTAGATTTTATCTGAAGACAATCCCGTTTCCAACGAAATCTTCAAGGCTAGGCAAATATACTCTTGCAGATTCCAGAAAAAGAGTGTTTCAAATCTGCTCCTTCAAAACGGTGGTTCAATTCTCTTAGTTGAGTACACACATCTCAAATAAGTTTCTGAGAATGCTTCTGCCTAGTTGTTACGGGAAGATATTTCCCTTTCCAACATGGGCCTGAAAGCGCTCCAAATGTCCACTTCCAGATACTACAAAAAGAGTGTTTCAAACCTGCTCTACCAAAGGGAATGTTCTACTCTGTGACTTGAATGCAAACATCCCAAAGAAGTTTCTGAGAATGCTTCTGTCTAGATTTTACCTGAAGACAATCCCGTTTCCCACGAAATCCTCAAAGCTATGCAAATATCCTCTTGCAGATTCTACAAAAAGAGTGTTTCAAAACTGCTCTATGAAAAGAAAGGTTCAACTCTGTCAGTAGAGGGCACACATCACAAACAAGTTTCTGAGAATGCTTCTGCATAGTTGTTACGGGAAGATATTTCCCTTTCCAAAATAGGCCTGAAAGCGCTCCAAATGTCCACTTCCAGATACTACAAAAGGAGTGATTCCAACCTGCTCTATGATAGGGAATGTTCAACTCTGTGTCCTGAATACAAACATCACAAAGATGTTTCTCAGAACGCTGCAGTCTGCAATTTGTATGAATTCCCGCTTCCAACGAAATCCTCAAAACTAGCCAAATATCCACTTGCAGATTCCACAAAAAGACCATTTCAAAACTGCTCTATCAAAAGAAAGGTTCAACTTTGTTAGTTGAGTAGATACAGCATAAACAAGTTTCTGAGAATGCTTCTGTCCAGTTTTTATGGGAAGATATTTCCTTTTTCACCTTAGCCCTGAAAGCGCTCCAAAAGTCCAGTTCCAGATACTACAAAAGGAGTGTTTCAGGACTGCACTATGAAAGGGAGTGTTCAACTTTTGACTTGAATGCAAACATCAGAAAGCAGTTTCTCAGAACGCTGCTGTGTGCTTTTTATATGTATTCCCGCTTCCAGCGAAATCCCCAAAGCTAGCCAAATATCCACTTGCAGATTCCACAAAAAGAGTGTTTCAAAACTGCTCCTTCAAAACGGTGGTTCAATTCTCTTAGTTGAGTACACACATCTCAAATAAGTTTCTGAAAATGCTTCTGTCTAGTTGTTATGGGAAGATATTTCCTTTTCCAACATAGGGCCTGAAAGCGCTCCAAATGTCCACTTCCAGATACTACAAAAGGAGTGATTCAAACCTGCTCTATGATAGGGAATGTTCAACTCTGTGTCCTGAATACAAACATCACAAAGATGTTTCTCAGAACGCTGCAGTCTGCAATTTGTATGAATTCCCGCTTCCAACGAAATCCTCAAACCTAGCCAAATATCCACTTGTAGATTCCACAAAAAGAGCATTTCAAAACTGCTCTATCAAAAGAAAGGTTCAACTTTGTTAGTTGAGTAGATACAGCATAAACAAGTTTCTGAGAATGCTTCTGTCCAGTTTTTATGGGAAGATATTTCCTTTTTCACCTTAGCCCTGAAAGCGCTCCAAATGTCCAGTTCCAGATACTACAAAAGGGGTGTTTCAAGACTGCTCTATGAAAGGGAGTGTTCAACTTTTGACTTGAATGCAAACATCAGAAAGCAGTTTCTCAGAACGCTGCAGTCTGCAATTTGTATGAATTCCCGCTTCCAACGAAATCCTCAAAACTAGCCAAATATCCACTTGCAGATTCCACAAAAAGAGCGTTTCAAAACTTCTCTATGAAAAGAAAGGTTCTACTCCTTTAGTTGAGGACACACATCACGAGTAAGTTTACTGAGAATGCTGTCTGTCTAGTTTTTATGGGAAGATATTTCCTTTTTCACCTTAGGCCGGAAAGCGCTCCAAATGTCCACTTTCACACACTACAAAAAGAGTGTTTCAAACCTGCTCTGTGAAAGGGAATGTTCAATTCTGTGACTTGAATGCAATCATCACAAAGAACTTTCTGAGAATGCTGCTGTCTGCTTTTTATATGTAATCCCGTTTCCAACGAAATCCTCAAATCTAGCCAAATATCCACTTGCAGATTCCACAAAAAGAGTGTTTCAAAACTGTTCTGTCTAAAGAAATGTTCAACTGTGTTAGTTGAGGACACACATCAGAAACTAGTTTCTGAGAATGCTTCTGTCTAGTTGTTATGGGAAGATATTTCCTTTTCCAACGTAGGCCAGAAAGCGCTCAAAATGTCCACTTACACACACTACAAAAAGAGTTTTTCAAACCTGCTCTACCAAAGGGAATGTTCTACTCTGTGACTTGAATGCAAACATCCCAAAGAAGTTTCTGAGAATGCTTCTGTCTAGATTTTACCTGAAGACAATCCCGTTTCCCACGAAATCCTCAAAGCTATGCAAATATCCTCTTGCAGATTCTACAAAAAGAGTGTTTCGAAACTGCTCTATGAAAAGAAAGATTCAACTGTGTCAGTAGAGGGCACACATCACAAACAAGTTTCTGAGAATGCTTCTGCATAGTTGTTACGGGAAGATATTTCCCTTTCCAAAATAGGCCTGAATGCGCTCCAAATGTCCACTTCCAGATACTACAAAAGGAGTGATTCCAACCTGCTCTATGATAGGGAATGTTCAACTCTGTGTCCTGAATACAAACATCACAAAGATGTTTCTCAGAACGCTGCAGTCTGCAATTTGTATGAATTCCCGCTTCCAACGAAATCCTCAAAACTAGCCAAATATCCACTTGCAGATTCCACAAAAAGACCATTTCAAAACTGCTCTATCAAAAGAAAGGTTCAACTTTGTTAGTTGAGTAGATACAGCATAACCAAGTTTCTGAGAATGCTTCTGTCCAGTTTTTATGGGAAGATATTTCCTTTTTCACCTTAGCCCTGAAATCGCTCCAAAAGTCCAGTTCCAGATACTACAAAAGGGGTGTTTCAAGACTGCTCTATGAAAGGGAGTGTTCAACTTTTGACTTGAATGCAAACATCAGAAAGCAGTTTCTCAGAACGCTGCTGTGTGCTTTTTATATGTATTCCCGCTTCCAGCGAAATCCCCAAAGCTAGCCAAATATCCACTTGCAGATTCCAGAAAAAGAGTGTTTCAAAACTGCTCCTTCAAAACGGTGGTTCAATTCTCTTAGTTGAGTACACACATCTCAAATAAGTTTCTGAGAATGCTTCTGTCTAGTTGTTATGGGAAGATATTTCCTTTTCTAACATAGGCCTGAAAGTGCTCCAAATGTCCACTTCCAGATACTACAAAAGGAGTGATTCCAACCTGCTCTATGATAGGGAATGTTCAACTCTGTGTCCTGAATACAAACATCACAAAGATGTTTCTCAGAACGCTGCAGTCTGCAATTTGTATGAATTCCCGCTTCCAACGAAATCCTCAAAACTAGCCAAATATCCACTTGCAGATTCCACAAAAAGAGCGTTTCAAAACTTCTCTATGAAAAGAAAGGTTCTACTCCTTTAGTTGAGGACACACATCACGAGTAAGTTTCTGAGAATGCTTCTGTCTAGTTTTTATGGGAAGATATTTCCTTTTTCACCTTAGTCCGGAAAGTGCTCCAAATGTCCACTTACACACACTACAAAAAGAGTGTTTCAAACCTGCTCTGTGAAAGGGAATGTTCAATTCTGTGACTTGAATGCAATCATCACAAAGAACTTTCTGAGAATGCTGCTGACTGCTTTTTATATGTAATCCCGTTTCCAACGAAATCCTCAAATCTAGCCAAATAGCCACTTGCAGATTCCACAAAAAGAGTGTTTCAAAACTGTTCTGTCTAAAGAAATGTTCAACTGTGTTAGTTGAGGACACACATCAGAAACTAGTTTCTGAGAATGCTTCTGTCTAGTTGTTATGGGAAGATATTTCCTTTTCCAACGTAGGCCTGAAAGCGCTCCAAATGTCCACTTCCAGATACTACAAAAAGAGTGTTTCAAACCTGCTCTACCAAAGGGAATGTTCTACTCTGTGACTTGAATGCAAGCATCCCAAAGAAGTTTCTGAGAATGCTTCTGTCTAGATTTTCTCTGAAGACAATCCCGTTTCCAACGAAATCCTCAAGGCTAGGCAAATATACTCTTGCAGATTCCAGAAAAAGAGTGTTTCAAAACTGCTCCTTCAAAACGGTGGTTCAATTCTCTTAGTTGAGTACACACATCTCAAATAAGTTTCTGAGAATGCTTCTGCCTAGTTGTTACGGGAAGATATTTCCCTTTCCAACATGGGCCTGAAAGCGCTCCAAATGTCCACTTCCAGATACTACAAAAAGAGTGTTTCAAACCTGCTCTACCAAAGGGAATGTTCTACTCTGTGACTTGAATGCAAACATCCCAAAGAAGTTTCTGAGAATGCTTCTGTCTAGATTTTACCTGAAGACAATCCCGTTTCCCACGAAATCCTCAAAGCTATGCAAATATCCTCTTGCAGATTCTACAAAAAGAGTGTTTCAAAACTGCTCTATGAAAAGAAAGGTTCAACTCTGTCAGTAGAGGGCACACATCACAAACAAGTTTCTGAGAATGCTTCTGCATAGTTGTTACGGGAAGATATTTCCCTTTCCAAAATAGGCCTGAAAGCGCTCCAAATGTCCACTTCCAGATACTACAAAAGGAGTGATTCCAACCTGCTCTATGATAGGGAATGTTCAACTCTGTGTCCTGAATACAAACATCACAAAGATGTTTCTCAGAACGCTGCAGTCTGCAATTTGTATGAATTCCCGCTTCCAACGAAATCCTCAAAACTAGCCAAATATCCACTTGCAGATTCCACAAAAAGAGCATTTCAAAACTGCTCTATCAAAAGAAAGGTTCAACTTTGTTAGTTGAGTAGATACAGCATAAACAAGTTTCTGAGAATGCTTCTGTCCAGTTTTTATGGGAAGATATTTCCTTTTTCACCTTAGCCCTGAAATCGCTCCAAAAGTCCAGTTCCAGATACTACAAAAGGGGTGTTTCAAGACTGCTCTATGAAAGGGAGTGTTCAACTTTTGACTTGAATGCAAACATCAGAAAGCAGTTTCTCAGAACGCTGCTGTGTGCTTTTTATATGTATTCCCGCTTCCAGCGAAATCCCCAAAGCTAGCCAAATATCCACTTGCAGATTCCAGAAAAAGAGTGTTTCAAAACTGCTCCTTCAAAACGGTGGTTCAATTCTCTTAGTTGAGTACACACATCTCAAATAAGTTTCTGAGAATGCTTCTGTCTAGTTTTTATGGGAAGATATTTCCTTTTCCAACATAGGCCTGAAAGCGCTCCAAATGTCCACTTCAAGATACTACAAAAGGAGTGATTCCAACCTGCTCTATGATAGGGAATGTTCAACTCTGTGTCCTGAATACAAACATCACAAAGATGTTTCTCAGAACGCTGCAGTCTGCAATTTGTATGAATTCCCGCTTCCAACGAAATCCTCAAAACTAGCCAAATATCCACTTGGAGATTCCACAAAAAGAGCGTTTCAAAACTTCTCTATGAATAGAAAGGTTCTACTCCTTTAGTTGAGGACACACATCACGAGTAAGTTTCTGAGAATGCTTCTGTCTAGTTTTTATGGGAAGATATTTCCTTTTTCACCTTAGGCCGGAAAGCGCTCCAAATGTCCACTTACACACACTACAAAAAGAGTGTTTCAAACCTGCTCTGTGAAAGGGAATGTTCAATTCTGTGACTTGAATGCAATCATCAAAAAGAACTTTCTGAGAATGCTGCTGTCTGCTTTTTATATGTAATCCCGTTTCCAACGAAATCCTCAAATCTAGCCAAATATCCACTTGCAGATTCCACAAAAAGAGTGTTTCAAAACTGTTCTGTCTAAAGAAAAGTTCAACTGTGTTAGTTGAGGACACACATCAGAAACTAGTTTCTGAGAATGCTTCTGTCTAGTTGTTATGGGAAGATATTTCCTTTTCCAACGTAGGCCTGAAAGCGCTCCAAATGTCCACTTCCATATACTAAAAAAAGAGTGTTTCAAACCTGCTCTAC
This sequence comes from Homo sapiens, assembly GCF_000001405.40. NCBI lineage: Eukaryota > Metazoa > Chordata > Mammalia > Primates > Hominidae > Homo > Homo sapiens. Next base: position 19,812,009 of record NC_000018.10, on the reverse strand, counting down.
CAAAGGGAATGTTCTACTCTGTGACTTGAATGCAAACATCCCAAAGAAGTTTCTGAGAATGCTTCTGTCTAGATTTGATCTGAAGACAATCCCGTTTCCAACGAAATCATCAAGGCTAGGCAAATATCCTCTTGCAGATTCCAGAAAAAGAGTGTTTCAAAACTGCTCCTTCAAAACGGTGGTTCAATTCTCTTACTTGAGTACACACATCTCAAATAAGTTTCTGAGAATGCTTCTGCCTAGTTGTTACGGGAAGATATTTCCCTTTCCAACATAGGCCTGAAAGCGCAACAAATGTCCACTTCCAGATACGACAAAAAGAGTGTTTCAAACCTGCTCTACCAAAGGGAATGTTCTACTCTGTGACTTGAATGCAAACATCCCGAAGAAGTTTCTGAGAATGCTTCTGTCTAGATTTTACCTGAAGACAATCCCGTTTCCCACGAAATCCTCAAAGCTATGCAAATATCCTCTTGCAGATTCTACAAAAAGAGTGTTTCAAAACTGCTCTATGAAAAGAAAGGTTCAACTCTGTCAGTAGAGGGCACACATCACAAACAAGTTTCTGAGAATGCTTGTGTCTAGTTGTTATGGGAAGATATTTCCTTTTTCAACATAGGCCTGAAAGCGCTCCAAATGTCCACTTCCAGATACTACAAAAGGAGTGATTCCAACCTGCTCTATGATAGGGAATGTTCATCTCTGTGTCCTGAATACAAACATCACAAAGATGTTTCTCAGAACGCTGCAGTCTGCAATTTGTATGAATTCCCGCTTCCAACGAAATCCTCAAAACTAGCCAAATATCCACTTGCAGATTCCACAAAAAGACCATTTCAAAACTGCTCTATCAAAAGAAAGGTTCAACTTTGTTAGTTGAGTAGATACAGCATAACCAAGTTTCTGAGAATGCTTCTGTCCAGTTTTTATGGGAAGATATTTCCTTTTTCACCTTAGCCCTGAAAGCGCTCCAAATGTCCAGTTCCAGATACTACAAAAGGGGTGTTTCAAGACTGCTCTATGAAAGGGAGTGTTCAACTTTTGACTTGAATGCAAACATCAGAAAGCAGTTTCTCAGAACGCTGCTGTGTGCTTTTTATATGTATTCCCGCTTCCAGCGAAATCCCCAAAGCTAGCCAAATATCCACTTGCAGATTCCAGAAAAAGAGTGTTTCAAAACTGCTCCTTCAAAACGGTGGTTCAATTCTCTTAGTTGAGTACACACATCTCAAATAAGTTTCTGAGAATGCTGCAGTCTGCAATTTGTATGAATTCCCGCTTCCAACGAAATCCTCAAAACTAGCCAAATATCCACTTGCAGATTCCACAAAAAGAGCATTTCAAAACTGCTCTATCAAAAGAAAGGTTCAACTTTGTTAGTTGAGTAGATACAGCATAAACAAGTTTACTGAGAATGCTTGCAGTCTGCAATTTGTATGAATTCCCGCTTCCAACGAAATCCTCAAAACTAGCCAAATATCCACTTGGAGATTCCACAAAAAGAGCGTTTCAAAACTTCTCTATGAATAGAAAGGTTCTACTCCTTTAGTTGAGGACACACATCACGAGTAAGTTTCTGAGAATGCTTCTGTCTAGTTTTTATGGGAAGATATTTCCTTTTTCACCTTAGGCCGGAAAGCGCTCCAAATGTCCACTTACACACACTACAAAAAGAGTGTTGCAAACCTGCTCTGTGAAAGGGAATGTTCAATTCTGTGACTTGAATGCAATCATCACAAAGAACTTTCTGAGAATGCTGCTGTCTGCTTTTTATATGTAATCCCGTTTCCAACGAAATCCTCAAATCTAGCCAAATATCCACTTGCAGATTCCACAAAAAGAGTGTTTCAAAACTGTTCTGTCTAAAGAAATGTACAACTGTGTTAGTTGAGGACACACATCAGAAACTAGTTTCTGAGAATGCTTCTGTCTAGTTGTTATGGGAAGATATTTCCTTTTCCAACGTAGGCCTGAAAGCGATCCAAATGTCCACTTCCATATACTAAAAAAAGAGTGTTTCAAACCTGCTCTACCAAAGGGAATGTTCTACTCTGTGACTTGAATGCAAACATCCCAAAGAAGTTTCTGAGAATGCTTCTGTCTAGATTTGATCTGAAGACAATCCCGTTTCCAACGAAATCCTCAAGGCTAGGCAAATATCCTCTTGCAGATTCCAGAAAAAGAGTGTTTCAAAACTGCTCCTTCAAAACGGTGGTTCAATTCTCTTAGTTGAGTACACACATCTCAAATAAGTTTCTGAGAATGCTTCTGCCTAGTTGTTACGGGAAGATATTTCCCTTTCCAACATAGGCCTGAAAGCGCTCCAAATGTCCACTTCCAGATACTACAAAAAGAGTGTTTCAAACCTGCTCTACCAAAGGGAATGTTCTGCTCTGTGACTTGAATGCAAACATCCCAAAGAAGTTTCTGAGAATGCTTCTGTCTAGATTTTACCTGAAGACAATCCCGTTTCCCACGAAATCCTCAAAGCTATGCAAATATCCTCTTGCAGATTCTACAAAAAGAGTGTTTCAAAACTGCTCTATGAAAAGAAAGGTTCAACTCTGTCAGTAGAGGGCACACATCACAAACAAGTTTCTGAGAATGCTTGTGTCTAGTTGTTATGGGAAGATATTTCCTTTTTCAACATAGGCCTGAAAGCGCTCCAAATGTCCACTTCCAGATACTACAAAAGGAGTGATTCCAACCTGCTCTATGATAGGGAATGTTCAACTCTCTGTCCTGAATACAAACATCACAAAGATGTTTCTCAGAACGCTGCAGTCTGCAATTTGTATGAATTCCCGCTTCCAACGAAATCCTCAAAACTAGCCAAATATCCACTTGCAGATTCCACAAAAAGACCATTTCAAAACTGCTCTATCAAAAGAAAGGTTCAACTTTGTTAGTTGAGTAGATACAGCATAAACAAGTTTCTGAGAATGCTTCTGTCCAGTTTTTATGGGAAGATATTTCCTTTTTCACCTTAGCCCTGAAATCGCTCCAAAAGTCCAGTTCCAGATACTACAAAAGGGGTGTTTCAAGACTGCTCTATGAAAGGGAGTGTTCAACTTTTGACTTGAATGCAAACATCAGAAAGCAGTTTCTCAGAACGCTGCTGTGTGCTTTTTATATGTATTCCCGCTTCCAGCGAAATCCCCAAAGCTAGCCAAATATCCACTTGCAGATTCCAGAAAAAGAGTGTTTCAAAACTGCTCCTTCAAAACGGTGGTTCAATTCTCTTAGTTGAGTACACACATCTCAAATAAGTTTCTGAGAATGCTTCTGTCTAGTTGTTATGGGAAGATATTTCCTTTTCCAACATAGGCCTGAAAGCGCTCCAAATGTCCACTTCCAGATACTACAAAAGGAGTGATTCAAACCTGCTCTATGATAGGGAATGTTCAACTCTGTGTCCTGAATACAAACATCACAAAGATGTTTCTCAGAACGCTGCAGTCTGCAATTTGTATGAATTCCCGCTTCCAACGAAATCCTCAAAACTAGCCAAATATCCACTTGCAGATTCCACAAAAAGACCATTTCAAAACTGCTCTATCAAAAGAAAGGTTCAACTTTGTTAGTTGAGTAGATACAGCATAAACAAGTTTCTGAGAATGCTTCTGTCCAGTTTTTATGGGAAGATATTTCCTTTTTCACCTTAGCCCTGAAAGCGCTCCAAAAGTCCAGTTCCAGATACTACAAAAGGAGTGTTTCAGGACTGCTCTATGAAAGGGAGTGTTCAACTTTTGACTTGAATGCAAACATCAGAAAGCAGTTTCTCAGAACGCTGCTGTGTGCTTTTTATATGTATTCCCGCTTCCAGCGAAATCCCCAAAGCTAGCCAAATATCCACTTGCAGATTCCAGAAAAAGAGAGTTTCCAAACTGCTCCTTCAAAACGGTGGTTCAATTCTCTTAGTTGAGTACACACATCTCAAATAAGTTTCTGGGAATGCTTGTGTCTAGTTGTTATGGGAAGATATTTCCTTTTTCAACATAGGCCTGAAAGCGCTCCAAATGTCCACTTCCAGATACTACAAAAGGAGTGATTCCAACCTGCTCTATGATAGGGAATGTTCCTCTCTGTGTCCTGAATACAAACATCACAAAGATGTTTCTCAGAACGCTGCAGTCTGCAATTTGTATGAATTCCCGCTTCCAACGAAATCCTCAAAACTAGCCAAATATCCACTTGGAGATTCCACAAAAAGAGCATTTCAAAACTTCTCTACGAATAGAAAGGTTCTACTCCTTTAGTTGAGGACACACATCACGAGTAAGTTTCTGAGAATGCTTCTGTCTAGTTTTTATGGGAAGATATTTCCTTTTTCACCTTAGGCCGGAAAGCGCTCCAAATGTCCACTTACACACACTACAAAAAGAGTGTTTCAAACCTGCTCTGTGAAAGGGAATGTTTAATTCTGTGACTTGAATGCAATCATCACAAAGAACTTTCTGAGAATGCTGCTGTCTACTTTTTATATGTAATCCCGTTTCCAACGAAATCCTCAAATCTAGCCAAATATCCACTTGCAGATTCCACAAAAAGAGTGTTTCAAAACTGTTCTGTCTAAAGAAAAGTTCAACTGTGTTAGTTGAGGACACACATCAGAAACTAGTTTCTGAGAATGCTTCTGTCTAGTTGTTATGGGAAGATATTTCCTTTTCCAACGTAGGCCTGAAAGCGCTCCAAATGTCCACTTCCATATACTAAAAAAAGAGTGTTTCAAACCTGCTCTACCAAAGGGAATGTTCTACTCTGTGACTTGAATGCAAACATCCCAAAGAAGTTTCTGAGAATGCTTCTGTCTAGATTTTATCTGAAGACAATCCCGTTTCCAACGAAATCCTCAAGGCTAGGCAAATATACTCTTGCAGATTCCAGAAAAAGAGTGTTTCAAAACTGCTCCTTCAAAACGGTGGTTCAATTCTCTTAGTTGAGTACACACATCTCAAATAAGTTTCTGAGAATGCTTCTGCCTAGTTGTTACGGGAAGATATTTCCCTTTCCAACATGGGCCTGAAAGCGCTCCAAATGTCCACTTCCAGATACTACAAAAAGAGTGTTTCAAACCTGCTCTACCAAAGGGAATGTTCTACTCTGTGACTTGAATGCAAACATCCCAAAGAAGTTTCTGAGAATGCTTCTGTCTAGATTTTACCTGAAGACAATCCCGTTTCCCACGAAATCCTCAAAGCTATGCAAATATCCTCTTGCAGATTCTACAAAAAGAGTGTTTCAAAACTGCTCTATGAAAAGAAAGGTTCAACTCTGTCAGTAGAGGGCACACATCACAAACAAGTTTCTGAGAATGCTTGTGTCTAGTTGTTATGGGAAGATATTTCCTTTTTCAACATAGGCCTGAAAGCGCTCCAAATGTCCACTTCCAGATACTACAAAAGGAGTGATTCCAACCTGCTCTATGATAGGGAATGTTCATCTCTGTGTCCTGAATACAAACATCACAAATATGTTTCTCAGAACGCTGCAGTCTGCAATTTGTATGAATTCCCGCTTCCAACGAAATCCTCAAAACTAGCCAAATATCCACTTGGAGATTCCACAAAAAGAGCGTTTCAAAACTTCTCTATGAATAGAAATGTTCTACTCCTTTAGTTGAGGACACACATCACGAGTAAGTTTCTGAGAATGCTTCTGTCTAGTTTTTATGGGAAGATATTTCCTTTTTCACCTTAGGCCGGAAAGCGCTCCAAATGTCCACTTACACACACTACTAAAAGAGTGTTTCAAACCTGCTCTGTGAAAGGGAATGTTCAATTCTGTGACTTGAATGCAATCATCACAAAGAACTTTCTGAGAATGCTGCTGTCTGCTTTTTATATGTAATCCCGTTTCCAACGAAATCCTCAAATCTAGCCAAATAGCCACTTGCAGATTCCACAAAAAGAGTGTTTCAAAACTGTTCTGTCTAAAGAAAAGTTCAACTGTGTTAGTTGAGGACACACATCAGAAACTAGTTTCTGAGAATGCTTTCTGTCTAGTTGTTATGTGAAGATATTTCCTTTTCCAACGTAGGCCTGAAAGCGATCAAAATGTCCACTTCCATATACTAAAAAAAGAGTGTTTCAAACCTGCTCTACCAAAGGGAATGTTCTACTCTGTGACTTGAATGCAAACATCCCAAAGAAGTTTCTGAGAATGCTTCTGTCTAGATTTGATCTGAAGACAATCCCGTTTCCAACGAAATCCTCAAGGCTAGGCAAATATCCTCTTGCAGATTCCAGAAAAAGAGTGTTTCAAAACTGCTCCTTCAAAACGGTGGTTCAATTCTCTTAGTTGAGTACACACATCTCAAATAAGTTTCTGAGAATGCTTCTGCCTAGTTGTTACGGGAAGATATTTCCCTTTCCAACATAGGCCTGAAAGCGCTCCAAATGTCCACTTCCGGATACTACAAAAAGAGTGTTTCAAACCTGCTCTACCAAAGGGAATGTTCTACTCTGTGACTTGAATGCAAACATCCCAAAGAAGTTTCTGAGAATGCTTCTGTCTAGATTTTACCTGAAGACAATCCCGTTTCCCACGAAATCCTCAGAGCTATGCAAATATCCTCTTGCAGATTCTACAAAAAGAGTGTTTCGAAACTGCTCTATGAAAAGAAAGGTTCAACTCTGTCAGTAGAGGAAACACATCACCAACAAGTTTCTGAGAATGCTTCTGTCTAGTTGTTATGGGAAGATTTTTCCTTTTTCAACATAGGCCTGAAAGCGCTCCAAATGTCCACTTCCAGATACTACAAAAGGAGTGATCCCAACCTGCTCTATGATAGGGAATGTTCAACTCTGTGTCCTGAATACAAACATCACAAAGATGTTTCTCAGAACGCTGCAGTCTGCAATTTGTATGAATTCCCGCTTCCAACGAAATCCTCAAAACTAGCCAAATATCCACTTGCAGATTCCACAAAAAGAGCATTTCAAAACTGCTCTATCAAAAGAAAGGTTCAACTTTGTTAGTTGAGTAGATACAGCATAAACAAGTTTCTGAGAATGCTTCTGTCCAGTTTTTATGGGAAGATATTTCCTTTTTCACCTTAGCCCTGAAAGCGCTCCAAATTTCCAGTTCCAGATACTACAAAAGGGGTGTTTCAAGACTGCTCTATGAAAGGGAGTGTTCAACTTTTGACTTGAATGCAAACATCAGAAAGCAGTTTCTCAGAACGCTGCTGTGTGCTTTTTATATGTATTCCCGCTTCCAGCGAAATCCCCAAAGCTAGCCAAATATCCACTTGCAGATTCCAGAAAAAGAGTGTTTCCAAACTGCTCCTTCAAAACGGTGGTTCAATTCTCTTAGTTGAGTACACACATCTCAAATAAGTTTCTGGGAATGCTTCTGTCTAGTTGTTATGGGAAGATATTTCCTTTTCCAACATAGGCCTGAAAGCGCTCCAAATGTCCACTTCCAGATACTACAAAAGGAGTGATTCAAACCTGCTCTATGATAGGGAATGTTCAACTCTGTGTCCTGAATACAAACATCACAAAGATGTTTCTCAGAACGCTGCAGTCTGCAATTTGTATGAATTCCCGCTTCCAACGAAATCCTCAAAACTAGCCAAATATCCACTTGCAGATTCCACAAAAAGAGCATTTCAAAACTGCTCTATCAAAAGAAAGGTTCAACTATGTTAGTTGAGTAGATACAGCATAAACAAGTTTCTGAGAATGATTCTGTCCAGTTTTTATGGGAAGATATTTCCTTTTTCACCTTAGCCCTGAAATCGCTCCAAAAGTCCAGTTCCAGATACTACAAAAGGGGTGTTTCAAGACTGCTCTATGAAAGGGAGTGTTCAACTTTTGACTTGAATGCAAACATCAGAAAGCAGTTTCTCAGAACGCTGCTGTGTGCTTTTTATATGTATTCCCGCTTCCAGCGAAATCCCCAAAGCTAGCCAAATATCCACTTGCAGATTCCAGAAAAAGAGTGTTTCAAAACTGCTCCTTCAAAACGGTGGTTCAATTCTCTTAGTTGAGTACACACATCTCAAATAAGTTTCTGAGAATGCTTGTGTCTAGTTGTTATGGGAAGATATTTCCTTTTTCAACATAGGCCTGAAAGCGCTCCAAATGTCCACTTCCAGATACTACAAAAGGAGTGATTCCAACCTGCTCTATGATAGGGAATGTTCAACTCTCTGTCCTGAATACAAACATCACAAAGATGTTTCTCAGAACGCTGCAGGCTGCAATTTGTATGAATTCCCGCTTCCAACGAAATCCTCAAAACTAGCCAAATATCCACTTGCAGATTCCACAAAAAGAGCGTTTCAAAACTTCTCTATGAAAAGAAAGGTTCTACTCCTTTAGTTGAGGACACACATCACGAGTAAGTTTCTGAGAATGCTTCTGTCTAGTTTTTAAGGGAAGATATTTCCTTTTTCACGTTAGGCCGGAAAGTGCTCCAAATGTCCACTTACACACACTACAAAAAGAGTGTTTCAAACCTGCTCTGTGAAAGGGAATGTTCAATTCTGTGACTTGAATGCAATCATCACAAAGAACTTTCTGAGAATGCTGCTGTCTGCTTTTTATATGTAATCCGGTTTCCAACGAAATCCTCAAATCTAGCCAAATAGCCACTTGCAGATTCCACAAAAAGAGTGTTTCAAAACTGTTCTGTCTAAAGAAATGTTCAACTGTGTTAGTTGAGGACACACATCAGAAACTAGTTTCTGAGAATGCTTCTGTCTAGTTATGGGAAGAGATTTCCTTTTCCAACGTAGGCCTGAAAGCGCTCCAAATGTCCACTTCCATATACTAAAAAAAGAGCGTTTCAAACCTGCTCTACCAAAGGGAATGTTCTACTCTGTGACTTGAATGCAAACATCCCAAAGAAGTTTCTGAGAATGCTTCTGTCTAGATTTTATCTGAAGACAACCCCGTTTCCAACGAAATCCTCAAGGCTAGGCAAATATACTCTTGCAGATTCCAGAAAAAGAGTGTTTCAAAACTGCTCCTTCAAAACGGTGGTTCAATTCTCTTAGTTGAGTCCACACATCTCAAATAAGTTTCTGAGAATGCTTCTGCCTAGTTGTTACGGGAAGATATTTCCCTTTCCAACATGGGCCTGAAAGCGCTCCAAATGTCCACTTCCAGATACTACAAAAAGAGGGTTTCAAACCTGCTCTACCAAAGGGAATGTTCTACTCTGTGACTTGAATGCAAACATCCCAAAGAAGTTTCTGAGAATGCTTCTGTCTAGATTTTACCTGAAGACAATCCCGTTTCCCACGAAATCCTCAAAGCTATGCAAATATCCTCTTGCAGATTCTACAAAAAGAGTGTTTCAAAACTGCTCTATGAAAAGAAAGGTTCAACTCTGTCAGTAGAGGGCACACATCACAAACAAGTTTCTGAGAATGCTTCTGTCTAGTTGCTATGGGAAGATTTTTCCTTTTTCAACATAGGCCTGAAAGCGCTCCAAATGTCCACTTCCAGATACTACAAAAGGAGTGATCCCAACCTGCTCTATGATAGGGAATGTTCAACTCTGTGTCCTGAATACAAACATCACAAAGATGTTTCTCAGAACGCTGCAGTCTGCAATTTGTATGAATTCCCGCTTCCAACGAAATCCTCAAAACTAGCCAAATATCCACTTGCAGATTCCACAAAAAGAGCATTTCAAAACTGCTCTATCAAAAGAAAGGTTCAACTTTGTTAGTTGAGCAGATACAGCATAAACAAGTTTCTGAGAATGCTTCTGTCCAGTTTTTATGGGAAGATATTTCCTTTTTCACCTTAGCCCTGAAATCGCTCCAAAAGTCCAGTTCCAGATACTACAAAAGGGGTGTTTCAGGACTGCCCTATGAAAGGGAGTGTTCAACTTTTGACTTGAATGCAAACATCAGAAAGCAGTTTCTCAGAACGCTGCTGTGTGCTTTTTATATGTATTCCCGCTTCCAGCGAAATCCCCAAAGCTAGCCAAATATCCACTTGCAGATTCCAGAAAAAGAGAGTTTCAAAACTGCTCCTTCAAAACGGTGGTTCAATTCTCTTAGTTGAGTACACACATCTCAAATAAGTTTCTGAGAATGCTTCTGTCTAGTTGTTATGGGAAGATATTTCCTTTTCCAACATAGGCCTGAAAGCGCTCCAAATGTCCACTTCCAGATACTACAAAAGGAGTGATTCAAACCTGCTCTATGATAGGGAATGTTCAACTCTGTGTCCTGAATACAAACATCACAAAGATGTTTCTCAGAACGCTGCAGTCTGCAATTTGTATGAATTCCCGCTTCCAACGAAATCCTCAAAACTAGCCAAATATCCACTTGCAGATTCCACAAAAAGAGCGTTTCAAAACTTCTCTATGAAAAGAAAGTTTCTACTCCTTTAGTTGAGGACACACATCACGAGTAAGTTTCTGAGAATGCTTCTGTCTAGTTTTTATGGGAAGATATTTCCTTTTTCACCTTAGGCCGGTAAGGGTTCCAAATGTCCACTTACACACACTACAAAAAGAGTGTTTCAAACCTGCTCTGTGAAAGGGAATGTTCAATTCTGTGACTTGAATGCAATCATCACAAAGAACTTTCTGAGAATGCTGCTGTCTGCTTTTTATATGTAATCCCGTTTCCAACGAAATCCTCAAATCTAGCCAAATAGCCACTTGCAGATTCCACAAAAAGAGTGTTTCAAAACTGTTCTGTCTAAAGAAATGTTCAACTGTGTTAGTTGAGGACACACATCAGAAACTAGTTTGCTGAGAATGCTTCTGTCTAGTTGTTATGGGAAGATATTTCCTTTTCCAACGTAGGCCTGAAAGCGCTCCAAATGTCCACTTCCAGATACTACGAAAAGAGTGTTTCAAACCTGCTCTACCAAAGGGAATGTTCTACTCTGTGACTTGAATGCAAGCATCCCAAAGAAGTTTCTGAGAATGCTTCTGTCTAGATTTGATCTGAAGACAATCCCGTTTCCAACGAAATCCTCAAGGCTAGGCAAATATCCTCTTGCAGATTCCAGAAAAAGAGTGTTTCAAAACTGCTCCTTCAAAACGGTGGTTCAATTCTCTTAGTTGAGTACACACATCTCAAATAAGTTTCTGAGAATGCTTCTGCCTAGTTGTTACGGGAAGATATTTCCCTTTCCAACATGGGCCTGAAAGCGCTCCAAATGTCCACTTCCAGATACTACAAAAAGAGTGTTTCAAACCTGCTCTACCAAAGGGAATGTTCTACTCTGTGACTTGAATGCAAACATCCCAAAGAAGTTTCTGAGAATGCTTCTGTCTACATTTTACCTGAAGACAATCCCGTTTCCCACGAAATCCTCAAAGCTATGCAAATATCCTCTTGCGGATTCTACAAAAAGAGTGTTTCAAAACTGCTCTATGAAAAGAAAGGTTCAACTCTGTCAGTAGAGGGCACACATCACAAACAAGTTTCTGAGAATGCTTGTGTCTAGTTGTTATGGGAAGATATTTCCTTTTTCAACATAGGCCTGAAAGCGCTCCAAATGTCCACTTCCAGATACTACAAAAGGAGTGATTCCAACCTGCTCTATGATAGGGAATGTTCATCTCTGTGTCCTGAATAGAAACATCACAAAGATGTTTCTCAGAACGCTGCAGTCTGCAATTTGTATGAATTCCCGCTTCCAACGAAATCCTCAAAACTAGCCAAATATCCACTTGGAGATTCCACAAAAAGAGCGTTTCAAAACTTCTCTATGAATAGAAAGGTTCTACTCCTTTAGTTGAGGACACACATCACGAGTAAGTTTCTGAGAATGCTTCTGTCTAGTTTTTATGGGAAGATATTTCCTTTTTCACCTTAGGCCGGAAAGCGCTCCAAATGTCCACTTACACACACTACAAAAAGAGTGTTTCAAACCTGCTCTGTGAAAGGGAATGTTCAATTCTGTGACTTGAATGCAATCATCAAAAAGAACTTTCTGAGAATGCTGCTGACTGCTTTTTATATGTAATCCCGTTTCCAACGAAATCCTCAAATCTAGCCAAATAGCCACTTGCAGATTCCACAAAAAGAGTGTTTCAAAACTGTTCTGTCTAAAGAAATGTTCAACTGTGTTAGTTGAGGACACACATCAGAAACTAGTTTCTGAGAATGCTTCTGTCTAGTTGTTATGGGAAGATATTTCCTTTTCCAAAGTAGGCCTGAAAGCGCTCCAAATGTCCACTTCCAGATACTACAAAAAGAGTGTTTCAAACCTGCTTTACCAAAGGGAATGTTCTACTCTGTGACTTGAATGCAAGCATCCCAAAGAAGTTTCTGAGAATGCTTCTGTCTAGATTTTCTCTGAAGACAATCCCGTTTCCAACGAAATCCTCAAGGCTAGGCAAATATACTCTTGCAGATTCCAGAAAAAGAGTGTTTCAAAACTGCTCCTTCAAAACGGTGGTTCAATTCTCTTAGTTGAGTACACACATCTCAAATAAGTTTCTGAGAATGCTTCTGCCTAGTTGTTACGGGAAGATATTTCCCTTTCCAACATAAGCCTGAAAGCGCTCCAAATGTCCACTTCCAGATACTACAAAAAGAGTGTTTCAAACCTGCTCTACCAAAGGGAATGTTCTACTCTGTGACTTGAATGCAAACATCCCAAAGAAGTTTCTGAGAATGCTTCTGTCTAGATTTTACCTGAAGACAATCCCGTTTCCCACGAAATCCTCAAAGCTATGCAAATATCCTCTTGCAGATTCTACAAAAAGAGTGTTTCAAAACTGCTCTATGAAAAGAAAGGTTCAACTCTGTCAGTAGAGGGCACACATCACAAACAAGTTTCTGAGAATGCTTGTGTCTAGTTGTTATGGGAAGATATTTCCTTTTTCAACATAGGCCTGAAAGCGCTCCAAATGTCCACTTCCAGATACTACAAAAGGAGTGATTCCAACCTGCTCTATGATAGGGAATGTTCAACTCTCTGTCCTGAATACAAACATCACAAAGATGTTTCTCAGAACGCTGCAGTCTGCAATTTGTATGAATTCCCGCTTCCAACCAAATCCTCAAAACTAGCCAAATATCCACTTGCAGATTCCACAAAAAGAGCATTTCAAAACTGCTCTATCAAAAGAAAGGTTCAACTTTGTTAGTTGAGTAGATACAGCATAAACAAGTTTCTGAGAATGCTTCTGTCCAGTTTTTATGGGAAGATATTTCCTTTTTCACCTTAGCCCTGAAATCGCTCCAAAAGTCCAGTTCCAGATACTACAAAAGGGGTGTTTCAGGACTGCTCTATGAAAGGGAGTGTTCAACTTTTGACTTGAATGCAAACATCAGAAAGCAGTTTCTCAGAACGCTGCAGTCTGCAATTTGTATGAATTCCCGCTTCCAACGAAATCCTCCAAACTAGCCAAATATCCACTTGCAGATTCCACAAAAAGAGCGTTTCAAAACTTCTCTATGAAAAGAAAGGTTCTACTCCTTTAGTTGAGGACACACATCACGAGTAAGTTTCTGAGAATGCTTCTGTCTAGTTTTTATGGGAAGATATTTCCTTTTTCACCTTAGGCCGGAAAGTGCTCCAAATGTCCACTTACACACACTACAAAAAGAGTGTTTCAAACCTGCTCTGTGAAAGGGAATGTTCAATTCTGTGACTTGAATGCAATCATCACAAAGAACGTTCTGAGAATGCTGCTGTCTGCTTTTTATATGTAATCCCGTTTCCAACGAAATCCTCAAATCTAGCCAAATAGCCACTTGCAGATTCCACAAAAAGAGAGTTTCAAAACTGTTCTGTCTAAAGAAATGTTCAACTGTGTTAGTTGAGGACACACATCAGAAACTAGTTTCTGAGAATGCTTCTGTCTAGTTGTTATGGGAAGATATTTCCTTTTCCAACGTAGGCCTGAAAGCGCTCCAAATGTCCACTTCCAGATACTAAAAAAAGAGTGTTTCAAACCTGCTCTACCAAAGGGAATGTTCTACTCTGTGACTTGAATGCAAACATCCCAAAGAAGTTTCTGAGAATGCTTCTGTCTAGATTTTCTCTGAAGACAATCCCGTTTCCAACGAAATCCTCAAGGCTAGGCAAATATACTCTTGCAGATTCCAGAAAAAGAGTGTTTCAAAACTGCTCCTTCAAAACGGTGGTTCAATTCTCTTAGTTGAGTACACACATCTCAAATAAGTTTCTGAGAATGCTTCTGCCTAGTTGTTACGGGAAGATATTTCCCTTTCCAACATGGGCCTGAAATCGCTCCAAATGTCCACTTCCAGATACTACAAAAAGAGTGTTTCAAACCTGCTCTACCAAAGGGAATGTTCTACTCTGTGACTTGAATGCAAACATCCCAAAGAAGTTTCTGAGAATACTTCTGTCTAGATTTTCTCTGAAGACAATCCCGTTTCCAACGAAATCCTCAAGGCTAGGCAAATATACTCTTGCAGATTCCAGAAAAAGAGTGTTTCAAAACTGCTCCTTCAAAACGGTGGTTCAATTCTCTTAGTTGAGTACACACATCTCAAATAAGTTTCTGAGAATGCTTCTGCCTAGTTGTTACGGGAAGATATTTCCCTTTCCAACATAGGCCTGAAAGCGCTCCAAATGTCCACTTCCAGATACTACAAAAAGAGTGTTTCAAACCTGCTCTACCAAAGGGAATGTTCTGCTCTGTGACTTGAATGCAAACATCCCAAAGAAGTTTCTGAGAATGCTTCTGTCTAGATTTTACCTGAAGACAATCCCGTTTCCCACGAAATCCTCAGAGCTATGCAAATATCCTCTTGCAGATTCTACAAAAAGAGTGTTTCGAAACTGCTCTATGAAAAGAAAGGTTCAACTCTGTCAGTAGAGGAAACACATCACCAACAAGTTTCTGAGAATGCTTCTGCATAGTTGTTACGGGAAGATATTTCCCTTTCCAAAATAGGCCTGAAAGCGCTCCAAATGTCCACTTCCAGATACTACAAAAGGAGTGATTCCAACCTGCTCTATGATAGGGAATGTTCAACTCTGTGTCCTGAATACAAACATCACAAAGATGTTTCTCAGAACGCTGCAGTCTGCAATTTGTATGAATTCCCGCTTCCAACGAAATCCTCAAAACTAGCCAAATATCCACTTGCAGATTCCACAAAAAGACCATTTCAAAACTGCTCTATCAAAAGAAAGGTTCAACTTTGTTAGTTGAGTAGATACAGCATAACCAAGTTTCTGAGAATGCTTCTGTCCAGTTTTTATGGGAAGATATTTCCTTTTTCACCTTAGCCCTGAAATCGCTCCAAAAGTCCAGTTCCAGATACTACAAAAGGGGTGTTTCAAGACTGCTCTATGAAAGGGAGTGTTCAACTTTTGACTTGAATGCAAACATCAGAAAGCAGTTTCTCAGAACGCTGCTGTGTGCTTTTTATATGTATTCCCGCTTCCAGCGAAATCCCCAAAGCTAGCCAAATATCCACTTGCAGATTCCAGAAAAAGAGAGTTTCAAAACTGCTCCTTCAAAACGGTGGTTCAATTCTCTTAGTTGAGTACACACATCTCAAATAAGTTTCTGAGAATGCTTCTGTCTAGTTTTTATGGGAAGATATTTCCTTTTTCACCTGAGGCCGGAAAGCGCTCCAAATGTCCACTTCCAGATACTACAAAAGGAGTGATTCAAACCTGCTCTATGATAGGGAACGTTCAACTCTGTGTCCTGAATACAAACATCACAAAGATGTTTCTCAGAACGCTGCAGTCTGCAATTTGTATGAATTCCCGCTTCCAACGAAATCCTCCAAACTAGCCAAATATCCACTTGCAGATTCCACAAAAAGAGCGTTTCAAAACTTCTCTATGAAAAGAAAGGTTCTACTCCTTTAGTTGAGGACACACATCACGAGTAAGTTTCTGAGAATGCTTCTGTCTAGTTTTTATGGGAAGATATTTCCTTTTTCACCTTAGGCCGGTAAGTGCTCCAAATGTCCACTTACACACACTACAAAAAGAGTGTTTCAAACCTGCTCTGTGAAAGGGAATGTTCAATTCTGTGACTTGAATGCAATCATCACAAAGAACTTTCTGAGAATGCTGCTGACTGCTTTTTATATGTAATCCCGTTTCCAACGAAATCCTCAAATCTAGCCAAATAGCCACTTGCAGATTCCACAAAAAGAGTGTTTCAAAACTGTTCTGTCTAAAGAAATGTTCAACTGTGTTAGTTGAGGACACACATCAGAAACTAGTTTCTGAGAATGCTTCTGTCTAGTTGTTATGGGAAGATATTTCCTTTTCCAACGTAGGCCTGAAAGCGCTCCAAATGTCCACTTCCAGATACTACAAAAAGAGTGTTTCAAACCTGCTCTACCAAAGGGAATGTTCTACTCTGTGACTTGAATGCAAGCATCCCAAAGAAGTTTCTGAGAATGCTTCTGTCTAGATTTTCTCTGAAGACAATCCCGTTTCCAACGAAATCCTCAAGGCTAGGCAAATATACTCTTGCAGATTCCAGAAAAAGAGTGTTTCAAAACTGCTCCTTCAAAACGGTGGTTCAATTCTCTTAGTTGAGTACACACATCTCAAATAAGTTTCTGAGAATGCTTCTGCCTAGTTGTTACGGGAAGATATTTCCCTTTCCAACATGGGCCTGAAAGCGCTCCAAATGTCCACTTCCAGATACTACAAAAAGAGTGTTTCAAACCTGCTCTACCAAAGGGAATGTTCTACTCTGTGACTTGAATGCAAACATCCCAAAGAAGTTTCTGAGAATGCTTCTGTCTAGATTTTACCTGAAGACAATCCCGTTTCCCACGAAATCCTCAAAGCTATGCAAATATCCTCTTGCAGATTCTACAAAAAGAGTGTTTCAAAACTGCTCTATGAAAAGAAAGGTTCAACTCTGTCAGTAGAGGGCACACATCACAAACAAGTTTCTGAGAATGCTTGTGTCTAGTTGTTATGGGAAGATATTTCCTTTTTCAACATAGGCCTGAAAGCGCTCCAAATGTCCACTTCCAGATACTACAAAGGGAGTGATTCCAACCTGCTCTATGATAGGGAATGTTCATCTCTGTGTCCTGAATAGAAACATCACAAAGATGTTTCTCAGAACGCTGCAGTCTGCAATTTGTATGAATTCCCGCTTCCAACGAAATCCTCAAAACTAGCCAAATATCCACTTGCAGATTCCACAAAAAGACCATTTCAAAACTGCTCTATCAAAAGAAAGGTTCAACTTTGTTAGTTGAGTAGATACAGCATAAACAAGTTTCTGAGAATGCTTCTGTCCAGTTTTTATGGGAAGATATTTCCTTTTTCACCTTAGCCCTGAAATCGCTCCAAAAGTCCAGTTCCAGATACTACAAAAGGGGTGTTTCAAGACTGCTCTATGAAAGGGAGTGTTCAACTTTTGACTTGAATGCAAACATCAGAAAGCAGTTTCTCAGAACGCTGCTGTGTGCTTTTTATATGTATTCCCGCTTCCAGCGAAATCCCCAAAGCTAGCCAAATATCCACTTGCAGATTCCAGAAAAAGAGTGTTTCAAAACTGCTCCTTCAAAACGGTGGTTCAATTCTCTTAGTTGAGTACACACATCTCAAATAAGTTTCTGAGAATGCTTCTGTCTAGTTTTTATGGGAAGATATTTCCTTTTTCACCTGAGGCCGGAAAGCGCTCCAAATGTCCACTTCCAGATACTACAAAAGGAGTGATTCAAACCTGCTCTATGATAGGGAATGTTCAACTCTGTGTCCTGAATACAAACATCACAAAGATGTTTCTCAGAACGCTGCAGTCTGCAATTTGTATGAATTCCCGCTTCCAACGAAATCCTCCAAACTAGCCAAATATCCACTTGCAGATTCCACAAAAAGAGCGTTTCAAAACCTCTCTATGAAAAGAAAGGTTCTACTCCTTTAGTTGAGGACACACATCACGAGTAAGTTTCTCAGAATGCTTCTGTCTAGTTTTTATGGGAAGATATTTCCTTGTTCACCTTAGGCCGGAAAGCGCTCCAAATGTCCACTTACACACACTACAAAAAGAGTGTTTCAAACCTGCTCTGTGAAACGGAATGTTCAATTCTGTGACTTGAATGCAATCATCACAAAGAAGTTTCTGAGAATGCTGCTGACTGCTTTTTATATGTAATCCCGTTTCCAACGAAATCCTCAAATCTAGCCAAATAGCCACTTGCAGATTCCACAAAAAGAGTGTTTCAAAACTGTTCTGTCTAAAGAAATGTTCAACTGTGTTAGTTGAGGACACACATCAGAAACTAGTTTCTGAGAATGCTTCTGTCTAGTTGTTATGGGAAGATATTTCCTTTTCCAACGTAGGCCTGAAAGCGCTCCAAATGTCCACTTCCATATACTAAAAAAAGAGTGTTTCAAACCTGCTCTACCAAAGGAATGTTCTACTCTGTGACTTGAATGCAAACATCCCAAAGAAGTTTCTGAGAATGCTTCTGTCTAGATTTGATCTGAAGACAATCCCGTTTCCAACGAAATCCTCAAGGCTAGGCAAATATCCTCTTGCAGATTCCAGAAAAAGAGTGTTTCAAAACTGCTCCTTCAAAACGGTGGTTCAATTCTCTTAGTTGAGTACACACATCTCAAATAAGTTTCTGAGAATGCTTCTGCCTAGTTGTTACGGGAAGATATTTCCCTTTCCAACATGGGCCTGAAAGCGCTCCAAATGTCCACTTCCAGATACTACAAAAAGAGGGTTTCAAACCTGCTCTACCAAAGGGAATGTTCTACTCTGTGACTTGAATGCAAACATCCCAAAGAAGTTTCTGAGAATGCTTCTGTCTAGATTTTACCTGAAGACAATCCCGTTTCCCACGAAATCCTCAAAGCTATGCAAATATCCTCTTGCAGATTCTACAAAAAGAGTGTTTCAAAACTGCTCTATGAAAAGAAAGGTTCAACTCTGTCAGTAGAGGGCACACATCACAAACAAGTTTCTGAGAATGCTTCTGCATAGTTGTTACGGGAAGATATTTCCCTTTCCAAAATAGGCCTGAAAGCGCTCCAAATGTCCACTTCCAGATACTACAAAAGGAGTGATTCCAACCTGCTCTATGATAGGGAATGTTCAACTCTGTGTCCTGAATACAAACATCACAAAGATGTTTCTCAGAACGCTGCAGTCTGCAATTTGTATGAATTCCCGCTTCCAACGAAATCCTCAAAACTAGCCAAATATCCACTTGCAGATTCCACAAAAAGAGCATTTCAAAACTGCTCTATCAAAAGAAAGGTTCAACTTTGTTAGTTGAGTAGATACAGCATAAAAAAGTTTCTGAGAATGCTTCTGTCCAGTTTTTATGGGAAGATATTTCCTTTTTCACCTTAGCCCTGAAAGCGCTCCAAAAGTCCAGTTCCAGATACTACAAAAGGAGTGTTTCAGGACTGCACTATGAAAGGGAGTGTTCAACTTTTGACTTGAATGCAAACATCAGAAAGCAGTTTCTCAGAACGCTGCTGTGTGCTTTTTATATGTATTCCCGCTTCCAGCGAAATCCCCAAAGCTAGCCAAATATCCACTTGCAGATTCCAGAAAAAGAGTGTTTCAAAACTGCTCCTTCAAAACGGTGGTTCAATTCTCTTAGTTGAGTACACACATCTCAAATAAGTTTCTGAGAATGCTTGTGTCTACTTGTTATCGGAAGATATTTCCTTTTTCAACATAGGCCTGAAAGCGCTCCAAATGTCCACTTCCAGATACTACAAAAGGAGTGATTCCAACCTGCTGTATGATAGGGAATGTTCAACTCTGTGTCCTGAATACAAACATCACAAAGATGTTTCTCAGAACGCTGCAGTCTGCAATTTGTATGAATTCCCGCTTCCAACGAATTCCTCAATACTAGCCAAATATCCACTTGCAGACTCCACAAAAAGAGCATTTCAAAACTGCTCTATCAAAAGAAAGGTTCAACTTTGTTAGCTGAGTAGATACAGCATAAACAAGTTTCTGAGAATGCTTCTGTCCAGTTTTTATGGGAAGATATTTCCTTTTTCACCTTAGCCCTGAAAGCACTCCAAATGTCCACTTCCAGATACCACAAAAGGGGAGTTTCAAGACTGCTCTATGAAAGGGAGTGTTCAACTTTTGACTTGAATGCGAACATCAGAAAGAACTTTCTGAGAATGCGGCTGTGTGCTTTTTATATGTATTTCCGCTTCCAGCGAAATCCCCAAAGCTAGCCAAATATCCACTTGCAGATTCCAGAATAAGAGTGTTTCAAAACTGCTCCTTCAAAACGGTGGTTCAATTCTCTTAGTTGAGTACACACATCTCAAATAAGTTTCTGAGAATGCTTCTGTCTAGTTGTTACGGGAAGGTATTTCCTTTTCCAACATAGGCCTGAAAGCGCTCCAAATGTCCACTTCCAGATACTACAAAAGGAGTGATTCAAACCTGCTCTATGATAGGGAATGTTCAACTCTGTGTCCTGAATACAAACATCACAAAGATGTTTCTCAGAACGCTGCAGTCTGCAATTTGTATGAATTCCCGCTTCCAACGAAATCCTCAAAACTAGCCAAATATCCACTTGCAGATTCCACAAAAAGAGCGTTTCAAAACTTCTCTATGAAAAGAAAGTTTCTACTCCTTTAGTTGAGTACACACATCACGAGTAAGTTTCTGAGAATGCTTCTGTCTAGTTTTTATGGGAAGATATTTCCTTTTTCACCTTAGGCCGGTAAGTGCTCCAAATGTCCACTTACACACACTACAAAAAGAGTGTTTCAAACCTGCTCTGTGAAAGGGAATGTTCAATTCTGTGACTTGAATGCAATCATCACAAAGAACTTTCTGAGAATGCTGCTGACTGCTTTTTATATGTAATCCCGTTTCCAACGAAATCCTCAAATCTAGCCAAATAGCCACTTGCAGATTCCACAAAAAGAGTGTTTCAAAACTGTTCTGTCTAAAGAAATGTTCAACTGTGTTAGTTGAGGACACACATCAGAAACTAGTTTGCTGAGAATGCTTATCTGTCTAGTTGTTATGGGAAGATATTTCCTTTTCCAACGTAGGCCTGAAAGCGCTCCAAATGTCCACTTCCATATACTAAAAAAAGAGTGTTTCAAACCTGCTCTACCAAAGGGAATGTTCTACTCTGTGACTTGAATGCAAACATCCCAAAGAAGTTTCTGAGAATGCTTCTGTCTAGATTTGATCTGAAGACAATCCCGTTTCCAACGAAATCCTCAAGGCTAGGCAAATATCCTCTTGCAGATTCCAGAAAAAGAGTGTTTCAAAACTGCTCCTTCAAAACGGTCGTTCAATTCTCTTAGTTGAGTACACACATCTCAAATAAGTTTCTGAGAATGCTTCTGTCTAGTTGTTATGGGAAGAATATTTCCTTTTCCAACGTAGGCCTGAAAGCGCTCCAAATGTCCACTTCCAGATACTACAAAAAGAGTGTTTCAAACCTGCTCTACCAAAGGGAATGTTCTACTCTGTGACTTGAATGCAAGCATCCCAAAGAAGTTTCTGAGAATGCTTCTGTCTAGATTTGATCTGAACACAATCCCGTTTCCAACGAAATCCTCAAAGCTAGGCAAATATCCTCTTGCAGATTCCAGAAAAAGAGTGTTTCAAAACTGCTCCTTCAAAACGGTGGTTCAATTCTCTTAGTTGAGTACACACATCTCAAATAAGTTTCTGAGAATGCTTCTGCCTAGTTGTTACGGGAAGATATTTCCCTTTCCAACATAGGCCTGAAAGCGCTCCAAATGTCCACTTCCAGATACTACAAAAAGAGTGTTTCAAACCTGCTCTACCAAAGGGAATGTTCTACTCTGTGACTTGAATGCAAACATCCCAAAGAAGTTTCTGAGAATGCTTCTGTCTAGATTTTACCTGAAGACAATCCCGTTTCTCACGAAATCCTCAAAGCTATGCAAATATCCTCTTGCAGATTCTACAAAAAGAGTGTTTCAAAACTGCTCTATGAAAAGAAAGGTTCAACTCTGTCAGTAGAGGGCACACATCACAAACAAGTTTCTGAGAATGCTTGTGTCTAGTTGTTATGGGAAGATATTTCCTTTTTCAACATAGCCCTGAAAGCGCTCCAAATGTCCACTTCCAGATACTACAAAAGGAGTGATTCCAACCTGCTCTATGATAGGGAATGTTCAACTCTCTGTCCTGAATACAAACATCACAAAGATGTTTCTCAGAACGCTGCAGTCTGCAATTTGCATGAATTCCAGCTTCCAACGAAATCCTCAAAACTAGCCAAATATCCACTTGCAGATTCCACAAAAAGAGCATTTCAAAACTGCTCTATCAAAAGAAAGGTTCAACTTTGTTAGTAGAGTAGATACAGCATAAACAAGTTTCTGAGAATGCTTCTGTCCAGTTTTTATGGGAAGATATTTCCTTTTTCACCTTAGCCCTGAAAGCGCCCCAAATGTCCAGTTCCAGATACTACAAAAGGGGTGTTTCAAGACTGCTCTATGAAAGGGAGTGTTCAACTTTTGATTTGAATGCAAACATCAGAAAGCAGTTTCTCAGAACGCTGCTGTGTGCTTTTTATATGTATTCCCGCTTCCAGCGAAATCCCCAAAGCTAGCCAAATATCCACTTGCAGATTCCAGAAAAAGAGAGTTTCAAAACTGCTCCTTCAAAACGGTGGTTCAATTCTCTTAGTTGAGTACACACATCTCAAATAAGTTTCTGAGAATGCTTCTGTCTAGTTGTTATGGGAAGATATTTCCTTTTCCAACATAGGCCTGAAAGCGCTCCAAATGTCCACTTCCAGATACTACAAAAGGAGTGATTCCAACCTGCTCTATGATAGGGAATGTTCAACTCTGTGTCCTGAATACAAACATCACAAAGATGTTTCTCAGAACGCTGCAGTCTGCAATTTGTATGAATTCCCGCATCCAACGAAATCCTCAAAACTAGCCAAATATCCACTTGGAGATTCCACAAAAAGAGCGTTTCAAACCTTCTCTATGAATAGAAAGGTTCTACTCCTTTAGTTGAGGACACACATCACGAGTAAGTTTCTGAGAATGCTTGTCTGTCTAGTTTTTATGGAAGATATTTCCTTTTTCACCTTAGGCCGGAAAGCGCTCCAAATGTCCACTTACACACACTACAAAAAGAGTGTTTCAAACCTGCTCTGTGAAAGGGAATGTTCAATTCTGTGACTTGAATGCAATCATCACAAAGAACTTTCTGAGAATGCTGCTGACTGCTTTTTATATGTAATCCCGTTTCCAACGAAATCCTCAAATCTAGCCAAATAGCCACTTGCAGATTCCACAAAAAGAGTGTTTCAAAACTGTTCTGTCTAAAGAAATGTTCAACTGTGTTAGTTGAGGACACACATCAGAAACTAGTTTCTGAGAATGCTTCTGTCTAGTTGTTATGGGAAGATATTTCCTTTTCCAACGTAGGCCTGAAAGCGCTCCAAATGTCCACTTCCATATACTAAAAAAAGAGTGTTTCAAACCTGCTCTACCAAAGGGAATGTTCTACTCTGTGACTTGAATGCAAACATCCCAAAGAAGTTTCTGAGAATGCTTCTGTCTAGATTTGATCTGAAGACAATCCCGTTTCCAACGAAATCCTCAAGGCTAGGCAAATATCCTCTTGCAGATTCCAGAAAAAGAGGGTTTCAAAACTGCTCCTTCAAAACGGTGGTTCAATTCTCTTAGTTGAGTACACACATCTCAAATAAGTTTCTGAGAATGCTTCTGCCTAGTTGTTACGGGAAGATATTTCCCTTTCCAACATAGGCCTGAAAGCGCTCCAAATGTCCACTTCCAGATACTACAAAAAGAGTGTTTCAAACCTGCTCTACCAAAGGGAATGTTCTACTCTGTGACTTGAATGCAAACATCCCAAAGAAGTTTCTGAGAATGCTTCTGTCTAGATTTTACCTGAAGACAATCCCGTTTCCCACGAAATCCTCAAAGCTATGCAAATATCCTCTTGCAGATTCTACAAAAAGAGTGTTTCAAAACTGCTCTATGAAAAGAAAGGTTCAACTCTGTCAGTAGAGGGCACACATCACAAACAAGTTTCTGAGAATGCTTGTGTCTAGTTGTTATGGGAAGATATTTCCTTTTTCAACATAGGCCTGAAAGCGCTCCAAATGTCCCAGATACTACAAAAGGAGTGATTCCAACCTGCTCTATGATAGGGAATGTTCATCTCTGTGTCCTGAATACAAACATCACAAAGATGTTTCTCAGAACGCTGCAGTCTGCAATTTGTATGAATTCCCGCTTCCAACGAAATCCTCAAAACTAGCCAAATATCCACTTGCAGATTCCACAAAAAGACCATTTCAAAACTGCTCTATCAAAAGAAAGGTTCAACTTTGTTAGTTGAGTAGATACAGCATAAACAAGTTTCTGAGAATGCTTCTGTCCAGTTTTTATGGGAAGATATTTCCTTTTTCACCTTAGCCCTGAAAGCGCTCCAAAAGTCCAGTTCCAGATACTACAAAAGGAGTGTTTCAGGACTGCTCTATGAAAGGGAGTGTTCAACTTTTGACTTGAATGCAAACATCAGAAAGCAGTTTCTCAGAACGCTGCTGTGTGCTTTTTATATGTATTCCCGCTTCCAGCGAAATCCCCAAAGCTAGCCAAATATCCACTTGCAGATTCCAGAAAAAGAGTGTTTCAAAACTGCTCCTTCAAAACGGTGGTTCAATTCTCTTAGTTGAGTACACACATCTCAAATAAGTTTCTGAGAATGCTTCCTGTCTATTTGTTATGGGAAGATATTTCCTTTTCCAACATAGGGCCTGAAAGCGCTCCAAATGTCCACTTCCAGATACTACAAAAGGAGTGATTCAAACCTGCTCTATGATAGGGAATGTTCAACTCTGTGTCCTGAATACAAACATCACAAAGATGTTTCTCAGAACGCTGCAGTCTGCAATTTGTATGAATTCCCGCTTCCAACGAAATCCTCAAAACTAGCCAAATATCCACTTGCAGATTCCACAAAAAGAGCGTTTCAAAACTTCTCTATGAAAAGAAAGGTTCTACTCCTTTAGTTGAGGACACACATCACGAGTAAGTTTCTGAGAATGCTTCTGTCTAGTTTTTATGGGAAGATATTTCCTTTTTCACCTTAGGCCGGAAAGCGCTCCAAATGTCCTCTTACACACACTACAAAAAGAGTGTTTCAAACCTGCTCTGTGAAAGGGAATGTTCAATTCTGTGACTTGAATGCAATCATCACAAAGAACTTTCTGAGAATGCCGCTGTCTGCTTTTTCTATGTAATCCCGTTTCCAACGAAATGCTCAAATCTAGCCAAATATCCACTTGCAGATTCCACAAAGAGAGTGTTTCAAAACTGTTCTGTCTAAAGAAATTTACAACTGTGTTAGTTGAGGACACACATCAGAAACTAGTTTCTGACAATGCTTCTGTCTAGTTGTTATGGGAAGATATTTCCTTTTCCAACGTAGGCCTGAAAGCGATCCAAATGTCCACTTCCATATACTAAAAAAAGAGTGTTTCAAACCTGCTCTACCAAAGGGAATGTTCTACTCTGTGACTTGAATGCAAACATCCCAAAGAAGTTTCTGAGAATGCTTCTGTCTAGATTTTCTCTGAAGACAATCCCGTTTCCAACGAAATCCTCAAGGCTAGGCAAATATACTCTTGCAGATTCCAGAAAAAGAGTGTTTCAAAACTGCTCCTTCAAAACGGTGGTTCAATTCTCTTAGTTGAGTACACACATCTCAAATAAGTTTCTGAGAATGCTTCTGCCTAGTTGTTACGGGAAGATATTTCCCTTTCCAACATAGGCCTGAAAGCGCTCCAAATGTCCACTTCCAGATACTACAAAAAGAGTGTTTCAAACCTGCTCTACCTAAGGGAATGTTCTGCTCTGTGACTTGAATGCAAACATCCCAAAGAAGTTTCTGAGAATGCTTCTGTCTAGATTTTACCTGAAGACAATCCCGTTTCCCACGAAATCCTCAAAGCTATGCAAATATCCTCTTGCAGATTCTACAAAAAGAGTGTTTCAAAACTGCTCTATGAAAAGAAAGGTTCAACTCTGTCAGTAGAGGGCACACATCACAAACAAGTTTCTGAGAATGCTTGTGTCTAGTTGTTATGGGAAGATATTTCCTTTTTCAACATAGGCCTGAAAGCGCTCCAAATGTCCACTTCCAGATACTACAAAAGGAGTGATTCCAACCTGCTCTATGATAGGGAATGTTCAACTCTCTGTCCTGAATACAAACATCACAAAGATGTTTCTCAGAACGCTGCAGTCTGCAATTTGTATGAATTCCCGCTTCCAACGAAATCCTCAAAACTAGCCAAATATCCACTTGCAGATTCCACAAAAAGAGCATTTCAAAACTGCTCTATCAAAAGAAAGGTTCAACTTTGTTAGTTGAGTAGATACAGCATAAACAAGTTTCTGAGAATGCTTCTGTCCAGTTTTTATGGGAAGATATTTCCTTTTTCACCTTAGCCCTGAAAGCGCTCCAAAAGTCCAGTTCCAGATACTACAAAAGGGGTGTTTCAGGACTGCTCTATGAAAGGGAGTGTTCAACTTTTGACTTGAATGCAAACATCAGAAAGCAGTTTCTCAGAACGCTGCTGTGTGCTTTTTATATGTATTCCCGCTTCCAGCGAAATCCCCAAAGCTAGCCAAATATCCACTTGCAGATTCCAGAAAAAGAGTGTTTCAAAACTGCTCCTTCAAAACGGTGGTTCAATTCTCTTAGTTGAGTACACACATCTCAAATAAGTTTCTGAGAATGCTTCTGTCTAGTTGTTATGGGAAGATATTTCCTTTTCCAACATAGGCCTGAAAGCGCTCCAAATGTCCACTTCCAGATACTACAAAAGGAGTGATTCAAACCTGCTCTATGATAGGGAATGTTCAACTCTGTGTCCTGAATACAAACATCACAAAGATGTTTCTCAGAACGCTGCAGTCTGCAATTTGTATGAATTCCCGCTTCCAACGAAATCCTCAAAACTAGCCAAATATCCACTTGCAGATTCCACAAAAAGACCATTTCAAAACTGCTCTATCAAAAGAAAGGTTCAACTTTGTTAGTTGAGTAGATACAGCATAAACAAGTTTCTGAGAATGCTTCTGTCCAGTTTTTATGGGAAGATATTTCCTTTTTCACCTTAGCCCTGAAATCGCTCCAAAAGTCCAGTTCCAGATACTACAAAAGGGGTGTTTCAGGACTGCTCTATGAAAGGGAGTGTTCAACTTTTGACTTGAATGCAAACATCAGAAAGCAGTTTCTCAGAACGCTGCTGTGTGCTTTTTATATGTATTCCCGCTTCCAGCGAAATCCCCAAAGCTAGCCAAATATCCACTTGCAGATTCCAGAAAAAGAGTGTTTCAAAACTGCTCCTTCAAAACGGTGGTTCAATTCTCTTAGTTGAGTACACACATCTCAAATAAGTTTCTGAGAATGCTTCTGTCTAGTTGTTATGGGAAGATATTTCCTTTTCCAACATAGGCCTGAAAGCGCTCCAAATGTCCACTTCCAGATACTACAAAAGGAGTGATTCCAACCTGCTCTATGATAGGGAATGTTCAACTCTGTGTCCTGAATACAAACATCACAAAGATGTTTCTCAGAACGCTGCAGTCTGCAATTTGTATGAATTCCCGCTTCCAACGAAATCCTCAAAACTAGCCAAATATCCACTTGCAGATTCCACAAAAAGAGCGTTTCAAAACTTCTCTATGAAAAGAAAGGTTCTACTCCTTTAGTTGAGGACACACATCACGAGTAAGTTTCTGAGAATGCTTCTGTCTAGTTTTTGTGGGAAGATATTTCCTTTTTCACCTTAGGCCGGAAAGTGCTCCAAATGTCCACTTACACACACTACAAAAAGAGTGTTTCAAACCTGCTCTGTGAAAGGGAATGTTCAATTCTGTGACTTGAATGCAATCATCACAAAGAACTTTCTGAGAATGCTGCTGTCTGCTTTTTATATGTAATCCCGTTTCCAACGAAATCCTCAAATCTAGCCAAATATCCACTTGCAGATTCCACAAAAAGAGTGTTTCAAAACTGTTCTGTCTAAAGAAATGTTCAACTGTGTTAGTTGAGGACACACATCAGAAACTAGTTTCTGAGAATGCTTCTGTCTAGTTGTTATGGGAAGATATTTCCTTTTCCAACGTAGGCCTGAAAGCGCTCCAAATGTCCACTTCCATATACTAAAAAAAGAGTGTTTCAAACCTGCTCTACCAAAGGGAATGTTCTACTCTGTGACTTGAATGCAAACATCCCAAAGAAGTTTCTGAGAATGCTTCTGTCTAGATTGGATCTGAAGACAATCCCGTTTCCAACGAAATCCTCAAATCTATGCAAATATCCTCTTGCAGATTCCAGAAAAAGAGTGTTTCAAAACTGCTCCTTCAAAACGGTGGTTCAATTCTCTTAGTTGAGTACACACATCTCAAATAAGTTTCTGAGAATGCTTCTGCCTAGTTGTTACGGGAAGATATTTCCCTTTCCAACATGGGCCTGAAAGCGCTCCAAATGTCCACTTCCAGATACTACAAAAAGAGTGTTTCAAACCTGCTCTACCAAAGGGAATGTTCTACTCTGTGACTTGAATGCAAACATCCCAAAGAAGTTTCTGAGAATGCTTCTGTCTAGATTTTACCTGAAGACTATCCCGTTTCCCACGTAATCCTCAAAGCTATGCAAATATCCTCTTGCAGATTCTACAAAAAGAGTGTTTCAAAACTGCTCTATGAAAAGAAAGGTTCAACTCTGTCAGTAGAGGGCACACATCACAAACAAGTTTCTGAGAATGCTTGTGTCTAGTTGTTATGGGAAGATATTTCCTTTTTCAACATAGGCCTGAAAGCGCTCCAAATGTCCACTTCCAGATACTACAAAAGGAGTGATTCCAACCTGCTCTATGATAGGGAATGTTCAACTCTCTGTCCTGAATACAAACATCACAAAGATGTTTCTCAGAACGCTGCAGTCTGCAATTTGTATGAATTCCCGCTTCCAGCGAAATCCTCAAAACTAGCCAAATATCCACTTGCAGATTCCACAAAAAGAGCATTTCAAAACTGCTCTATCAAAAGAAAGGTTCAACTTTGTTAGTTGAGTAGATACAGCATAAACAAGTTTCTGAGAATGCTTCTGTCCAGTTTTTATGGGAAGATATTTCCTTTTTCACCTTAGCCCTGAAATCGCTCCAAAAGTCCAGTTCCAGATACTACAAAAGGGGTGTTTCAAGACTGCTCTATGAAAGGGAGTGTTCAACTTTTGACTTGAATGCAAACATCAGAAAGCAGTTTCTCAGAACGCTGCTGTGTGCTTTTTATATGTATTCCCGCCTCCAGCGAAATCCCCAAAGCTAGCCAAATATCCACTTGCAGATTCCAGAAAAAGAGTGTTTCAAAACTGCTCCTTCAAAACGGTGGTTCAATTCTCTTAGTTGAGTACACACATCTCAAATAAGTTTCTGAGAATGCTTCTGTCTAGTTGTTATGGGAAGATATTTCCTTTTCCAACATAGGCCTGAAAGCGCTCCAAATGTCCACTTCCAGATACTACAAAAGGAGTGATTCCAACCTGCTCTATGATAGGGAATGTTCAACTCTGTGTCCTGAATACAAACATCACAAAGATGTTTCTCAGAACGCTGCAGTCTGCAATTTGTATGAATTCCCGCTTCCAACGAAATCCTCCAAACTAGCCAAATATCCACTTGCAGATTCCACAAAAAGAGCGTTTCAAAACTTCTCTATGAAAAGAAAGGTTCTACTCCTTTAGTTGAGGACACACATCACGAGTAATTTTCTGAGAATGCTTCTGTCTAGTTTTTATGGGAAGATATTTCCTTGTTCACCTTAGGCCGGAAAGCGCTCCAAATGTCCACTTACACACACTACAAAAAGAGTGTTTCAAACCTGCTCTGTGAAAGGGAATGTTCAATTCTGTGACTTGAATGCAATCATCACAAAGAAGTTTCTGAGAATGCTGCTGACTGCTTTTTATATGTAATCCCGTTTCCAACGAAATCCTCAAATCTAGCCAAATAGCCACTTGCAGATTCCACAAAAAGAGTGTTTCAAAACTGTTCTGTCTAAAGAAATGTTCAACTGTGTTAGTTGAGGACACACATCAGAAACTAGTTTCTGAGAATGCTTCTGTCTAGTTGTTATGGGAAGATATTTCCTTTTCCAACGTAGGCCTGAAAGCGCTCCAAATGTCCACTTCCATATACTAAAAAAAGAGTGTTTCAAACCTGCTCTACCAAAGGGAATGTTCTACTCTGTGACTTGAATGCAAACATCCCAAAGAAGTTTCTGAGAATGCTTCTGTCTAGATTTGATCTGAAGACAATCCCGTTTCCAACGAAATCCTCAAGGCTAGGCAAATATCCTCTTGCAGATTCCAGAAAAAGAGTGTTTCAAAACTGCTCCTTCAAAACGGTGGTTCAATTCTCTTAGTTGAGTACACACATCTCAAATAAGTTTCTGAGAATGCTTCTGCCTAGTTGTTACGGGAAGATATTTCCCTTTCCAACATAGGCCTGAAAGCGCTCCAAATGTCCACTTCCAGATACTACAAAAAGAGTGTTTCAAACCTGCTCTACCAAAGGGAATGTTCTACTCTGTGACTTGAATGCAAACATCCCAAAGAAGTTTCTGAGAATGCTTCTGTCTAGATTTTACCTGAAGACAATCCCGTTTCCCACGAAATCCTCAAAGCTATGCAAAAATCCTCTTGCAGATTCTACAAAAAGAGTGTTTCAAAACTGCTCTATGAAAAGAAAGGTTCAACTCTGTCAGTAGAGGGCACACATCACAAACAAGTTTCTGAGAATGCTTGTGTCTAGTTGTTATGGGAAGATATTTCCTTTTTCAACATAGGCCAGAAAGCGCTCCAAATGTCCACTTCCAGATACTACAAAAGGAGTGATTCCAACCTGCTCTATGATAGGGAATGTTCAACTCTCTGTCCTGAATACAAACATCACAAAGATGTTTCTCAGAACGCTGCAGTCTGCAATTTGTATGAATTCCCGCTTCCAACGAAATCCTCAAAACTAGCCAAATATCCACTTGCAGATTCCACAAAAAGACCATTTCAAAACTGCTCTATCAAAAGAAAGGTTCAACTTTGTTAGTTGAGTAGATACAGCATAAACAAGTTTCTGAGAATGCTTCTGTCCAGTTTTTATGGGAAGATATTTCCTTTTTCACCTTAGCCCTGAAAGCGCTCCAAAAGTCCAGTTCCAGATACTACAAAAGGAGTGTTTCAGGACTGCTCTATGAAAGGGAGTGTTCAACTTTTGACTTGAATGCAAACATCAGAAAGCAGTTTCTCAGAACGCTGCTGTGTGCTTTTTATATGTATTCCCGCTTCCAGCGAAATCCCCAAAGCTAGCCAAATATCCACTTGCAGATTCCAGAAAAAGAGTGTTTCAAAACTGCTCCTTCAAAACGGTGGTTCAATTCTCTTAGTTGAGTACACACATCTCAAATAAGTTTCTGAGAATGCTCTGTCTAGTTGTTATGGGAAGATATTTCCTTTTCCAACATAGGCCTGAAAGCGCTCCAAATGTCCACTTCCAGATACTACAAAAGGAGTGATTCCAACCTGCTCTATGATAGGGAATGTTCAACTCTGTGTCCTGAATACAAACATCACAAAGATGTTTCTCAGAACGCTGGCAGTCTGCAATTTGTATGAATTCCCGCTTCCAACGAAATCCTCCAAACTAGCCAAATATCCACTTGCAGATTCCACAAAAAGAGCGTTTCAAAACTTCTCTATGAAAAGAAAGGTTCTACTCCTTTAGTTGAGGACACACATCACGAGTAAGTTTCTGAGAATGCTTCTGTCTAGTTTTTATGGGAAGATATTTCCTTGTTCACCTTAGGCCGGAAAGCGCTCCAAATGTCCACTTACACACACTACAAAAAGAGTGTTTCAAACCTGCTCTGTGGAAGGGAATGTTCAATTCTGTGACTTGAATGCAATCATCACAAAGAAGTTTCTGAGAATGCTGCTGACTGCTTTTTATATGTAATCCCGTTTCCAACGAAATCCTCAAATCTAGCCAAATAGCCACTTGCAGATTCCACAAAAAGAGTGTTTCAAAACTGTTCTGTCTAAAGAAATGTTCAACTGTGTTAGTTGAGGACACACATCAGAAACTAGTTTCTGAGAATGCTTCTGTCTAGTTGTTATGGGAAGATATTTCCTTTTCCAACGTAGGCCTGAAAGCGCTCCAAATGTCCACTTCCATATACTAAAAAAAGAGTGTTTCAAACCTGCTCTACCAAAGGGAATGTTCTACTCTGTGACTTGAATGCAAACATCCCAAAGAAGTTTCTGAGAATGCTTCTGTCTAGATTTTCTCTGAAGACAATCCCGTTTCCAACGAAATCCTCAAGGCTAGGCAAATATACTCTTGCAGATTCCAGAAAAAGAGTGTTTCAAAACTGCTCCTTCAAAACGGTGGTTCAATTCTCTTAGTTGAGTACACACATCTCAAATAAGTTTCTGAGAATGCTTCTGCCTAGTTGTTACGGGAAGATATTTCCCTTTCCAACATGGGCCTGAAAGCGCTCCAAATGTCCACTTCCAGATACTACAAAAAGAGTGTTTCAAACCTGCTCTACCAAAGGGAATGTTCTACTCTGTGACTTGAATGCAAACATCCCAAAGAAGTTTCTGAGAATGCTTCTGTCTAGATTTTACCTGAAGACAATCCCGTTTCCCACGAAATCCTCAAAGCTATGCAAATATCCTCTTGCAGATTCTACAAAAAGAGTGTTTCAAAACTGCTCTATGAAAAGAAAGGTTCAACTCTGTCAGTAGAGGGCACACATCACAAACAAGTTTCTGAGAATGCTTGTGTCTACTTGTTATGGGAAGATATTTCCTTTTTCAACATAGGCCTGAAAGCGCTCGAAATGGCCACTTCCAGATACTACAAAAGGAGTGATTCCAACCTGCTCTATGATAGGGAATGTTCAACTCTGTGTCCTGAATACAAACATCACAAAGATGTTTCTCAGAACGCTGCAGTCTGCAATTTGTATGAATTCCCGCTTCCAACGAAATCCTCAAAACTAACCAAATATCCACTTGCAGACTCCACAAAAAGAGCATTTCAAAACTGCTCTATCAAAAGAAAGGTTCAACTTTGTTAGCTGAGTAGATACAGCATAAACAAGTTTCTGAGAATGCTTCTGTCCAGTTTTTATGGGAAGATATTTCCTTTTTCACCTTAGCCCTGAAAGCACTCCAAATGTCCACTTCCAGATACCACAAAAGGGGAGTTTCAAGACTGCTCTATGAAAGGGAGTGTTCAACTTTTGACTTGAATGCGAACATCAGAAAGAAGTTTCTCAGAACGCTGCAGTCTGCAATTTGGATGAATTCCCGCTTCCAACGAAATCCTCAAAACTAGCCAAATATCCACTTGGAGATTCCACAAAAAGAGCGTTTCAAAACTTCTCTATGAATAGAAAGGTTCTACTCCTTTAGTTGAGGACACACATCACGAGTAAGTTTCTGAGAATGCTTCTGTCTAGTTTTTATGGGAAGATATTTCCTTTTTCACCTTAGGCCGGTAAGTGCTCCAAATGTCCACTTACACACACTACAAAAAGAGTGTTTCAAACCTGCTCTGTGAAAGGGAATGTTCAATTCTGTGACTTGAATGCAATCATCACAAAGAACTTTCTGAGAATGCTGCTGACTGCTTTTTATATGTAATCCCGTTTCCAACGAAATCCTCAAATCTAGCCAAATAGCCACTTGCAGATTCCACAAAAAGAGTGTTTCAAAACTGTTCTGTCTAAAGAAATGTTCAACTGTGTTAGTTGAGGACACACATCAGAAACTAGTTTCTGAGAATGCTTCCGTCTAGTTGTTATGGGAAGATATTTCCTTTTCCAACGTAGGCCTGAAAGCGCTCCAAATGTCCACTTCCATATACTAAAAAAAGAGTGTTTCAAACCTGCTCTACCAAAGGAATGTTCTACTCTGTGACTTGAATGCAAACATCCCAAAGAAGTTTCTGAGAATGCTTCTGTCTAGATTTGATCTGAAGACAATCCCTTTTCCAACGAAATCCTCAAAGCTAGGCAAATATCCTCTTGCAGATTCCAGAAAAAGAGTGTTTCCAAACTGCTCCTTCAAAACGGTGGTTCAATTCTCTTAGTTGAGTACACACATCTCAAATAAGTTTCTGAGAATGCTTCTGCCTAGTTGTTACGGGAAGATATTTCCGTTTCCAACATAGGCCTGAAAGCGCAACAAATGTCCACTTCCAGATACTACAAAAAGAGTGTTTCAAACCTGCTCTACCAAAGGGAATGTTCTACTCTGTGACTTGAATGCAAACATCCCGAAGAAGTTTCTGAGAATGCTTCTGTCTAGATTTTACCTGAAGACAATCCCGTTTCCCACGAAATCCTCAAAGCTATGCAAATATCCTCTTGCAGATTCTACAAAAAGAGTGTTTCAAAACTGCTCTATGAAAAGAAAGGTTCAACTCTGTCAGTAGAGGGCACACATCACAAACAAGTTTCTGAGAATGCTTGTGTCTAGTTGTTATGGGAAGATATTTCCTTTTTCAACATAGGCCTGAAAGCGCTCCAAATGTCCACTTCCAGATACTACAAAAGGAGTGATTCCAACCTGCTCTATGATAGGGAATGTTCAACTCTCTGTCCTGAATACAAACATCACAAAGATGTTTCTCAGAACGCTGCAGTCTGCAATTTGTATGAATTCCCGCTTCCAACGAAATCCTCAAAACTAGCCAAATATCCACTTGCAGATTCCACAAAAAGAGCGTTTCAAAACTTCTCTATGAAAAGAAAGGTTCTGCTCCTTTAGTTGAGGACACACATCACGAGTAAGTTTCTGAGAATGCTTCTGTCTAGTTTTTATGGGAAGATATTTCCTTTCTCACCTTAGGCCGGAAAGTGCTCCAAATGTCCACTTACACACACTACAAAAAGAGTGTTTCAAACCTGCTCTGTGAAAGGGAATGTTCAATTCTGTGACTTGAATGCAATCATCACAAAGAACTTTCTGAGAATGCTGCTGTCTGCTTTTTATATGTAATCCCGTTTCCAACGAAATCCTCAAATCTAGCCAAATATCCACTTGCAGATTCCACAAAAACAATGTTTCAAAACTGTTCTGTCTAAAGAAATGTTCAACTGTGTTAGTTGAGGACACACATCAGAAACTAGTTTCTGAGAATGCTTCTGTCTAGTTGTTATGGGAAGATATTTCCTTTTCCAACGTAGGCCTGAAAGCGCTCCAAATGTCCACTTCCATATACTAAAAAAAGAGTGTTTCAAACCTGCTCTACCAAAGGGAATGTTCTACTCTGTGACTTGAATGCAAACATCCCAAAGAAGTTTCTGAGAATGCTTCTGTCTAGATTTGATCTGAAGACAATCCCTTTTCCAACGAAATCCTCAAAGCTAGGCAAATATCCTCTTGCAGATTCCAGAAAAAGAGTGTTTCCAAACTGCTCCTTCAAAACGGTGGTTCAATTCTCTTAGTTGAGTACACACATCTCAAATAAGTTTCTGAGAATGCTTCTGCCTAGTTGTTACGGGAAGATATTTCCCTTTCCAACATAGGCCTGAAAGCGCAACAAATGTCCACTTCCAGATACGACAAAAAGAGTGTTTCAAACCTGCTCTACCAAAGGGAATGTTCTACTCTGTGAGTTGAATGCAAACATCCCGAAGAAGTTTCTGAGAATGCTTCTGTCTAGATTTTACCTGAAGACAATCCCGTTTCCCACGAAATCCTCAGAGCTATGCAAATATCCTCTTGCAGATTCTACAAAAAGAGTGTTTCGAAACTGCTCTATGAAAAGAAAGGTTCAACTCTGTCAGTAGAGGAAACACATCACCAACAAGTTTACTGAGAATGCTTCTGTCTAGTTGTTATGGGAAGATTTTTCCTTTTTCAACATAGGCCTGAAAGCGCTCCAAATGTCCACTTCCAGATACTACAAAAGGAGTGATCCCAACCTGCTCTATGATAGGGAATGTTCAACTCTGTGTCCTGAATACAAACATCACAAAGATGTTTCTCAGAACGCTGCAGTCTGCAATTTGTATGAATTCCCGCTTCCAACGAAATCCTCAAAACTAGCCAAATATCCACTTGCAGATTCCACAAAAAGAGCATTTCAAAACTGCTCTATCAAAAGAAAGGTTCAACTTTGTTAGTTGAGCAGATACAGCATAAACAAGTTTCTGAGAATGCTTCTGTCCAGTTTTTATGGGAAGATATTTCCTTTTTCACCTTAGCCCTGAAAGCGCTCCAAATGTCCAGTTCCAGATACTACAAAAGGGGTGTTTCAAGACTGCTCTATGAAAGGGAGTGTTCAACTTTTGACTTGAATGCAAACATCAGAAAGCAGTTTCTCAGAACGCTGCTGTGTGCTTTTTATATGTATTCCCGCTTCCAGCGAAATCCCCAAAGCTAGCCAAATATCCACTTGCAGATTCCAGAAAAAGAGTGTTTCCAAACTGCTCCTTCAAAACGGTGGTTCAATTCTCTTAGTTGAGTACACACATCTCAAATAAGTTTCTGGGAATGCTTCTGTCTAGTTGTTATGGGAAGATATTTCCTTTTCCAACATAGGCCTGAAAGCGCTCCAAATGTCCACTTCCAGATACTACAAAAGGAGTGATTCAAACCTGCTCTATGATAGGGAATGTTCAACTCTGTGTCCTGAATACAAACATCACAAAGATGTTTCTCAGAACGCTGCAGTCTGCAATTTGTATGAATTCCCGCTTCCAACGAAATCCTCAAAACTAGCCAAATATCCACTTGCAGATTCCACAAAAAGAGCATTTCAAAACTGCTCTATCAAAAGAAAGGTTCAACTTTGTTAGTTGAGTAGATACAGCATAAACAAGTTTCTGAGAATGCTTCTGTCCAGTTTTTATGGGAAGATATTTCCTTTTTCACCTTAGCCCTGAAAGCGCTCCAAAAGTCCAGTTCCAGATACTACAAAAGGAGTGTTTCAGGACTGCACTATGAAAGGGAGTGTTCAACTTTTGACTTGAATGCAAACATCAGAAAGCAGTTTCTCAGAACGCTGCTGTGTGCTTTTTATATGTATTCCCGCTTCCAGCGAAATCCCCAAAGCTAGCCAAATATCCACTTGCAGATTCCAGAAAAAGAGTGTTTCAAAACTGCTCCTTCAAAACGGTGGTTCAATTCTCTTAGTTGAGTACACACATCTCAAATAAGTTTCTGAGAATGCTTGTGTCTAGTTGTTATGGGAAGATATTTCCTTTTTCAACATAGGCCTGAAAGCGCTCCAAATGTCCACTTCCAGATACTACAAAAGGAGTGATTCCAACCTGCTCTATGATAGGGAATGTTCATCTCTGTGTCCTGAATACAAACATCACAAAGATGTTTCTCAGAACGCTGCAGTCTGCAATTTGTATGAATTCCCGCTTCCAACGAAATCCTCCAAACTAGCCAAATATCCACTTGCAGATTCCACAAAAAGAGCGTTTCAAAACTTCTCTATGAAAAGAAAGGTTCTACTCCTTTAGTTGAGGACACACATCACGAGTAAGTTTCTGAGAATGCTTCTGTCTAGTTTTTATGGGAAGATATTTCCTTTTTCACCTTAGGCCGGAAAGTGCTCCAAATGTCCACTTACACACACTACAAAAAGAGTGTTTCAAACCTGCTCTGTGAAAGGGAATGTTCAATTCTGTGACTTGAATGCAATCATCACAAAGAAGTTTCTGAGAATGCTGCTGTCTGCTTTTTATATGTAATCCCGTTTCCAACGAAATCCTCAAATCTAGCCAAATAGCCACTTGCAGATTCCACAAAAAGAGTGTTTCAAAACTGTTCTGTCTAAAGAAATGTTCAACTGTGTTAGTTGAGGACACACATCAGAAACTAGTTTCTGAGAATGCTTCTGTCTAGTTGTTATGGGAAGATATTTCCTTTTCCAACGTAGGCCTGAAAGCGCTCCAAATGTCCACTTCCAGATACTAAAAAAAGAGTGTTTCAAACCTGCTCTACCAAAGGGAATGT
Organism: Homo sapiens; assembly: GCF_000001405.40. Lineage (NCBI taxonomy): Eukaryota > Metazoa > Chordata > Mammalia > Primates > Hominidae > Homo > Homo sapiens. Next base: position 19,774,011 of record NC_000018.10, on the reverse strand, counting down.
TCTACTCTGTGACTTGAATGCAAGCATCCCAAAGAAGTTTCTGAGAATGCTTCTGTCTAGATTTGATCTGAAGACAATCCCTTTTCCAACGAAATCCTCAAAGCTAGGCAAATATCCTCTTGCAGATTCCAGAAAAAGAGTGTTTCCAAACTGCTCCTTCAAAACGGTGGTTCAATTCTCTTAGTTGAGTACACACATCTCAAATAAGTTTCTGAGAATGCTTCTGCCTAGTTGTTACGGGAAGATATTTCCGTTTCCAACATAGACCTGAAAGCGCAACAAATGTCCACTTCCAGATACTACAAAAAGAGTGTTTCAAACCTGCTCTACCGAAGGGAATGTTCTACTCTGTGACTTGAATGCAAACATCCCGAAGAAGTTTCTGAGAATGCTTCTGTCTAGATTTTACCTGAAGACAATCCCGTTTCCCACGAAATCCTCAAAGCTATGCAAATATCCTCTTGCAGATTCTACAAAAAGAGTGTTTCAAAACTGCTCTATGAAAAGAAAGGTTCAACTCTGTCAGTAGAGGGCACACATCACAAACAAGTTTCTGAGAATGCTTCTGCATAGTTGTTACGGGAAGATATTTCCCTTTCCAAAATAGGCCTGAAAGCGCTCCAAATGTCCACTTCCAGATACTACAAAAGGAGTGATTCCAACCTGCTCTATGATAGGGAATGTTCAACTCTCTGTCCTGAATACAAACATCACAAAGATGTTTCTCAGAACGCTGCAGTCTGCAATTTGTATGAATTCCAGCTTCCAACGAAATCCTCAAAACTAGCCAAATATCCACTTGCAGATTCCACAAAAAGAGCATTTCAAAACTGCTCTATCAAAAGAAAGGTTCAACTTTGTTAGTAGAGTAGATACAGCATAAACAAGTTTCTGAGAATGCTTCTGTCCAGTTTTTATGGGAAGATATTTCCTTTTTCACCTTAGCCCTGAAATCGCTCCAAAAGTCCAGTTCCAGATACTACAAAAGGGGTGTTTCAAGACTGCTCTATGAAAGGGAGTGTTCAACTTTTGACTTGAATGCAAACATCAGAAAGCAGTTTCTCAGAACGCTGCTGTGTGCTTTTTATATGTATTCCCGCTTCCAGCGAAATCCCCAAAGCTAGCCAAATATCCACTTGCAGATTCCAGAAAAAGAGTGTTTCAAAACTGCTCCTTCAAAACGGTGGTTCAATTCTCTTAGTTGAGTACACACATCTCAAATAAGTTTCTGAGAATGCTTCTGTCTAGTTGTTATGGGAAGATATTTCCTTTTCCAACATAGGCCTGAAAGCGCTCCAAATGTCCACTTCCAGATACTACAAAAGGAGTGATTCCAACCTGCTCTATGATAGGGAATGTTCAACTCTGTGTCCTGAATACAAACATCACAAAGATGTTTCTCAGAACGCTGCAGTCTGCAATTTGTATGAATTCCCGCTTCCAACGAAATCCTCAAAACTAGCCAAATATCCACTTGCAGATTCCACAAAAAGAGCGTTTCAAAACTTCTCTATGAAAAGAAAGGTTCTACTCCTTTAGTTGAGGACACACATCACGAGTAAGTTTCTGAGAATGCTTCTGTCTAGTTTTTATGGGAAGATATGTCCTTTTTCACCTTAGGCCGGAAAGCGCTCCAAATGTCCACTTACACACACTACAAAAAGAGTGTTTCAAACCTGCTCTGTGAAAGGGAATGTTCAATTCTGTGACTTGAATGCAATCATCACAAAGAACTTTACTGAGAATGCTGCTGTCTGCTTTTTATATGTAATCCCGTTTCCAACGAAATCCTCAAATCTAGCCAAATATCCACTTGTAGATTCCACAAAAAGAGTGTTTCAAAACTCTTCTGTCTAAAGAAATGTTCAACTGTGTTAGTTGAGGACACACATCAGAAACAAGTTTTTGAGAATGCTTCTGTCTAGTTGTTATGGGAAGATATTTCCTTTTCCAACGTAGGCCTGAAAGCGCTCCAAATGTCCACTTCCATATACTAAAAAAAGAGTGTTTCAAACCTGCTCTACCAAAGGGAATGTTCTACTCTGTGACTTGAATGCAAACATCCCAAAGAAGTTTCTGAGAATGCTTCTGTCTAGATTTGATCTGAACACAATCCCGTTTCCAACGAAATCCTCAAAGCTAGGCAAATATCCTCTTGCAGATTCCAGAAAAAGAGTGTTTCAAAACTGCTCCTTCAAAACGGTGGTTCAATTCTCTTAGTTGAGTACACACATCTCAAATAAGTTTCTGAGAATGCTTCTGCCTAGTTGTTACGGGAAGATATTTCCCTTTCCAACATAGGCCTGAAAGCGCTCCAAATGTCCACTTCCAGATACTACAAAAAGAGTGTTTCAAACCTGCTCTACCAAAGGGAATGTTCTACTCTGTGACTTGAATGCAAACATCCCAAAGAAGTTTCTGAGAATGCTTCTGTCTAGATTTTACCTGAAGACAATCCCGTTTCCCACGAAATCCTCAAAGCTATGCAAATATCCTCTTGCAGATTCTACAAAAAGAGTGTTTCAAAACTGCTCTATGAAAAGAAAGGTTCAACTCTGTCAGTAGAGGGCACACATCACAAACAAGTTTCTGAGAATGCTTGTGTCTAGTTGTTATGGGAAGATATTTCCTTTTTCAACATAGGCCTGAAAGCGCTCCAAATGTCCACTTCCAGATACTACAAAAGGAGTGATTCCAACCTGCTCTATGATAGGGAATGTTCAACTCTCTGTCCTGAATACAAACATCACAAAGATGTTTCTCAGAACGCTGCAGTCTGCAATTTGTATGAATTCCCGCTTCCAACGAAATCCTCAAAACTAGCCAAATATCCACTTGCAGATTCCACAAAAAGAGCATTTCAAAACTGCTCTATCAAAAGAAAGGTTCAACTTTGTTAGTTGAGTAGATACAGCATAAACAAGTTTCTGAGAATGCTTCTGTCCAGTTTTTATGGGAAGATATTTCCTTTTTCACCTTAGCCCTGAAATCGCTCCAAAAGTCCAGTTCCAGATACTACAAAAGGGGTGTTTCAGGACTGCTCTATGAAAGGGAGTGTTCAACTTTTGACTTGAATGCAAACATCAGAAAGCAGTTTCTCAGAACGCTGCTGTGTGCTTTTTATATGTATTCCCGCTTCCAGCGAAATCCCCAAAGCTAGCCAAATATCCACTTGCAGATTCCAGAAAAAGAGTGTTTCAAAACTGCTCCTTCAAAACGGTGGTTCAATTCTCTTAGTTGAGTACACACATCTCAAATAAGTTTCTGAGAATGCTTGTGTCTAGTTGTTATGGGAAGATATTTCCTTTTTCAACATAGGCCTGAAAGCGCTCCAAATGTCCACTTCCAGATACTACAAAAGGAGTGATTCCAACATGCTCTATGAGAGGGAATGTTCATCTCTGTGTCTTGAATACAAACATCACAAAGATGTTTCTCAGAACGCTGCAGTCTGCAATTTGTATGAATTCCCGCTTCCAACGAAATCCTCAAAACTAGCCAAATATCCACTTGGAGATTCCACAAAAAGAGCGTTTCAAAACTTCTCTATGAATAGAAAGGTTCTACTCCTTTAGTTGAGGACACACATCACGAGTAAGTTTCTGAGAATGCTTCTGTCTAGTTTTTATGGGAAGATATGTCCTTTTTCACCTTAGGCCGGAAAGCGCTCCAAATGTCCACTTACACACACTACAAAAAGAGTGTTTCAAACCTGCTCTGTGAAAGGGAATGTTCAATTCTGTGACTTGAATGCAATCATCACAAAGAACTTTCTGAGAATGCTGCTGTCTGCTTTTTATATGTAATCCCGTTTCCAACGAAATCCTCAAATCTAGCCAAATAGCCACTTGCAGATTCCACAAAAAGAGTGTTTCAAAACTGTTCTGTCTAAAGAAATGTTCAACTGTGTTAGTTGAGGAAACACATCAGAAATTAGTTTCTGAGAATGCTTCTGTCTAGTTGTTATGGGAAGATATTTCCTTTTCCAACGTAGGCCTGAAAGCGCTCCAAATGTCCACTTCCATATACTAAAAAAAGAGTGTTTCAAACCTGCTCTACCAAAGGGAATGTTCTACTCTGTGACTTGAATGCAAACATCCCAAAGAAGTTTCTGAGAATGCTTCTGTCTAGATTTTCTCTGAAGACAATCCCGTTTCCAACGAAATCCTCAAGGCTAGGCAAATATACTCTTGCAGATTCCAGAAAAAGAGTGTTTCAAAACTGCTCCTTCAAAACGGTGGTTCAATTCTCTTAGTTGAGTACACACATCTCAAATAAGTTTCTGAGAATGCTTCTGCCTAGTTGTTACGGGAAGATATTTCCCTTTCCAACATGGGCCTGAAAGCGCTCCAAATGTCCACTTCCAGATACTACAAAAAGAGTGTTTCAAACCTGCTCTACCAAAGGGAATGTTCTACTCTGTGACTTGAATGCAAACATCCCAAAGAAGTTTCTGAGAATGCTTCTGTCTAGATTTTACCTGAAGACAATCCCGTTTCCCACGAAATCCTCAAAGCTATGCAAATATCCTCTTGCAGATTCTACAAAAAGAGTGTTTCAAAACTGCTCTATGAAAAGAAAGGTTCAACTCTGTCAGCAGAGGGCACACATCACAAACAAGTTTCTGAGAATGCTTGTGTCTAGTTGTTATGGGAAGATATTTCCTTTTTCAACATAGGCCTGAAAGCGCTCCAAATGTCCTCTTCCAGATACTACAAAAGGAGTGATTCCAACCTGCTCTATGATAGGGAATGTTCATCTCTGTGTCCTGAATACAAACATCACAAAGATGTTTCTCAGAATGCTGCAGTCTGCAATTTGTATGAATTCCCGCTTCCAACGAAATCCTCAAACCTAGCCAAATATCCACTTGCAGATTCCACAAAAAGAGCATTTCAAAACTGCTCTATCAAAAGAAAGGTTCAACTTTGTTAGTTGAGTACATACAGCATAAACAAATTTCTGAGAATGCTTCTGTCCAGTTTTTATGGGAAGATATTTCCTTTTTCACCTTAGCCCTGAAATCGCTCCAAAAGTCCAGTTCCAGATACTACAAAAGGGGTGTTTCAAGACTGCTCTATGAAAGGGAGTGTTCAACTTTTGACTTGAATGCAAACATCAGAAAGCAGTTTCTCAGAACGCTGCTGTGTGCTTTTTATATGTATTCCCGCTTCCAGCGAAATCCCCAAAGCTAGCCAAATATCCACTTGCAGATTCCAGAAAAAGAGAGTTTCAAAACTGCTCCTTCAAAACGGTGGTTCAATTCTCTTAGTTGAGTACACACATCTCAAATAAGTTTCTGAGAATGCTTGTGTCTAGTTGTTATGGGAAGATATTTCCTTTTTCAACATAGGCCTGAAAGCGCTCCAAATGTCCACTTCCAGATACTACAAAAGGAGTGATTCCAACCTGCTCTATGATAGGGAATGTTCATCTCTGTGTCCTGAATACAAACATCACAAAGATGTTTCTCAGAACGCTGCAGTCTGCAATTTGTATGAATTCCCGCTTCCAACGAAATCCTCAAAACTAGCCAAATATCCACTTGGAGATTCCACAAAAAGAGCATTTCAAAACTTCTCTATGAATAGAAAGGTTCTACTTCTTTAGTTGAGGACACACATCACGAGTAAGTTTCTGAGAATGCTTCTGTCTAGTTTTTATGGGAAGATATTTCCTTTTTCACCTTAGGCCGGAAATCGCTCCAAATGTCCACTTACACACACTACAAAAAGAGTGTTTCAAACCTGCTCTGTGAAAGGGAATGTTCAATTCTGTGACTTGAATGCAATCATCACAAAGAACTTTCTGACAATGCTGCTGACTGCTTTTTATATGTAATCCCGTTTCCAACGAAATCCTCAAATCTAGCCAAATAGCCACTTGCAGATTCCACAAAAAGAGTGTTTCAAAACTGTTCTGTCTAAAGAAATGTTCAACTGTGTTAGTTGAGGACACACATCAGAAACTAGTTTCTGAGAATGCTTCTGTCTAGTTGTTATGGGAAGATATTTCCTTTTCCAACGTAGGCCTGAAAGCGCTCCAAATGTCCACTTCCATATACTAAAAAAAGAGTGTTTCAAACCTGCTCTACCAAAGGGAATGTTCTACTCTGTGACTTGAATGCAAACATCCCAAAGAAGTTTCTGAGAATGCTTCTGTCTAGATTTTCTCTGAAGACAATCCCGTTTCCAACGAAATCCTCAAGGCTAGGCAAATATACTCTTGCAGATTCCAGAAAAAGAGTGTTTCAAAACTGCTCCTTCAAAACGGTGGTTCAATTCTCTTAGTTGAGTACACACATCTCAAATAAGTTTCTGAGAATGCTTCTGCCTAGTTGTTACGGGAAGATATTTCCCTTTCCAACATAGGCCTGAAAGCGCTCCAAATGTCCACTTCCAGATACTACAAAAAGAGTGTTTCAAACCTGCTCTACCAAAGGGAATGTTCTGCTCTGTGACTTGAATGCAAACATCCCAAAGAAGTTTCTGAGAATGCTTCTGTCTAGATTTTACCTGAAGACAATCCCGTTTCCCACGAAATCCTCAAAGCTATGCAAATATCCTCTTGCAGATTCTACAAAAAGAGTGTTTCAAAACTGCTCTATGAAAAGAAAGGTTCAACTCTGTCAGTAGAGGGCACACATCACAAACAAGTTTGTGAGAATGCTTGTGTCTAGTTGTTATGGGAAGATATTTCCTTTTTCAACATAGGCCTGAAAGCGCTCCAAATGTCCACTTCCAGATACTACAAAAGGAGTGATTCCAACCTGCTCTATGATAGGGAATGTTCAACTCTCTGTCCTGAATACAAACATCACAAAGATGTTTCTCAGAACGCTGCAGTCTGCAATTTGTATGAATTCCCGCTTCCAACGAAATCCTCAAAACTAGCCAAATATCCACTTGCAGATTCCACAAAAAGACCATTTCAAAACTGCTCTATCAAAAGAAAGGTTCAACTTTGTTAGTTGAGTAGATACAGCATAACCAAGTTTCTGAGAATGCTTCTGTCCAGTTTTTATGGGAAGATATTTCCTTTTTCACCTTAGCCCTGAAATCGCTCCAAAAGTCCAGTTCCAGATACTACAAAAGGGGTGTTTCAAGACTGCTCTATGAAAGGGAGTGTTCAACTTTTGACTTGAATGCAAACATCAGAAAGCAGTTTCTCAGAACGCTGCTGTGTGCTTTTTATATGTATTCCCGCTTCCAGCGAAATCCCCAAAGCTAGCCAAATATCCACTTGCAGATTCCAGAAAAAGAGAGTTTCAAAACTGCTCCTTCAAAACGGTGGTTCAATTCTCTTAGTTGAGTACACACATCTCAAATAAGTTTTCTGAGAATGCTTATCTGTCTAGTTGTTATGGGAAGATATTTCCTTTTCCAACATAGGCCTGAAAGCGCTCCAAATGTCCACTTCCAGATACTACAAAAGGAGTGATTCAAACCTGCTCTATGATAGGGAATGTTCAACTCTGTGTCCTGAATACAAACATCACAAAGATGTTTCTCAGAACGCTGCAGTCTGCAATTTGTATGAATTCCCGCTTCCAACGAAATCCTCAAAACTAGCCAAATATCCACTTGCAGATTCCACAAAAAGAGCGTTTCAAAACTTCTCTATGAAAAGGAAGGTTCTACTCCTTTAGTTGAGGACACACATCACGAGTAAGTTTCTGAGAATGCTTCTGTCTAGTTTTTATGGAAAGATATTTCCTTTTTCACCTTAGGCCGGAAAGTGCTCCAAATGTCCACTTACACACACTACAAAAAGAGTGTTTCAAACCTGCTCTGTGAAAGGGAATGTTCAATTCTGTGACTTGAATGCAATCATCACAAAGAAGTTTCTGAGAATGCTGCTGTCTGCTTTTTATATGTAATCCCGTTTCCAACGAAATCCTCAAATCTAGCCAAATAGCCACTTGCAGATTCCACAAAAAGAGTGTTTCAAAACTGTTCTGTCTAAAGAAATGTTCAACTGTGTTAGTTGAGGACACACATCAGAAACTAGTTTCTGAGAATGCTTCTGTCTAGTTGTTATGGGAAGATATTTCCTTTTCCAACGTAGGCCTGAAAGCGCTCCAAATGTCCACTTCCAGATACTACAAAAAGAGTGTTTCAAACCTGCTCTACCAAAGGGAATGTTCTACTCTGTGACTTGAATGCAAGCATCCCAAAGAAGTTTCTGAGAATGCTTCTGTCTAGATTTGATCTGAAGACAATCCCGTTTCCAACGAAATCCTCAAGGCTAGGCAAATATCCTCTTGCAGATTCCAGAAAAAGAGTGTTTCAAAACTGCTCCTTCAAAACGGTGGTTCAATTCTCTTAGTTGAGTACACACATCTCAAATAAGTTTCTGAGAATGCTTCTGCCTAGTTGTTACGGGAAGATATTTCCCTTTCCAACATGGGCCTGAAAGCGCTCCAAATGTCCACTTCCAGATACTACAAAAAGAGTGTTTCAAACCTGCTCTACCAAAGGGAATGTTCTACTCTGTGACTTGAATGCAAACATCCCAAAGAAGTTTCTGAGAATGCTTCTGTCTAGATTTTACCTGAAGACAATCCCGTTTCCCACGAAATCCTCAAAGCTATGCAAATATCCTCTTGTAGATTCTACAAAAAGAGTGTTTCGAAACTGCTCTATGAAAAGAAAGGTTCAACTCTGTCAGTAGAGGGCACACATCACAAACAAGTTTCTGAGAATGCTTCTGCCTAGTTGTTATGGGAAGATATTTCCTTTTTCAACATAGGCCTGAAAGCGCTCCAAATGTCGACTTCCAGATACTACAAAAGGAGTGATTCCAGCCTTCTCTATGATAGGGAATGTTCAACTCTGTGTCCTGAATACAAACATCACAAAGACGTTTCTCAGAACGCTGCAGTCTGCAATTTGTATGAATTCCCGCTTCCAATGAAATCCTCAAAACTAGCCAAATATCCACTTGCAGATTCCACAAAAAGAGCATTTCAAAACTGCTCTATCAAAAGAAAGGTTCAACTTTGTTAGTTGAGTAGATACAGCATAAACATGTTTCTGAGAATGCTTCTGTCCAGTTTTTATGGGAAGATATTTCCTTTTTCACCTTAGCCCTGAAATCGCTCCAAAAGTCCAGTTCCAGATACTACAAAAGGGGTGTTTCAAGACTGCTCTATGAAAGGGAGTGTTCAACTTTTGACTTGAATGCAAACATCAGAAAGCAGTTTGCTCAGAACGCTGGCTGTGTGCTTTTTATATGTATTCCCGCTTCCAGCGAAATCCCCAAAGCTAGCCAAATATCCACTTGCAGATTCCAGAAAAAGAGTGTTTCAAAACTGCTCCTTCAAAACGGTGGTTCAATTCTCTTAGTTGAGTACACACATCTCAAATAAGTTTCTGAGAATGCTTCTGTCTAGTTGTTATGGGAAGATATTTCCTTTTCCAACATAGGCCTGAAAGCGCTCCAAATGTCCACTTCCAGATACTACAAAAGGAGTGATTCAAACCTGCTCTATGATAGGGAATGTTCAACTCTGTGTCCTGAATACAAACATCACAAAGATGTTTCTCAGAACGCTTCTCTCTAGATTTTATATGAAGATATTCCCGTTTCCAACGAAATCCACAAAGCTATCGAAATATCCACTTGCAGATTCTACAAAAAGAGTGTTTCAAAACTGCTCTATGAAAAGAAAGGTTCTACCCCTTTAGTTGAGGACACACATCACGAGTAAGTTTCTGAGAATGCTTCTGTCTAGTTTTTATGGGAAGATATTTCCTTTTTCACCTGAGGCCGGAAAGCGCTCCAAATGTCCACTTCCAGATACTACAAAAGGAGTGATTCAAACCTGCTCTATGATAGGGAATGTTCAACTCTGTGTCCTGAATACAAACATCACAAAGATGTTTCTCAGAACGCTGCAGTCTGCAATTTGTATGAATTCCCGCTTCCAACGCAATCCTCAAAACTAACCAAATATCCACTTGCAGACTCCACAAAAAGAGCATTTCAAAACTGCTCTATCAAAAGAAAGGTTCAACTTTGTTAGCTGAGTAGATACAGCATAAACAAGTTTCTGAGAATGCTTCTGTCCAGTTTTTATGGGAAGATATTTCCTTTTTCACCTTAGCCCTGAAAGCACTCCAAATGTCCACTTCCAGATACCAGAAAAGGGGAGTTTCAAGACTGCTCTATGAAAGGGAGTGTTCAACTTTTGACTTGAATGCAAACATCACCAAGAAGTTTCTCAGAACGCTGCTGTGTGCTTTTTATATGTATTCCCGCTTCCAGCGAAATCCCCAAAGCTAGCCAAATATCCACTTGCAGATTCCAGAAAAAGAGTGTTTCAAAACTGCTCCTTCAAAACGGTGGTTCAAATTCTCTTAGTTGAGTACACACATCTCAAATAAGTTTCTGAGAATGCTTCTGTCTAGTTGTTATGGGAAGATATTTCCTTTTCCAACATAGGCCTGAAAGCGCTCCAAATGTCCACTTCCAGATACTACAAAAGGAGTGATTCAAACCTGCTCTATGATAGGGAATGTTCAACTCTGTGTCCTGAATACAAACATCACAAAGATGTTTCTCAGAACGCTGCAGTCTGCAATTTGTATGAATTCCCGCTTCCAACGAAATCCTCAAAACTAGCCAAATATCCACTTGCAGATTCCACAAAAAGAGCGTTTCAAAACTTCTCTATGAAAAGAAAGGTTCTACTCCTTTAGTTGAGGACACACATCACGAGTAAGTTTCTGAGAATGCTTCTGTCTAGTTTTTATGGGAAGATATTTCCTTTTTCACCTTAGGCCGGTAAGTGCTCCAAATGTCCACTTACACACACTACAAAAAGAGTGTTTCAAACCTGCTCTGTGAAAGGGAATGTTCAATTCTGTGACTTGAATGCAATCATCACAAAGAACTTTCTGAGAATGCTGCTGACTGCTTTTTATATGTAATCCCGTTTCCAACGAAATCCTCAAATCTAGCCAAATAGCCACTTGCAGATTCCACAAAAAGAGTGTTTCAAAACTGTTCTGTCTAAAGAAATGTTCAACTGTGTTAGTTGAGGACACACATCAGAAACTAGTTTCTGAGAATGCTTCTGTCTAGTTGTTATGGGAAGATATTTCCTTTTCCAACGTAGGCCTGAAAGCGATCCAAATGTCCACTTCCATATACTAAAAAAAGAGTGTTTCAAACCTGCTCTACCAAAGGGAATGTTCTACTCTGTGACTTGAATGCAAACATCCCAAAGAAGTTTCTGAGAATGCTTCTGTCTAGATTTTCTCTGAAGACAATCCCGTTTCCAACGAAATCCTCAAGGCTAGGCAAATATACTCTTGCAGATTCCAGAAAAAGAGTGTTTCAAAACTGCTCCTTCAAAACGGTGGTTCAATTCTCTTAGTTGAGTACACACATCTCAAATAAGTTTCTGAGAATGCTTCTGCCTAGTTGTTACGGGAAGATATTTCCCTTTCCAACATGGGCCTGAAAGCGCTCCAAATGTCCACTTCCAGATACTACAAAAAGAGTGTTTCAAACCTGCTCTACCAAAGGGAATGTTCTACTCTGTGACTTGAATGCAAACATCCCAAAGAAGTTTCTGAGAATGCTTCTGTCTAGATTTTACCTGAAGACAATCCCGTTTCCCACGAAATCCTCAAAGCTATGCAAATATCCTCTTGCGGATTCTACAAAAAGAGTGTTTCAAAACTGCTCTATGAAAAGAAAGGTTCAACTCTGTCAGTAGAGGGCACACATCACAAACAAGTTTCTGAGAATGCTTCTGCATAGTTGTTACGGGAAGATATTTCCCTTTCCAAAATAGGCCTGAAAGCGCTCCAAATGTCCACTTCCAGATACTACAAAAGGAGTGATTCCAACCTGCTCTATGATAGGGAATGTTCAACTCTGTGTCCTGAATACAAACATCACAAAGATGTTTCTCAGAACGCTGCAGTCTGCAATTTGTATGAATTCCCGCTTCCAACGAAATCCTCAAAACTAGCCAAATATCCACTTGCAGATTCCACAAAAAGAGCATTTCAAAACTGCTCTATCAAAAGAAAGGTTCAACTTTGTTAGTTGAGTAGATACAGCATAAACAAGTTTCTGAGAATGCTTCTGTCCAGTTTTTATGGGAAGATATTTCCTTTTTCACCTTAGCCCTGAAAGCGCTCCAAAAGTCCAGTTCCAGATACTACAAAAGGAGTGTTTCAGGACTGCTCTATGAAAGGGAGTGTTCAACTTTTGACTTGAATGCAAACATCAGAAAGCAGTTTCTCAGAACGCTGCTGTGTGCTTTTTATATGTATTCCCGCTTCCAGCGAAATCCCCAAAGCTAGCCAAATATCCACTTGCAGATTCCAGAAAAAGAGTGTTTCAAAACTGCTCCTTCAAAACGGTGGTTCAATTCTCTTAGTTGAGTACACACATCTCAAATAAGTTTCTGAGAATGCTTCTGTCTAGTTGTTATGGGAAGATATTTCCTTTTCCAACATAGGCCTGAAAGCGCTCCAAATGTCCACTTCCAGATACTACAAAAGGAGTGATTCAAACCTGCTCTATGATAGGGAATGTTCCACTCTGTGTCCTGAATACAAACATCACAAAGATGTTTCTCAGAACGCTGCAGTCTGCAATTTGTATGAATTCCCGCTTCCAACGAAATCCTCAAAACTAGCCAAATATCCACTTGCAGATTCCACAAAAAGAGCGTTTCAAAACTTCTCTATGAAAAGAAAGGTTCTACTCCTTTAGTTGAGGACACACATCACGAGTAAGTTTCTGAGAATGCTTCTGTCTAGTTTTTATGGGAAGATATTTCCTCGTTCACCTTAGGCCGGAAAGCGCTCCAAATGTCCACTTACACACACTACAAAAAGAGTGTTTCAAACCTGCTCTGTGAAAGGGAATGTTCAATTTTGTGACTTGAATGCAATCATCACAAACAAGTTTCTGAGAATGCTGCTGTCTGCTTTTTATATGTATTCCCGTTTCCAACGAAATCCTCAAATCTAGCCAAATATCCACTTGCAGATTCCACAAAAAGAGTGTTTCAAAACTGTTCTGTCTAAATAAATGTTCAACTGTGTTAGTTGAGGACACACATCAGAAACTAGTTTCTGAGAATGCTTCTGTCTAGTTGTTATGGGAAGATATTTCCTTTTCCAACGTAGGCCTGAAAGCGCTCCAAATGTCCTCTTCCATATACTAAAAAAAGAGTGTTTCAAACCTGCTCTACCAAAGGGAATGTTCTACTCTGTGACTTGAATGCAAACATCCCAAAGAAGTTTCTGAGAATGCTTCTGTCTAGATTTTATCTGAAGACAATCCCGTTTCCCACGAAATCCTCAAAGCTATGCAAATATCCTCTTGCAGATTCTACAAAAAGAGTGTTTCGAAACTGCTCTATGAAAAGAAAGGTTCAACTGTGTCAGTAGAGGGCACATATCTCAAACAAGTTTCTGAGAATGCTTCTGTCTAGTTGTTATGGGAAGATATTTCCTTTTTCAACATAGGCCTGAAAGCGCTCCAAATGTCCACTTCCAGATACTACAAAAGGAGTGATCCCAACCTGCTCTATGATAGGGAATGTTCAACTCTGTGTCCTGAATGCAAACATCACAAAGATGTTTCTCAGAACGCTGCAGTCTGCAATTTGTTTGTATTCCAGCTTCCAACGAAATCCTCAAATCTAGCCAAATATCCACTTGCAGATTCCACAAAAAGAGCATTTCAAAACTGCTCTATCAAAAGAAAGGTTCAACTTTTTTAGTAGAGTAGATACAGCATGAACAAGTTTCTGAGAATGCTTCTGTCCAGTTTTTATGGGAAGATATTTCCTTTTTCACCTTAGCCCTGAAAGCGCTCCAAAAGTCCAGTTCCAGATACTACAAAAGGAGTGTTTCAGGACTGCTCTATGAAAGGGAGTGTTCAACTTTTGACTTGAATGCAAACATCAGAAAGCAGTTTCTCAGAACGCTGCTGTGTGCTTTTTATATGTATTCCCGCTTCCAGCGAAATCCCCAAATCTAGCCAAATATCCACTTGCAGATTCCAGAAAAAGAGTGTTTCAAAACTGCTCCTTCAAAACGGTGGTTCAATTCTCTTAGTTGAGTACACACATCTCAAATAAGTTTCTGAGAATGCTGCAGTCTGCAATTTGTATGAATTCCCGCTTCCAACGAAATCCTCAAAACTAGCCAAATATCCACTTGCAGATTCCACAAAAAGAGCGTTTCAAAACTTCTCTATGAAAAGAAAGGTTCTACTCCTTTAGTTGAGGACACAGATCACGAGTAAGTTTCTGAGAATGCTTCTGTCTAGTTTTTATGGGAAGATATTTCCTTTTTCACCTTAGGCCGGTAAGTGCTCCAAATGTCCACTTACACACACTACAAAAAGAGTGTTTCAAACCTGCTCTGTGAAAGGGAATGTTCAATTCTGTGACTTGAATGCAATCATCACAAAGAACTTTCTGAGAATGCTGCTGACTGCTTTTTATATGTAATCCCGTTTCCAACGAAATCCTCAAATCTAGCCAAATAGCCACTTGCAGATTCCACAAAAAGAGTGTTTCAAAACTGTTCTGTCTAAAGAAATGTTCAACTGTGTTAGTTGAGGACACACATCAGAAACTAGTTTCTGAGAATGCTTCTGTCTAGTTGTTATGGGAAGATATTTCCTTTTCCAACGTAGGCCTGAAAGCGCTCCAAATGTCCACTTCCATATACTAAAAAAAGAGTGTTTCAAACCTGCTCTACCAAAGGGAATGTTCTACTCTGTGACTTGAATGCAAACATCCCAAAGAAGTTTCTGAGAATGCTTCTGTCTAGATTTGATCTGAAGACAATCCCGTTTCCAACGAAATCCTCAAGGCTAGGCAAATATCCTCTTGCAGATTCCAGAAAAAGAGTGTTTCAAAACTGCTCCTTCAAAAGGGTGGTTCAATTCTCTTAGTTGAGTACACACATCTCAAATAAGTTTCTGAGAATGCTTCTGCCTAGTTGTTACGGGAAGATATTTCCCTTTCCAACATAGGCCTGAAAGCGCTCCAAATGTCCACTTCCAGATACTACAAAAAGAGTGTTTCAAACCTGCTCTACCAAAGGGAATGTTCTACTCTGTGACTTGAATGCAAACATCCCAAAGAAGTTTCTGAGAATGCTTCTGTCTAGATTTTTACCTGAAGACAATCCCGTTTCCCACGAAATCCTCAAAGCTATGCAAATATCCTCTTGCAGATTCTACAAAAAGAGTGTTTCAAAACTGCTCTATGAAAAGAAAGGTTCAACTCTGTCAGTAGAGGGCACACATCACAAACAAGTTTCTGAGAATGCTTGTGTCTAGTTGTTATGGGAAGATATTTCCTTTTTCAACATAGGCCTGAAAGCGCTCCAAATGTCCACTTCCAGATACTACAAAAGGAGTGATTCCAACCTGCTCTATGATAGGGAATGTTCAACTCTCTGTCCTGAATACAAACATCACAAAGATGTTTCTCAGAACGCTGCAGTCTGCAATTTGTATGAATTCCCGCTTCCAACGAAATCCTCAAAACTAGCCAAATATCCACTTGCAGATTCCACAAAAAGAGCATTTCAAAACTGCTCTATCAAAAGAAAGGTTCAACTTTGTTAGTTGAGTAGATACAGCATAAACAAGTTTCTGAGAATGCTTCTGTCCAGTTTTTATGGGAAGATATTTCCTTTTTCACCTTAGCCCTGAAAGCGCTCCAAAAGTCCAGTTCCAGATACTACAAAAGGAGTGTTTCAGGACTGCTCTATGAAAGGGAGTGTTCAACTTTTGACTTGAATGCAAACATCAGAAAGCAGTTTCTCAGAACGCTGCTGTGTGCTTTTTATATGTATTCCCGCCTCCAGCGAAGTCCCCAAAGCTAGCCAAATATCCACTTGCAGATTCCAGAAAAAGAGTGTTTCAAAACTGCTCCTTCAAAACGGTGGTTCAATTCTCTTAGTTGAGTACACACATCTCAAATAAGTTTCTGAGAATGCTTCTGTCTAGTTGTTATGGGAAGATATTTCCTTTTCCAACATAGGCCTGAAAGCGCTCCAAATGTCCTCTTCCAGATACTACAAAAGGAGTGATTCAAACCTGCTCTATGATAGGGAATGTTCAACTCTGTGTCCTGAATACAAACATCACAAAGATGTTTCTCAGAACGCTGCAGTCTGCAATTTGTATGAATTCCCGCTTCCAACGAAATCCTCAAAACTAGCCAAATATCCACTTGCAGATTCCACAAAAAGAGCGTTTCAAAACTTCTCTATGAAAAGAAAGGTTCTACTCCTTTAGTTGAGGACACACATCACGAGTAAGTTTGCTGAGAATGCTTATCTGTCTAGTTTTTATGGGAAGATATGTCCTTTTTCACCTTAGGCCGGAAAGTGCTCCAAATGTCCACTTACACACACTACAAAAAGAGTGTTTCAAACCTGCTCTGTGAAAGGGAATGTTCAATTCTGTGACTTGAATGCAATCATCACAAAGAACTTTCTGAGAATGCTGCTGTCAGCTTTTTATATGTAATCCCGTTTCCAAAGAAATCCTCAAATCTAGCCAAATAGCCACTTGCAGATTCCACAAAAAGAGTGTTTCAAAACTGTTCTGTCTAAAGAAATGTTCAACTGTGTTAGTTGAGGACACACATCAGAAACTAGTTTCTGAGAATGCTTCTGTCTAGTTGTTATGGGAAGATATTTCCTTTTCCAACGTAGGCCTGAAAGCGCTCCAAATGTCCACTTCCATATACTAAAAAAAGAGTGTTTCAAACCTGCTCTACCAAAGGGAATGTTCTACTCTGTGACTTGAATAGAAACATCCCAAAGAAGTTTCTGAGAATGCTTCTGTCTAGATTTTAGCTGAAGACAATCCCGTTTCCAACGAAATCCTCAAAGCTAGGCAAATATACTCTAGCAGATTCCAGAAAAAGAGTGTTTCAAAACTGCTCCTTCAAAACGGTGGTTCAATTCTCTTAGTTGAGTACACACATCTCAAATAAGTTTCTGAGAATGCTTCTGCCTAGTTGTTACGGGAAGATATTTCCCTTTCCAACATAGGCCTGAAAGCGCTCCAAATGTCCACTTCCAGATACTACAAAAAGAGTGTTGCAAACCTGCTCTACCAAAGGGAATGTTCTACTCTGTGACTTGAATGCAAACATCCCAAAGAAGTTTCTGAGAATGCTTCTGTCTAGATTTTACCTGAAGACAATCCCGTTTCCCACGAAATCCTCAAAGCTATGCAAATATCCTCTTGCAGATTCTACAAAAAGAGTGTTTCAAAACTGCTCTATGAAAAGAAAGGTTCAACTCTGTCAGTAGAGGGCACACATCACAAACAAGTTTCTGAGAATGCTTCTGTCTAGTTGTTATGGGAAGATATTTCCTTTTCCAACATAGGCCTGAAAGCGCTCCAAATGTCCACTTCCAGATATTACAAAAGGAGTGATTCAAACCTGCTCTATGATAGGGAATGTTCAACTCTGTGTCCTGAATACAAACATCACAAAGATGATTCTCAGAACGCTGCAGTCTGCAATTTGTATGAATTCCCGCTTCCAACGAAATCCTCAAAACTAGCCAAATATCCACTTGCAGATTCCACAAAAAGACCATTTCAAAACTGCTCTATCAAAAGAAAGGTTCAACTTTGTTAGTTGAGTAGATACAGCATAAACAAGTTTCTGAGAATGCTTCTGTCCAGTTTTTATGGGAAGATATTTCCTTTTTCACCTTAGCCCTGAAATCGCTCCAAAAGTCCAGTTCCAGATACTACAAAAGGGGTGTTTCAAGACTGCTCTATGAAAGGGAGTGTTCAACTTTTGACTTGAATGCAAACATCAGAAAGCAGTTTCTCAGAACGCTGCTGTGTGCTTTTTATATGTATTCCCGCTTCCAGCGAAATCCCCAAAGCTAGCCAAATATCCACTTGCAGATTCCAGAAAAAGAGTGTTTCAAAACTGCTCCTTCAAAACGGTGGTTCAATTCTCTTAGTTGAGTACACACATCTCAAATAAGTTTCTGAGAATGCTTCTGTCTAGTTGTTATGGGAAGATATTTCCTTTTCTAACATAGGCCTGAAAGCGCTCCAAATGTCCACTTCCAGATACTACAAAATGAGTGATTCAAACCTGCTCTATGATAGGGAATGTTCAACTCTGTGTCCTGAATACAAACATCACAAAGATGTTTCTCAGAACGCTGCAGTCTGCAATTTGTATGAATTCCCGCTTCCAACGAAATCCTCAAAACTAGCCAAATATCCACTTGCAGATTCCACAAAAAGAGCGTTTCAAAACTTCTCTATGAAAAGAAAGGTTCTACTCCTTTAGTTGAGGACACACATCACGAGTAAGTTTCTGAGAATGCTTCTGTCTGGTTTTTATGGTAAGATATGTCCTTTTTCACCTTAGGCCGGAAAGCGCTCCAAATGTCCACTTACACACACTACAAAAAGAGTGTTTCAAACCTGCTCTGTGAAAGGGAATGTTCAATTCTGTGACTTGAATGCAATCATCACAAAGAACTTTCTGAGAATGCTGCTGACTGCTTTTTATATGTAATCCCGTTTCCAACGAAATCCTCAAATCTAGCCCAATATCCACTTGTAGATTCCACAAAAAGAGTGTTTCAAAACTGTTCTGTCTAAAGAAATGTACAACTGTGTTAGTTGAGGACACACATCAGAAACTAGTTTCTGAGAATGCTTCTGTCTAGTTGTTATGGGAAGATATTTCCTTTTCCAACGTAGGCCTGAAAGCGCTCCAAATGTCCACTTCCATATACTAAAAAAAGAGTGTTTCAAACCTGCTCTACCAAAGGGAATGTTCTACTCTGTGACTTGAATGCAA
Organism: Homo sapiens; assembly: GCF_000001405.40. Lineage (NCBI taxonomy): Eukaryota > Metazoa > Chordata > Mammalia > Primates > Hominidae > Homo > Homo sapiens. Next base: position 19,755,158 of record NC_000018.10, on the reverse strand, counting down.
ACATCCCAAAGAAGTTTCTGAGAATGCTTCTGTCTAGATTTTATCTGAAGACAATCCCGTTTCCAACGAAATCCTCAAGGCTAGGCAAATATACTCTTGCAGATTCCAGAAAAAGAGTGTTTCAAAACTGCTCCTTCAAAACGGTGGTTCAATTCTCTTAGTTGAGTACACACATCTCAAATAAGTTTCTGAGAATGCTTCTGCCTAGTTGTTACGGGAAGATATTTCCCTTTCCAACATGGGCCTGAAAGCGCTCCAAATGTCCACTTCCAGATACTACAAAAAGAGTGTTTCAAACCTGCTCTACCAAAGGGAATGTTCTACTCTGTGACTTGAATGCAAACATCCCAAAGAAGTTTCTGAGAATGCTTCTGTCTAGATTTTACCTGAAGACAATCCCGTTTCCCACGAAATCCTCAAAGCTATGCAAATATCCTCTTGCAGATTCTACAAAAAGAGTGTTTCAAAACTGCTCTATGAAAAGAAAGGTTCAACTCTGTCAGTAGAGGGCACACATCACAAACAAGTTTCTGAGAATGCTTGTGTCTAGTTGTTATGGGAAGATATTTCCTTTTTCAACATAGGCCTGAAAGCGCTCCAAATGTCCACTTCCAGATACTACAAAAGGAGTGATTCCAACCTGCTCTATGATAGGGAATGTTCATCTCTGTGTCCTGAATACAAACATCACAAAGATGTTTCTCAGAACGCTGCAGTCTGCAATTTGTATGAATTCCCGCTTCCAACGAAATCCTCAAAACTAGCCAAATATCCACTTGCAGATTCCACAAAAAGACCATTTCAAAACTGCTCTATCAAAAGAAAGGTTCAACTTTGTTAGTTGAGTAGATACAGCATAAACAAGTTTCTGAGAATGCTTCTGTCCAGTTTTTATGGGAAGATATTTCCTTTTTCACCTTAGCCCTGAAATCGCTCCAAAAGTCCAGTTCCAGATACTACAAAAGGGGTGTTTCAAGACTGCTCTATGAAAGGGAGTGTTCAACTTTTGACTTGAATGCAAACATCAGAAAGCAGTTTCTCAGAACGCTGCTGTGTGCTTTTTATATGTATTCCCGCTTCCAGCGAAATCCCCAAAGCTAGCCAAATATCCACTTGCAGATTCCAGAAAAAGAGTGTTTCAAAACTGCTCCTTCAAAACGGTGGTTCAATTCTCTTAGTTGAGTACACACATCTCAAATAAGTTTCTGAGAATGCTGCTGTGTGCTTTTTATATGTATTCCCGCTTCCAGCGAAATCCCCAAAGCTAGCCAAATATCCACTTGCAGATTCCAGAAAAAGAGTGTTTCAAAACTGCTCCTTCAAAACGGTGGTTCAATTCTCTTAGTTGAGTACACACATCTCAAATAAGTTTCTGAGAATGCTTGCAGTCTGCAATTTGTATGAATTCCCGCTTCCAACGAAATCCTCAAAACTAGCCAAATATCCACTTGCAGATTCCACAAAAAGAGCGTTTCAAAACTTCTCTATGAAAAGAAAGGTTCTACTCCTTTAGTTGAGGACACACATCACGAGTAAGTTTCTGAGAATGCTTCTGTCTAGTTTTTATGGGAAGATATTTCTTTTTTCACCTTAGGCCGGAAAGCGCTCCAAATGTCCACTTACACACACTACAAAAAGAGTGTTTCAAACCTGCTCTGTGAAAGGGAATGTTCAATTCTGTGACTTGAATGCAATCATCACAAAGAACTTTCTGAGAATGCTGCTGTCTGCTTTTTATATGTAATCCCGTTTCCAACGAAATCCTCAAATCTAGCCCAATATCCACTTGCAGATTCCACAAAAAGAGTGTTTCAAAACTGTTCTGTCTAAAGAAAAGTTCAACTGTGTTAGTTGAGGACACACATCAGAAACTAGTTTCTGAGAATGCTTCTGTCTAGTTGTTATGGGAAGAGATTTCCTTTTCCAACGTAGGCCTGAAAGCGCTCCAAATGTCCTTCCATATACTACAAAAAGAGTGTTTCAAACCTGCTCTACCAAAGGGAATGTTCTACTCTGTGACTTGAATGCAAACATCCCAAAGAAGTTTCTGAGAATGCTTCTGTCTAGATTTTCTCTGAAGACAATCCCGTTTCCAACGAAATCCTCAAGGCTAGGCAAATATACTCTTGCAGATTCCAGAAAAAGAGTGTTTCAAAACTGCTCCTTCAAAACGGTGGTTCAATTCTCTTAGTTGAGTACACACATCTCAAATAAGTTTCTGAGAATGCTTCTGCCTAGTTGTTACCGGAAGATATTTCCCTTTCCAACATAGGCCTGAAAGCGCTCCAAATGTCCACTTCCAGATACTACAAAAAGAGTGTTTCAAACCTGCTCTACCAAAGGGAATGTTCTACTCTGTGACTTGAATGCAAACATCCCAAAGAAGTTTCTGAGAATGCTTCTGTCTAGATTTTACCTGAAGACAATCCCGTTTCCCACGAAATCCTCAAAGCTATGCAAATATCCTCTTGCAGATTCTACAAAAAGAGTGTTTCAAAACTGCTCTATGAAAAGAAAGGTTCAACTCTGTCAGTAGAGGGCACACATCACAAACAAGTTTCTGAGAATGCTTGTGTCTAGTTGTTATGGGAAGATATTTCCTTTTTCAACATAGGCCAGAAAGCGCTCCAAATGTCCACTTCCAGATACTACAAAAGGAGTGATTCCAACCTGCTCTATGATAGGGAATGTTCAACTCTCTGTCCTGAATACAAACATCACAAAGATGTTTCTCAGAACGCTGCAGTCTGCAATTTGTATGAATTCCCGCTTCCAACGAAATCCTCAAAACTAGCCAAATATCCACTTGCAGATTCCACAAAAAGACCATTTCAAAACTGCTCTATCAAAAGAAAGGTTCAACTTTGTTAGTTGAGTAGATACAGCATAAACAAGTTTCTGAGAATGCTTCTGTCCAGTTTTTATGGGAAGATATTTCCTTTTTCACCTTAGCCCTGAAATCGCTCCAAAAGTCCAGTTCCAGATACTACAAAAGGGGTGTTTCAAGACTGCTCTATGAAAGGGAGTGTTCAACTTTTGACTTGAATGCAAACATCAGAAAGCAGTTTCTCAGAACGCTGCTGTGTGCTTTTTATATGTATTCCCGCTTCCAGCGAAATCCCCAAAGCTAGCCAAATATCCACTTGCAGATTCCAGAAAAAGAGTGTTTCAAAACTGCTCCTTCAAAACGGTGGTTCAATTCTCTTAGTTGAGTACACACATCTCAAATAAGTTTCTGAGAATGCTTGTGTCTAGTTGTTATGGGAAGATATTTCCTTTTTCAACATAGGCCTGAAAGCGCTCCAAATGTCCACTTCCAGATACTACAAAAGGAGTGATTCCAACCTGCTCTATGATAGGGAATGTTCATCTCTGTGTCCTGAATACAAACATCACAAAGATGTTTCTCAGAACGCTGCAGTCTGCAATTTGTATGAATTCCCGCTTCCAACGAAATCCTCAAAACTAGCCAAATATCCACTTGGAGATTCCACAAAAAGAGCGTTTCAAAACTTCTCTATGAATAGAAAGTTTCTACTCCTTTAGTTGAGGACACACATCACGAGTAAGTTTCTGAGAATGCTTCTGTCTAGTTTTTATGGGAAGATATTTCCTTTTTCACCTTAGGCCGGAAAGTGCTCCAAATGTCCACTTACACACACTACAAAAAGAGTGTTTCAAACCTGCTCTGTGAAAGGGAATGTTCAATTCTGTGACTTGAATGCAATCATCACAAAGAACTTTCTGAGAATGCTGCTGTCTGCTTTTTATATGTAATCCCGTTTCCAACGAAATCCTCAAATCTAGCCAAATATCCACTTGCAGATTCCACAAAAAGAGTGTTTCAAAACTGTTCTGTCTAAAGAAATGTTCAACTGTGTCAGTTGAGGACACACATCAGAAACTAGTTTCTGAGAATGCTTCCGTCTAGGTGTTATGGGAAGATATTTCCTTTTCCAACGTAGGCCTGAAAGCGCTCCAAATGTCCACTTCCATATACTAAAAAAAGAGTGTTTCAAACCTGCTCTACCAAAGGAATGTTCTACTCTGTGACTTGAATGCAAACATCCCAAAGAAGTTTCTGAGAATGCTTCTGTCTAGATTTGATCTGAAGACAATCCCTTTTCCAACGAAATCCTCAAAGCTAGGCAAATATCCTCTTGCAGATTCCAGAAAAAGAGTGTTTCCAAACTGCTCCTTCAAAACGGTGGTTCAATTCTCTTAGTTGAGTACACACATCTCAAATAAGTTTCTGAGAATGCTTCTGCCTAGTTGTTACGGGAAGATATTTCCCTTTCCAACATGGGCCTGAAAGCGCTCCAAATGTCCACTTCCAGATACTACAAAAAGAGTGTTTCAAACCTGCTCTACCAAAGGGAATGTTCTACTCTGTGACTTGAATGCAAACATCCCAAAGAAGTTTCTGAGAATGCTTCTGTCTAGATTTTACCTGAAGACAATCCCGTTTCCCACGAAATCCTCAAAGCTATGCAAATATCCTCTTGCAGATTCTACAAAAAGAGTGTTTCAAAACTGCTCTATGAAAAGAAAGGTTCCAACTCTGTCAGTAGAGGGCACACATCACAAACAAGTTTCTGAGAATGCTTCTGCATAGTTGTTACGGGAAGATATTTCCCTTTCCAAAATAGGCCTGAAAGCGCTCCAAATGTCCACTTCCAGATACTACAAAAGGAGTGATTCCAACCTGCTCTATGATAGGGAATGTTCAACTCTGTGTCCTGAATACAAACATCACAAAGATGTTTCTCAGAACGCTGCAGTCTGCAATTTGTATGAATTCCCGCTTCCAACGAAATCCTCAAAACTAGCCAAATATCCACTTGCAGATTCCACAAAAAGACCATTTCAAAACTGCTCTATCAAAAGAAAGGTTCAACTTTGTTAGTTGAGTAGATACAGCATAAACAAGTTTCTGAGAATGCTTCTGTCCAGTTTTTATGGGAAGATATTTCCTTTTTCACCTTAGCCCTGAAATCGCTCCAAAAGTCCAGTTCCAGATACTACAAAAGGGGTGTTTCAGGACTGCTCTATGAAAGGGAGTGTTCAACTTTTGACTTGAATGCAAACATCAGAAAGCAGTTTCTCAGAACGCTGCTGTGTGCTTTTTATATGTATTCCCGCTTCCAGCGAAATCCCCAAAGCTAGCCAAATATCCACTTGCAGATTCCAGAAAAAGAGTGTTTCAAAACTGCTCCTTCAAAACGGTGGTTCAATTCTCTTAGTTGAGTACACACATCTCAAATAAGTTTCTGAGAATGCTTCTGTCTAGTTGTTATGGGAAGATATTTCCTTTTCCAACATAGGCGTGAAAGCGCTCCAAATGTCCACTTCCAGATACTACAAAAGGAGTGATTCCAACCTGCTCTATGATAGGGAATGTTCAACTCTGTGTCCTGAATACAAACATCACAAAGATGTTTCTCAGAACGCTGCAGTCTGCAATTTGTATGAATTCCCGCTTCCAACGAAATCCTCAAAACTAGCCAAATATCCACTTGCAGATTCCACAAAAAGAGCGTTTCAAAACTTCTCTATGAAAAGAAAGGTTCTACTCCTTTAGTTGAGGACACACATCACGAGTAAGTTTCTGAGAATGCTTCTGTCTAGTTTTTATGGGAAGATATTTCCCTTTTCACCTTAGGCCGGTAAGTGCTCCAAAGGTCCACTTACACACACTACAAAAAGAGTGTTTCAAACCTGCTCTGTGAAAGGGAATGTTCAATTCTGTGACTTGAATGCAATCATCACAAAGAACTTTCTGAGAATGCTGCTGACTGCTTTTTATATGTAATCCCGTTTCCAACGAAATCCTCAAATCTAGCCAAATAGCCACTTGCAGATTCCACAAAAAGAGTGTTTCAAAACTGTTCTGTCTAAAGAAATGTTCAACTGTGTTAGTTGAGGACACACATCAGAAACTAGTTTCTGAGAATGCTTCTGTCTAGTTGTTATGGGAACATATATCCTTTTCCAACGTAGGCCTGAAAGCGCTCCAAATGTCCACTTCCATATACTAAAAAAAGAGTGTTTCAAACCTGCTCTACCAAAGGGAATGTTCTACTCTGTGACTTGAATGCAAACATCCCAAAGAAGTTTCTGAGAATGCTTCTGTCTAGATTTGATCTGAAGACAATCCCGTTTCCAACGAAATCCTCAAGGCTAGGCAAATATCCTCTTGCAGATTCCAGAAAAAGAGTGTTTCAAAACTGCTCCTTCAAAACGGTGGTTCAATTCTCTTAGTTGAGTACACACATCTCAAATAAGTTTCTGAGAATGCTTCTGCCTAGTTGTTACGGGAAGATATTTCCCTTTCCAACATAGGCCTGAAAGCGCTCCAAATGTCCACTTCCAGATACTACAAAAAGAGTGTTTCAAACCTGCTCTACCAAAGGGAATGTTCTACTCTGTGACTTGAATGCAAACATCCCAAAGAAGTTTCTGAGAATGCTTCTGTCTAGATTTTACCTGAAGACAATCCCGTTTCCCACGAAATCCTCAAAGCTATGCAAATATCCTCTTGCAGATTCTACAAAAAGAGTGTTTCAAAACTGCTCTATGAAAAGAAAGGTTCAACTCTGTCAGTAGAGGGCACACATCACAAACAAGTTTCTGAGAATGCTTCTGCATAGTTGTTACGGGAAGATATTTCCCTTTCCAAAATAGGCCTGAAAGCGCTCCAAATGTCCACTTCCAGATACTACAAAAGGAGTGATTCCAACCTGCTCTATGATAGGGAATGTTCAACTCTGTGTCCTGAATACAAACATCACAAAGATGTTTCTCAGAACGCTGCAGTCTGCAATTTGTATGAATTCCCGCTTCCAACGAAATCCTCAAAACTAGCCAAATATAAACTTGCAGATTCCACAAAAAGACCATTTCAAAACTGCTCTATCAAAAGAAAGGTTCAACTTTGTTAGTTGAGTAGATACAGCATAACCAAGTTTCTGAGAATGCTTCTGTCCAGTTTTTATGGGAAGATATTTCCTTTTTCACCTTAGCCCTGAAATCGCTCCAAAAGTCCAGTTCCAGATACTACAAAAGGGGTGTTTCAAGACTGCTCTATGAAAGGGAGTGTTCAACTTTTGACTTGAATGCAAACATCAGAAAGCAGTTTCTCAGAACGCTGCTGTGTGCTTTTTATATGTATTCCCTCTTCCAGCGAAATCCGCAAAGCTAGCCAAATATCCTCTTGCAGATTCCAGAAAAAGAGTGTTTCAAATCTGCTCCTTCAAAACGGTGGTTCAATTCTCTTAGTTGAGTACACACATCTCAAATAAGTTTCTGAGAATGCTTGTGTCTAGTTGTTATGGGAAGATATTTCCTTTTTCAACATAGGCCTGAAAGCGCTCCAAATGTCCTCTTCCAGATACTACAAAAGGAGTGATTCCAACCTGCTCTATGATAGGGAATGTTCATCTCTGTGTCCTGAATACAAACATCACAAAGATGTTTCTCAGAATGCTGCAGTCTGCAATTTGTATGAATTCCCGCTTCCAACGAAATCCTCAAAACTAGCCAAATATCCACTTGCAGATTCCACAAAAAGAGCGTTTCAAAACTTCTCTATGAAAAGAAAGGTTCTACTCCTTTAGTTGAGGACACACATCACGAGTAAGTTTCTGAGAATGCTTCTGTCTAGTTTTTAAGGGAAGATATTTCCTTTTTCACCTTAGGCCGGAAAGTGCTCCAAATGTCCACTTACACACACTACAAAAAGAGTGTTTCAAACCTGCTCTGTGAAAGGGAATGTTCAATTCTGTGACTTGAATGCAATCATCACAAAGAACTTTCTGAGAATGCTGCTGTCTGCTTTTTATATGTAATCCCGTTTCCAACGAAATCCTCAAATCTAGCCAAATATCCACTTGCAGATTCCACAAAAAGAGTGTTTCAAAACTGTTCTGTCTAAAGAAATGTTCAACTGTGTTAGTTGAGGACACACATCAGAAACTAGTTTCTGAGAATGCTTCTGTCTAGTTGTTATGGGAAGATATTTCCTTTTCCAACGTAGGCCTGAAAGCGCTCCAAATGTCCACTTCCATATACTAAAAAAAGAGTGTTTCAAACCTGCTCTACCAAAGGGAATGTTCTACTCTGTGACTTGAATGCAAACATCCCAAAGAAGTTTCTGAGAATGCTTCTGTCTAGATTTTATCTGAAGACAATCCCGTTTCCAACGAAATCCTCAAGGCTAGGCAAATATACTCTTGCAGATTCCAGAAAAAGAGTGGTTCAAAACTGCTCCTTCAAAACGGTGGTTCATTTCTCTTAGTTGAGTACACACATCTCAAATAAGTTTCTGAGAATGCTTCTGCCTAGTTGTTACGGGAAGATATTTCCCTTTCCAACATAGGCCTGAAAGCGCTCCAAATGTCCACTTCCAGATACTACAAAAAGAGTGTTTCAAACCTGCTCTACCAAAGGGAATGTTCTGCTCTGTGACTTGAATGCAAACATCCCAAAGAAGTTTCTGAGAATGCTTCTGTCTAGATTTTACCTGAAGACAATCCCGTTTCCCACGAAATCCTCAAAGCTATGCAAATATCCTCTTGCAGATTCTACAAAAAGAGTGTTTCAAAACTGCTCTATGAAAAGAAAGGTTCAACTCTGTCAGTAGAGGGCACACATCACAAACAAGTTTCTGAGAATGCTTGTGTCTAGTTGTTATGGGAAGATATTTCCTTTTTCAACATAGGCCTGAAAGCGCTCCAAATGTCCACTTCCAGATACTACAAAAGGAGTGATTCCAACCTGCTCTATGATAGGGAATGTTCAACTCTCTGTCCTGAATACAAACATCACAAAGATGTTTCTCAGAACGCTGCAGTCTGCAATTTGTATGAATTCCCGCTTCCAACGAAATCCTCAAAACTAGCCAAATATCCACTTGCAGATTCCACAAAAAGACCATTTCAAAACTGCTCTATCAAAAGAAAGGTTCAACTTTGTTAGTTGAGTAGATACAGCATAACCAAGTTTCTGAGAATGCTTCTGTCCAGTTTTTATGGGAAGATATTTCCTTTTTCACCTTAGCCCTGAAATCGCTCCAAAAGTCCAGTTCCAGATACTACAAAAGGGGTGTTTCAAGACTGCTCTATGAAAGGGAGTGTTCAACTTTTGACTTGAATGCAAACATCAGAAAGCAGTTTCTCAGAACGCTGCTGTGTGCTTTTTATATGTATTCCCGCTTCCAGCGAAATCCCCAAAGCTAGCCAAATATCCACTTGCAGATTCCAGAAAAAGAGTGTTTCAAAACTGCTCCTTTAAAACGGTGGTTCAATTCTCTTAGTTGAGTACACACATCTCAAATAAGTTTCTGAGAATGCTTCTGTCTAGTTGTTATGGGAAGATATTTCCTTTTCCAACATAGGCCTGAAAGCGCTCCAAATGTCCACTTCCAGATACTACAAAAGGAGTGATTCCAACCTGCTCTATGATAGGGAATGTTCAACTCTGTGTCCTGAATACAAACATCACAAAGATGTTTCTCAGAACGCTGCAGTCTGCAATTTGTATGAATTCCCGCTTCCAACGAAATCCTCAACACTAGCCAAATATCCACTTGGAGATTCCACAAAAAGAGCGTTTCAAAACTTCTCTATGAATAGAAAGGTTCTACTCCTTTAGTTGAGGACACACATCACGAGTAAGTTTCTGAGAATGCTTCTGTCTAGTTTTTATGGGAAGATATGTCCTTTTTCACCTTAGGCCGGAAAGCACTCCAAATGTCCACTTACACACACTACAAAAAGAGTGTTTCAAACCTGCTCTGTGAAAGGGAATGTTCAATTCTGTGACTTGAATGCAATCATCACAAAGAACTTTCTGAGAATGCTGCTGACTGCTTTTTATATGTAATCCCGTTTCCAACGAAATCCTCAAATCTAGCCCAATATCCACTTGCAGATTCCACAAAAAGAGTGTTTCAAAACTATTCTGTCTAAAGAAATGTACAACTGTGTTAGTTGAGGACACACATCAGAAACTAGTTTCTGAGAATGCTTCTGTCTAGTTGTTATGGGAAGATATTTCCTTTTCCAACGTAGGCCTGAAAGCGCTCCAAATGTCCACTTCCATATACTTAAAAAAGAGTGTTTCAAACCTGCTCTACCAAAGGGAATGTTCTACTCTGTGACATGAATGCAAACATCCCAAAGAAGTTTCTGAGAATGCTTCTGTCTAGATTTGATCTGAAGACAATCCCGTTTCCAACGAAATCCTCAAGGCTAGGCAAATATACTCTTGCAGATTCCAGAAAAAGAGTGTTTCAAAACTGCTCCTTCAAAACGGTGGTTCAATTCTCTTAGTTGAGTACACACATCTCAAATAAGTTTCTGAGAATGCTTCTGCCTAGTTGTTACGGGAAGATATTTCCCTTTCCAACATAGGCCTGAAAGCGCTCCAAATGTCCACTTCCAGATACTACAAAAAGAGTGTTTCAAACCTGCTCTACCAAAGGGAATGTTCTACTCTGTGACTTGAATGCAAACATCCCAAAGAAGTTTCTGAGAATGCTTCTGTCTAGATTTTACCTGAAGACAATCCCGTTTCCCACGAAATCCTCAAAGCTATGCAAATATCCTCTTGCAGATTCTACAAAAAGAGTGTTTCAAAACTGCTCTATGAAAAGAAAGGTTCAACTCTGTCAGTAGAGGGCACACATCACAAACAAGTTTCTGAGAATGCTTGTGTCTAGTTGTTATGGGAAGATATTTCCTTTTTCAACATAGGCCTGAAAGCGCTCCAAATGTCCACTTCCAGATACTACAAAAGGAGTGATTCCAACCTGCTCTATGATAGGGAATGTTCAACTCTGTGTCCTGAATACAAACATCACAAAGATGTTTCTCAGAACGCTGCAGTCTGCAATTTGTATGAATTCCCGCTTCCAACCGAAATCCTCAAAACTAGCCAAATATCCACTTGCAGATTCCACAAAAAGAGCATTTCAAAACTGCTCTATCAAAAGAAAGGTTCAACTTTGTTAGTTGAGTAGATACAGCATAAACAAGTTTCTGAGAATGCTTCTGTCCAGTTTTTATGGGAAGATATTTCCTTTTTCACCTTAGCCCTGAAATCGCTCCAAAAGTCCAGTTCCAGATACTACAAAAGGGGTGTTTCAGGACTGCTCTATGAAAGGGAGTGTTCAACTTTTGACTTGAATGCAAACATCAGAAAGCAGTTTCTCAGAACGCTGCTGTGTGCTTTTTATATGTATTCCCGCTTCCAGCGAAATCCCCAAAGCTAGCCAAATATCCACTTGCAGATTCCAGAAAAAGAGTGTTTCAAAACTGCTCCTTCAAAACGGTGGTTCAATTCTCTTAGTTGAGTACACACATCTCAAATAAGTTTCTGAGAATGCTTGTGTCTAGTTGTTATGGGAAGATATTTCCTTTTTCAACATAGGCCTGAAAGCGCTCCAAATGTCCACTTCCAGATACTACAAAAGGAGTGATTCCAACCTGCTCTATCATAGGGAATGTTCATCTCTGTGTCCTGAATACAAACATCACAAAGATGTTTCTCAGAACGCTGCAGTCTGCAATTTGTATGAATTCCCGCTTCCAACGAAATCCTCAAAACTAGCCAAATATCCACTTGGAGATTCCACAAAAAGAGCATTTCAAAACTTCTCTATGAATAGAAAGGTTCTACTCCTTTAGTTGAGGACACACATCACGAGTAAGTTTCTGAGAATGCTTCTGTCTAGTTTTTATGGGAAGATATGTCCTTTTTCACCTTAGGCCGGAAAGCGCTCCAAATGTCCACTTACACACACTACAAAAAGAGTGTTTCAAACCTGCTCTGTGAAAGGGAATGTTCAATTCTGTGACTTGAATGCAATCATCACAAAGAACTTTCTGAGAATGCTGCTGTCTGCTTTTTATATGTAATCCCGTTTCCAACGAAATCCTCAAATCTAGCCAAATATCCACTTGCAGATTCCACAAAGAGAGTGTTTCAAAACTGTTCTGTCTAAAGAAATGTTCAACTGTGTTAGTTGAGGACACACATCAGAAACTAGTTTCTGAGAATGCTTCTGTCTAGTTGTTATGGGAAGATATTTCCTTTTCCAACGTAGGCCTGAAAGCGCTCCAAATGTCCACTTCCAGATACTACAAAAAGAGTGTTTCAAACCTGCTCTACCAAAGGGAATGTTCTACTGCTGTGACTTGAATGCAAACATCCCAAAGAAGTTTCTGAGAATGCTTTCCTGTCTAGATTTTCTCTGAAGACAATCCCGTTTCCAACGAAATCCTCAAGGCTAGGCAAATATCCTCTTGCAGATTCCAGAAAAAGAGTGTTTCAAAACTGCTCCTTCAAAACGGTGGTTCAATTCTCTTAGTTGAGTACACACATCTCAAATAAGTTTCTGAGAATGCTTCTGCCTAGTTGTTACGGGAAGATATTTCCCTTTCCAACATAGGCCTGAAAGCGCTCCAAATGTCCACTTCCAGATACTACAAAAAGAGTGTTTCAAACCTGCTCTACCAAAGGGAATGTTCTACTCTGTGACTTGAATGCAAACATCCCAAAGAAGTTTCTGAGAATGCTTCTGTCTAGATTTTACCTGAAGACAATCCCGTTTCCCACGAAATCCTCAGAGCTATGCAAATATCCTCTTGCAGATTCTACAAAAAGAGTGTTTCGAAACTGCTCTATGAAAAGAAAGGTTCAACTCTGTCAGTAGAGGAAACACATCACCAACAAGTTTCTGAGAATGCTTCTGTCTAGTTGTTATGGGAAGATTTTTCCTTTTTCAACATAGGCCTGAAAGCGCTCCAAATGTCCACTTCCAGATACTACAAAAGGAGTGATCCCAACCTGCTCTATGATAGGGAATGTTCAACTCTGTGTCCTGAATACAAACATCACAAAGATGTTTCTCAGAACGCTGCAGTCTGCAATTTGTATGAATTCCCGCTTCCAACGAAATCCTCAAAACTAGCCAAATATCCACTTGCAGATTCCACAAAAAGAGCATTTCAAAACTGCTCTATCAAAAGAAAGGTTCAACTTTGTTAGTTGAGCAGATACAGCATAAACAAGTTTCTGAGAATGCTTCTGTCCAGTTTTTATGGGAAGATATTTCCTTTTTCACCTTAGCCCTGAAAGCGCTCCAAATGTGCAGTTCCAGATACTACAAAAGGGGTGTTTCAAGACTGCTCTATGAAAGGGAGTGTTCAACTTTTGACTTGAATGCAAACATCAGAAAGCAGTTTCTCAGAACGCTGCTGTGTGCTTTTTATATGTATTCCCGCTTCCAGCGAAATCCCCAAAGCTAGCCAAATATCCACTTGCAGATTCCAGAAAAAGAGTGTTTCCAAACTGCTCCTTCAAAACGGTGGTTCAATTCTCTTAGTTGAGTACACACATCTCAAATAAGTTTCTGGGAATGCTTCTGTCTAGTTGTTATGGGAAGATATTTCCTTTTCCAACATAGGCCTGAAAGCGCTCCAAATGTCCACTTCCAGATACTACAAAAGGAGTGATTCAAACCTGCTCTATGATAGGGAATGTGCAACTCTGTGTCCTGAATACAAACATCACAAAGATGTTTCTCAGAACGCTGCAGTCTGCATCTTGTATGAATTCCCGCTTCCAACGAAATCCTCAAAACTAGCCAAATATCCACTTGCAGATTCCACAAAAAGAGCGTTTCAAAACTTCTCTATGAAAAGAAAGGTTCTACTCCTTTAGTTGAGGACACACATCACGAGTAAGTTTCTGAGAATGCTTCTGTCTAGTTTTTATGGGAAGATATTTCCTTTTTCACCTTAGGCCGGAAAGTGCTCCAAATGTCCACTTACACACACTATACAAAGAGTGTTTCAAACCTGCTCTGTGAAAGGGAATGTTCAATACTGTGACTTGAATGCAATCATCACAAAGAAGTTTCTGAGAATGCTGCTGTCTGCTTTTTATATGTAATCCCGTTTCCAACGAAATCCTCAAATCTGGCCAAATAGCCACTTGCAGATACCACAAAAAGAGTGTTTCAAAACTGTTCTGTCTAAAGAAATGTTCAACTGTGTTAGTTGAGGACACACATCAGAAACTAGTTTCTGAGAATGCTTCTGTCTAGTTGTTATGGGAAGATATTTCCTTTTCCAACGTAGGCCTGAAAGCGCTCCAAATGTCCACTTCCATATACTAAAAAAAGAGTGTTTCAAACCTGCTCTACCAAAGGGAATGTTCTACTCTGTGACTTGAATGCAAACATCCCAAAGAAGTTTCTGAGAATGCTTCTGTCTAGATTTGATCTGAAGACAATCCCGTTTCCAACGAAATCCTCAAGGCTAGGCAAATATCCTCTTGCAGATTCCGGAAAAAGAGTGTTTCAAAACTGCTCCTTCAAAACGGTGGTTCAATTCTCTTAGTTGAGTACACACATCTCAAATAAGTTTCTGAGAATGCTTCTGCCTAGTTGTTACGGGAAGATATTTCCCTTTCCAACATAGGCCTGAAAGCGCTCCAAATGTCCACTTCCAGATACTACAAAAAGAGTGTTTCAAACCTGCTCTACCAAAGGGAATGTTCTACTCTGTGACTTGAATGCAAACATCCCAAAGAAGTTTCTGAGAATGCTTCTGTCTAGATTTTACCTGAAGACAATCCCGTTTCCCACGAAATCCTCAAAGCTATGCAAATATCCTCTTGCAGATTCTACAAAAAGAGTGTTTCAAAACTGCTCTATGAAAAGAAAGGTTCAACTCTGTCAGTAGAGGGCACACATCACAAACAAGTTTCTGAGAATGCTTGTGTCTAGTTGTTATGGGAAGATATTTCCTTTTTCAACATAGGCCTGAAAGCGCTCCAAATGTCCACTTCCAGATACTACAAAAGGAGTGATTCCAACCTGCTCTATGATAGGGAATGTTCAACTCTCTGTCCTGAATACAAACATCACAAAGATGTTTCTCAGAACGCTGCAGTCTGCAATTTGTATGAATTCCCGCTTCCAACGAAATCCTCAAAACTAGCCAAATATCCACTTGCAGATTCCACAAAAAGACCATTTCAAAACTGCTCTATCAAAAGAAAGGTTCAACTTTGTTAGTTGAGTAGATACAGCATAAACAAGTTTCTGAGAATGCTTCTGTCCAGTTTTTATGGGAAGATATTTCCTTTTTCACCTTAGCCCTGAAATCGCTCCAAAAGTCCAGTTCCAGATACTACAAAAGGGGTGTTTCAAGACTGCTCTATGAAAGGGAGTGTTCAACTTTTGACTTGAATGCAAACATCAGAAAGCAGTTTCTCAGAACGCTGCTGTGTGCTTTTTATATGTATTCCCGCTTCCAGCGAAATCCCCAAAGCTAGCCAAATATCCACTTGCAGATTCCAGAAAAAGAGTGTTTCAAAACTGCTCCTTCAAAACGGTGGTTCAATTCTCTTAGTTGAGTACACACATCTCAAATAAGTTTCTGAGAATGCTTCTGTCTAGTTGTTATGGGAAGATATTTCCTTTTCCAACATAGGCCTGAAAGCGCTCCAAATGTCCACTTCCAGATACTACAAAAGGAGTGATTCCAACCTGCTCTATGATAGGGAATGTTCAACTCTGTGTCCTGAATACAAACATCACAAAGATGTTTCTCAGAACGCTGCAGTCTGCAATTTGTATGAATTCCCGCTTCCAACGAAATCCTCCAAACTAGCCAAATATCCACTTGCAGATTCCACAAAAAGAGCGTTTCAAAACTTCTCTGCGAAAGAAAGGTTCTACTCCTTTAGTTGAGGACACACATCACGAGTAAGTTTCTGAGAATGCTTCTGTCTAGTTTTTATGGGAAGATATTTCCTTTCTCACCTTAGGCCGGAAAGTGCTCCAAATGTCCACTTACACACACTACAAAAAGAGTGTTTCAAACCTGCTCTGTGAAAGGGAATGTTCAATTCTGTGACTTGAATGCAATCATCACAAAGAACTTTCTGAGAATGCTGCTGACTGCTTTTTATATGTAATCCCGTTTCCAACGAAATCCTCAAATCTAGCCAAATAGCCACTTGCAGATTCCACAAAAAGAGTGTTTCAAAACTGTTCTGTCTAAAGAAATGTTCAACTGTGTTAGTTGAGGACACACATCAGAAACTAGTTTCTGAGAATGCTTCTGTCTAGTTGTTATGGGAAGATATTTCCTTTTCCAACGTAGGCCTGAAAGCGCTCCAAATGTCCACTTCCAGATACTACAAAAAGAGTGTTTCAAACCTGCTCTACCAAAGGGAATGTTCTACTCTGTGACTTGAATGCAAGCATCCCAAAGAAGTTTCTGAGAATGCTTCTGTCTAGATTTTCTCTGAAGACAATCCCGTTTCCAACGAAATCCTCAAGGCTAGGCAAATATACTCTTGCAGATTCCAGAAAAAGAGTGTTTCAAAACTGCTCCTTCAAAACGGTGGTTCAATTCTCTTAGTTGAGTACACACATCTCAAATAAGTTTCTGAGAATGCTTCTGCCTAGTTGTTACGGGAAGATATTTCCCTTTCCAACATGGGCCTGAAAGCGCTCCAAATGTCCACTTCCAGATACTACAAAAAGAGGGTTTCAAACCTGCTCTACCAAAGGGAATGTTCTACTCTGTGACTTGAATGCAAACATCCCAAAGAAGTTTCTGAGAATGCTGCTGTCTGCTTTTTATATGTAATCCCGTTTCCAACGAAATGCTCAAATCTAGCCAAATATCTACTTGCAGATTCCACAAAAAGAGTGTTTCAAAACTGTTCTGTCTAAAGAAATGTTCAACTGTGTTAGTTGAGGACACACATCAGAAACTAGTTTCTGAGAATGCTTGTGTCTAGTTGTTATGGGAAGATATTTCCTTTTTCAACATAGGCCTGAAAGCGCTCCAAATGTCCACTTCCAGATACTACAAAAGGAGTGATTCCAACCTGCTCTATGATAGGGAATGTTCATCCTACTGTGTCCTGAATACAAACATCACAAAGATGTTTCTCAGAACGCTGCAGTCTGCAATTTGTATGAATTCCCGCTTCCAACGAAATCCTCAAAACTAGCCAAATATCCACTTGCAGATTCCACAAAAAGAGCATTTCAAAACTGCTCTATCAAAAGAAAGGTTCAACTATGTTAGTTGAGTAGATACAGCATAAACAAGTTTCTGAGAATGCTTCTGTCCAGTTTTTATGGGAAGATATTTCCTTTTTCACCTTAGCCCTGAAAGCGCTCCAAAAGTCCAGTTCCAGATACTACAAAAGGAGTGTTTCAGGACTGCTCTATGAAAGGGAGTGTTCAACTTTTGACTTGAATGCAAACATCAGAAAGCAGTTTCTCAGAACGCTGCTGTGTGCTTTTTATATGTATTCCCGCTTCCAGCGAAATCCCCAAAGCTAGCCAAATATCCACTTGCAGATTCCAGAAAAAGAGTGTTTCAAAACTGCTCCTTCAAAACGGTGGTTCAATTCTCTTAGTTGAGTACACACATCTCAAATAAGTTTCTGAGAATGCTTCTGTCTAGTTGTTATGGGAAGATATTTCCTTTTCCAACATAGGCCTGAAAGCGCTCCAAATGTCCACTTCCAGATACTACAAAAGGAGTGATTCAAACCTGCTCTATGATAGGGAATGTTCAACTCTGTGTCCTGAATACAAACATCACAAAGATGTTTCTCAGAACGCTGCAGTCTGCAATTTGTATGAATTCCCGCTTCCAACGAAATCCTCAAAACTAGCCAAATATCCACTTGCAGATTCCACAAAAAGAGCGTTTCAAAACTTCTCTATGAAAACAAAGGTTCTACTCCTTTAGTTGAGGACACACATCACGAGTAAGTTTCTGAGAATGCTTCTGTCTAGTTTTTATGGGAAGATATTTCCTTTTTCACCTTAGGCCGGAAAGTGCTCCAAATGTCCACTTACACACACTATAAAAAGAGTGTTTCAAACCTGCTCTGTGAAAGGGAATGTTCAATTCTGTGACTTGAATGCAATCATCACAAAGAACTTTCTGAGAATGCTGCTGTCTGCTTTTTATATGTAATCCCGTTTCCAACGAAATCCTCAAATCTAGCCAAATAGCCACTTGCAGATTCCACAAAAAGAGAGTTTCAAAACTGTTCTGTCTAAAGAAATGTTCAACTGTGTTAGTTGAGGACACACATCAGAAACTAGTTTCTGAGAATGCTTCTGTCTAGTTGTTATGGGAAGAGATTTCCTTTTCCAACGTAGGCCTGAAAGCGCTCCAAATGTCCTTCCATATACTAAAAAAAGAGTGTTTCAAACCTGCTCTACCAAAGGGAATGTTCTACTCTGTGACTTGAATGCAAACATCCCAAAGAAGTTTCTGAGAATGCTTCTGTCTAGATTTGATCTGAAGACAATCCCGTTTCCAACGAAATCGTCAAGGCTAGGCAAATATACTCTTGCAGATTCCAGAAAAAGAGTGTTTCAAAACTGCTCCTTCAAAACGGTGGTTCAATTCTCTTAGTTGAGTACACACATCTCAAATAAGTTTCTGAGAATGCTTCTGCCTAGTTGTTACGGGAAGATATTTCCCTTTCCAACATGGGCCTGAAAGTGCTCCAAATGTCCACTTCCAGATACTACAAAAAGAGTGTTTCAAACCTGCTCTACCAAAGGGAATGTTCTACTCTGTGACTTGAATGCAAACATCCCAAAGAAGTTTCTGAGAATGCTTCTGTCTAGATTTTACCTGAAGACAATCCCGTTTCCCACGAAATCCTCAAAGCTATGCAAATATCCTCTTGCAGATTCTACAAAAAGAGTGTTTCAAAAGTGCTCTATGAAAAGAAAGGTTCAACTCTGTCAGTAGAGGGCACACATCACAAACAAGTTTCTGAGAATGCTTCTGTCTAGTTGTTATGGGAAGATATTTCCTTTTTCAACATAGGCCTGAAAGCGCTCCAAATGTCCACTTCCAGATACTACAAAAGGAGTGATTCCAACTTGCTCTATGATAGGGAATGTTCAACTCTGTGTCCTGAATACAAACGTCACAAAGATGTTTCTCAGAACGCTGCAGTCTGCAATTTGTATGAATTCCCGCTTCCAACGAAATCCTCAAAACTAGCCAAATATCCACTTGCAGATTCCACAAAAAGACCATTTCAAAACTGCTCTATCAAAAGAAAGGTTCAACTTTGTTAGTTGAGTAGATACAGCATAAACAAGTTTCTGAGAATGCTTCTGTCCAGTTTTTATGGGAAGATATTTCCTTTTTCACCTTAGCCCTGAAATCGCTCCAAAAGTCCAGTTCCAGATACTACAAAAGGGGTGTTTCAGGACTGCTCTATGAAAGGGAGTGTTCAACTTTTGACTTGAATGCAAACATCAGAAAGCAGTTTCTCAGAACGCTGCTGTGTGCTTTTTATATGTATTCCCGCTTCCAGCGAAATCCCCAAAGCTAGCCAAATATCCACTTGCAGATTCCAGAAAAAGAGTGTTTCAAAACTGCTCCTTCAAAACGGTGGTTCAATTCTCTTAGTTGAGTACACACATCTCAAATAAGTTTCTGAGAATGCTTCTGTCCAGTTTTTATGGGAAGATATTTCCTTTTTTACCTTAGCCCTGAAAGCGCTCCAAAAGTCCAGTTCCAGATACTACAAAAGGAGTGTTTCAGGACTGCTCTATGAAAGGGAGTGTTCAACTTTTGACTTGAATGCAAACATCAGAAAGCAGTTTCTCAGAACGCTGCAGTCTGCAATTTGTATGAATTCCCGCTTCCAACGAAATCCTCCAAACTAGCCAAATATCCACTTGCAGATTCCACAAAAAGAGCGTTTCAAAACTTCTCTATGAAAACAAAGGTTCTACTCCTTTAGTTGAGGACACACATCACGAGTAAGTTTCTGAGAATGCTTCTGTCTAGTTTTTATGGGAAGATATTTCCTTTTTCACCTTAGGCCGGAAAGTGCTCCAAATGTCCACTTACACACACTACAAAAAGAGTGTTTCAAACCTGCTCTGTGAAAGGGAATGTTCAATTCTGTGACTTGAATGCAATCATCACAAAGAAGTTTCTGAGAATGCTGCTGTCTGCTTTTTATATGTAATCCCGTTTCCAACGAAATCCTCAAATCTAGCCAAATAGCCACTTGCAGATACCACAAAAAGAGTGTTTCAAAACTGTTCTGTCTAAAGAAATGTTCAACTGTGTTAGTTGAGGACACACATCAGAAACTAGTTTCTGAGAATGCTTCTGTCTAGTTGTTATGGGAAGATATTTCCTTTTCCAACGTAGGCCTGAAAGCGCTCCAAATGTCCACTTCTATATACTAAAAAAAGAGTGTTTCAAACCTGCTCTACCAAAGGGAATGTTCTACTCTGTGACTTGAATGCAAACATCCCAAAGAAGTTTCTGAGAATGCTTCTGTCTAGATTTGATCTGAAGACAATCCCGTTTCCAACGAAATCCTCAAGGCTAGGCAAATATACTCTTGCAGATTCCAGAAAAAGAGTGTTTCAAAACTGCTCCTTCAAAACGGTGGTTCAATTCTCTTAGTTGAGTACACACATCTCAAATAAGTTTGCTGAGAATGCTTCTGTCTAGTTGTTACGGGAAGATATTTCCCTTTCCAGCATGGGCCTGAAAGCGCTCCAAATGTCGACTTCCAGATACTACAATAAGAGTGTTTCAAACCTGCTCTACCAAAGGGAATGTTCTACTCTGTGACTTGAATGCAAACATCCCAAAGAAGTTTCTGAGAATGCTTCTGTCTAGATTTTACCTGAAGACAATCCCGTTTCCCACGAAATCCTCAAAGCTATGCAAATATCCTCTTGCAGATTCTACAAAAAGAGTGTTTCAAAACTGCTCTATGAAAAGAAAGGTTCAACTCTGTCAGTAGAGGGCACACATCACAAACAAGTTTCTGAGAATGCTTGTGTCTAGTTGTTATGGGAAGATATTTCCTTTTTCAACATAGGCCTGAAAGCGCTCCAAATGTCCACTTCCAGATACTACAAAAGGAGTGATTCCAACCTGCTCTATGATAGGGAATGTTCAACTCTCTGTCCTGAATACAAACATCACAAAGATGTTTCTCAGAACGCTGCAGTCTGCAATTTGTATGAATTCCCGCTTCCAACGAAATCCTCAAAACTAGCCAAATATCCACTTGCAGATTCCACAAAAAGAGCATTTCAAAACTGCTCTGTCAAAAGAAAGGTTCAACTTTGTTAGTTGAGTAGATACAGCATAAACAAGTTTCTGAGAATGCTTCTGTCCAGTTTTTATGGGAAGATATTTCCTTTTTCACCTTAGCCCTGAAAGCGCTCCAAAAGTCCAGTTCCAGATACTACAAAAGGAGTGTTTCAGGACTGCTCTATGAAAGGGAGTGTTCAACTTTTGACTTGAATGCAAACATCAGAAAGCAGTTTCTCAGAACGCTGCAGTCTGCAATTTGTATGAATTCCCGCTTCCAACGAAATCCTCAAAACTAGCCAAATATCCACTTGCAGATTCCACAAAAAGAGCGTTTCAAAACTTCTCTATGAAAAGAAAGGTTCTACTCCTTTAGTTGAGGACACACATCACGAGTAAGTTTCTGAGAATGCTTCTGTCTAGTTTTTATGGGAAGATATTTCCTTTTTCACCTTAGGCCGGTAAGTGCTCCAAATGTCCACTTACACACACTACAAAAAGAGTGTTTCAAACCTGCTCTGTGAAAGGGAATGTTCAATTCTGTGACTTGAATGCAATCATCACAAAGAACTTTCTGAGAATGCTGCTGACTGCTTTTTATATGTAATCCCGTTTCCAACGAAATCCTCAAATCTAGCCAAATAGCCACTTGCAGATTCCACAAAAAGAGTGTTTCAAAACTGTTCTGTCTAAAGAAATGTTCAACTGTGTTAGTTGAGGACACACATCAGAAACTAGTTTCTGAGAATGCTTCTGTCTAGTTGTTATGGGAAGATATTTCCTTTTCCAACGTAGGCCTGAAAGCGCTCCAAATGTCCACTTCCATATACTAAAAAAAGAGTGTTTCAAACCTGCTCTAACAAAGGGAATGTTCTACTCTGTGACTTGAATGCAAACATCCCAAAGAAGTTTCTGAGAATGCTTCTGTCTAGATTTTCTCTGAAGACAATCCCGTTTCCAACGAAATCCTCAAGGCTAGGCAAATATACTCTTGCAGATTCCAGAAAAAGAGTGTTTCAAAACTGCTCCTTCAAAACGGTGGTTCAATTCTCTTAGTTGAGTACACACATCTCAAATAAGTTTCTGAGAATGCTTCTGCCTAGTTGTTAAGGGAAGATATTTCCCTTTCCAACATAGGCCTGAAAGCGCTCCAAATGTCCACTTCCAGATACTACAAAAAGAGTGTTTCAAACCTGCTCTACCAAAGGGAATGTTCTACTCTGTGACTTGAATGCAAACATCCCAAAGAAGTTTCTGAGAATGCTTCTGTCTAGATTTTACCTGAAGACAATCCCGTTTCCCACGAAATCCTCAAAGCTATGCAAATATCCTCTTGCAGATTCTACAAAAAGAGTGTTTCAAAACTGCTCTATGAAAAGAAAGGTTCAACTCTGTCAGTAGAGGGCACACATCACAAACAAGTTTCTGAGAATGCTTCTGCATAGTTGTTACGGGAAGATATTTCCCTTTCCAAAATAGGCCTGAAAGCGCTCCAAATGTCCACTTCCAGATACTACAAAAGGAGTGATTCCAACCTGCTCTATGATAGGGAATGTTCAACTCTGTGTCCTGAATACAAACATCACAAAGATGTTTACTCAGAACGCTGCAGTCTGCAATTTGTATGAATTCCCGCTTCCAACGAAATCCTCAAAACTAGCCAAATATCCACTTGCAGATTCCACAAAAAGACCATTTCAAAACTGCTCTATCAAAAGAAAGGTTCAACTTTGTTAGTTGAGTAGATACAGCATAAACAAGTTTCTGAGAATGCTTCTGTCCAGTTTTTATGGGAAGATATTTCCTTTTTCACCTTAGCCCTGAAATCGCTCCAAAAGTCCAGTTCCAGATACTACAAAAGGGGTGTTTCAGGACTGCTCTATGAAAGGGAGTGTTCAACTTTTGACTTGAATGCAAACATCAGAAAGCAGTTTACTCAGAACGCTGCTTTGTGCTTTTTATATGTATTCCCGCTTCCAGCGAAATCCCCAAAGCTAGCCAAATATCCACTTGCAGATTCCAGAAAAAGAGTGTTTCAAAACTGCTCCTTCAAAACGGTGGTTCAATTCTCTTAGTTGAGTAGACACATCTCAAATAAGTTTCTGAGAATGCTTGTGTCTAGTTGTTATGGGAAGATATTTCCTTTTTCAACATAGGCCTGAAAGCGCTCCAAATGTCCACTTCCAGATACTACAAAAGGAGTGATTCCAACCTGCTCTATGATAGGGAATGTTCATCTCTGTGTCTTGAATACAAACATCACAAAGATGTTTCTCAGAACGCTGCAGTCTGCAATTTGTATGAATTCCCGCTTCCAACGAAATCCTCAAAACTAGCCAAATATCCACTTGCAGATTCCACAAAAAGAGCGTTTCAAAACTTCTCTATGAAAAGAAAGGTTCTACTCCTTTAGTTGAGGACACACATCACGAGTAAGTTTCTGAGAATGCTTCTGTCTAGTTTTTATGGGAAGATATTTCCTTTTTCACCTTAGGCCGGTAAGTGCTCCAAATGTCCACTTACACACACTACAAAAAGAGTGTTTCAAACCTGCTCTGTGAAAGGGAATGTTCAATTCTGTGACTTGAATGCAATCATCACAAATAACTTTCTGAGAATGCTGCTGACTGCTTTTTATATGTAATCCCGTTTCCAACGAAATCCTCAAATCTAGCCAAATAGCCACTTGCAGATTCCACAAAAAGAGTGTTTCAAAACTGTTCTGTCTAAAGAAATGTTCAACTGTGTTAGTTGAGGACACACATCAGAAACTAGTTTCTGAGAATGCTTCTGTCTAGTTGTTATGGGAAGATATTTCCTTTTCCAACGTAGGCCTGAAAGCGCTCCAAATGTCCACTTCCATATACTAAAAAAAGGGTGTTTCAAACCTGCTCTACCAAAGGGAATGTTCTACTCTGTGACTTGAATGCAAACATCCCAAAGAAGTTTCTGAGAATGCTTCTGTCTAGATTTTATCTGAAGACAATCCCGTTTCCAACGAAATCCTCAAGGCTAGGCAAATATACTCTTGCAGATTCCAGAAAAAGAGTGTTTCAAAACTGCTCCTTCAAAACGGTGGTTCATTTCTCTTAGTTGAGTACACACATCTCAAATAAGTTTCTGAGAATGCTTCTGCCTAGTTGTTACGGGAAGATATTTCCCTTTCCAACATAGGCCTGAAAGCGCTCCAAATGTCCACTTCCAGATACTACAAAAAGAGTGTTTCAAACCTGCTCTACCAAAGGGAATGTTCTACTCTGTGACTTGAATGCAAACATCCCAAAGAAGTTTCTGAGAATGCTTCTGTCTAGATTTTACCTGAAGACAATCCCGTTTCCCACGAAATCCTCAAAGCTATGCAAATATCCTCTTGCAGATTCTACAAAAAGAGTGTTTCAAAACTGCTCTATGAAAAGAAAGGTTCAACTCTGTCAGTAGAGGGCACACATCACAAACAAGTTTCTGAGAATGCTTGTGTCTAGTTGTTATGGGAACATATTTCCTTTTTCAACATAGGCCTGAAAGCGCTCCAAATGTCCACTTCCAGATACTACAAAAGGAGTGATTCCAACCTGCTCTATGATAGGGAATGTTCATCTCTGTGTCCTGAATACAAACATCACAAAGATGTTTACTCAGAACGCTGCAGTCTGCAATTTGTATGAATTCCCGCTTCCAACGAAATCCTCAAAACTAGCCAAATATCCACTTGCAGATTCCACAAAAAGACCATTTCAAAACTGCTCTATCAAAAGAAAGGTTCAACTTTGTTAGTTGAGTAGATACAGCATAACCAAGTTTACTGAGAATGCTTTCTGTCCAGTTTTTATGGGAAGATATTTCCTTTTTCACCTTAGCCCTGAAATCGCTCCAAAAGTCCAGTTCCAGATACTACAAAAGGGGTGTTTCAAGACTGCTCTATGAAAGGGAGTGTTCAACTTTTGACTTGAATGCAAACATCAGAAAGCAGTTTCTCAGAACGCTGCTGTGTGCTTTTTATATGTATTCCCGCTTCCAGCGAAATCCCCAAAGCTAGCCAAATATCCACTTGCAGATTCCAGAAAAAGAGAGTTTCAAAACTGCTCCTTCAAAACGGTGGTTCAATTCTCTTAGTTGAGTACACACATCTCAAATAAGTTTCTGAGAATGCTTCTGTCTAGTTGTTATGGGAAGATATTTCCTTTTCCAACATAGGCCTGAAAGCGCTCCAAATGTCCACTTCCAGATACTACAAAAGGAGTGATTCAAACCTGCTCTATGATAGGGAATGTTCAACTCTGTGTCCTGAATACAAACATCACAAAGATGTTTCTCAGAACGCTGCAGTCTGCAATTTGTATGAATTCCCGCTTCCAACGAAATCCTCCAAACTAGCCAAATATCCACTTGCAGATTCCACAAAAAGAGCGTTTCAAAACTTCTCTATGAAAAGAAAGGTTCTACTCCTTTAGTTGAGGACACACATCACGAGTAAGTTTCTGAGAATGCTTCTGTCTAGTTTTTATGGGAAGATATTTCCTTGTTCACCTTAGGCCGGAAAGCGCTCCAAATGTCCACTTACACACACTAGAAAAAGAGTGTTTCAAACCTGCTCTGTGAAAGGGAATGTTCAATTCTGTGACTTGAATGCAATCATCACAAAGAAGTTTCTGAGAATGCTGCTGTCTGCTTTTTATTTGTAATCCCGTTTCCAACGAAATCCTCAAATCTAGCCAAATATCCACTTGCAGATTCCACAAAAAGAGTGTTTCAAAACTGTTCTGTCTAAAGAAATGTTCAACTGTGTTAGTTGAGGACACACATCAGAAACTAGTTTCTGAGAATGCTTCTGTCTAGTTGTTATGGGAAGATATTTCCTTTTCCAACGTAGGCCTGAAAGCGCTCCAAATGTCCACTTCCATATACTAAAAAAAGAGTGTTTCAAACCTGCTCTACCAAAGGAATGTTCTACTCTGTGACTTGAATGCAAACATCCCAAAGAAGTTTCTGAGAATGCTTCTGTCTAGATTTGATCTGAAGACAATCCCTTTTCCAACGAAATCCTCAAAGCTAGGCAAATATCCTCTTGCAGATTCCAGAAAAAGAGTGTTTCCAAACTGCTCCTTCAAAACGGTGGTTCAATTCTCTTAGTTGAGTACACACATCTCAAATAAGTTTCTGAGAATGCTTCTGCCTAGTTGTTACGGGAAGATATTTCCCTTTCCAACATGGGCCTGAAAGCGCTCCAAATGTCCACTTCCAGATACTACAAAAAGAGTGTTTCAAACCTGCTCTACCAAAGGGAATGTTCTACTCTGTGACTTGAATGCAAACATCCCAAAGAAGTTTCTGAGAATGCTTCTGTCTAGATTTTACCTGAAGACAATCCCGTTTCCCACGAAATCCTCAAAGCTATGCAAATATCCTCTTGCAGATTCTACAAAAAGAGTGTTTCAAAACTGCTCTATGAAAAGAAAGGTTCAACTCTGTCAGTAGAGGGCACACATCACAAACAAGTTTCTGAGAATGCTTGTGTCTAGTTGTTATGGGAAGATATTTCCTTTTTCAACATAGGCCTGAAAGCGCTCCAAATGTCCACTTCCAGATACTACAAAAGGAGTGATTCCAACCTGCTCTGTGATAGGGAATGTTCAACTCTCTGTCCTGAATACAAACATCACAAAGATGTTTCTCAGAACGCTGCAGTCTGCAATTTGTATGAATTCCCGCTTCCAACGAAATCCTCAAAACTAGCCAAATATCCACTTGCAGATTCCACAAAAAGAGCATTTCAAAACTGCTCTATCAAAAGAAAGGTTCAACTTTGTTAGTTGAGTAGATACAGCATAAACAAGTTTCTGAGAATGCTTCTGTCCAGTTTTTATGGGAAGATATTTCCTTTTTCACCTTAGCCCTGAAAGCGCTTCAAAAGTCCAGTTCCAGATACTACAAAAGGGGTGTTTCAAGACTGCTCTATGAAAGGGAGTGTTCAACTTTTGACTTGAATGCAAACATCAGAAAGCAGTTTCTCAGAACGCTGCAGTCTGCAATTTGTATGAATTCCCGCTTCCAACGAAATCCTCAAAACTAGCCAAATATCCACTTGCAGATTCCACAAAAAGAGCGTTTCAAAACTTCTCTATGAAAAGAAAGGTTCTACTCCTTTAGTTGAGGACACACATCACGAGTAAGTTTCTGAGAATGCTTCTGTCTAGTTTTTATGGGAAGATATTTCCTTTTTCACCTTAGGCCGGTAAGTGCTCCAAATGTCCACTTACACACACTACAAAAAGAGTGTTTCAAACCTGCTCTGTGAAAGGGAATGTTCAATTCTGTGACTTGAATGCAATCATCACAAAGAACTTTCTGAGAATGCTGCTGACTGCTTTTTATATGTAATCCCGTTTCCAACGAAATCCTCAAATCTAGCCAAATAGCCACTTGCAGATTCCACAAAAAGAGTGTTTCAAAACTGTTCTGTCTAAAGAAATGTTCAACTGTGTTAGTTGAGGACACACATCAGAAACTAGTTTCTGAGAATGCTTCTGTCTAGTTGTTATGGGAAGATATTTCCTTTTCCAACGTAGGCCTGAAAGCGCTCCAAATGTCCACTTCCAGATACTACAAAAAGAGTGTTTCAAACCTGCTCTACCAAAGGGAATGTTCTACTCTGTGACTTGAATGCAAGCATCCCAAAGAAGTTTCTGAGAATGCTTCTGTCTAGATTTGATCTGAACACAATCCCGTTTCCAACGAAATCCTCAAAGCTAGGCAAATATCCTCTTGAAGATTCCAGAAAAAGAGTGTTTCAAAACTGCTCCTTCAAAACGGTGGTTCAATTCTCTTAGTTGAGTACACACATCTCAAATAAGTTTCTGAGAATGCTTCTGCCTAGTTGTTACGGGAAGATATTTCCCTTTCCAACATGGGCCTGAAAGCGCTCCAAATGTCCACTTCCAGATACTACAAAAAGAGTGTTTCAAACCTGCTCTACCAAAGGGAATGTTCTACTCTGTGACTTGAATGCAAACATCCCAAAGAAGTTTCTGAGAATGCTTCTGTCTAGATTTTACCTGAAGACAATCCCGTTTCCCACGAAATCCTCAAAGCTATGCAAATATCCTCTTGCAGATTCTACAAAAAGAGTGTTTCAAAACTGCTCTATGAAAAGAAAGGTTCAACTCTGTCAGTAGAGGGCACACATCACAAACAAGTTTCTGAGAATGCTTGTGTCTAGTTGTTATGGGAAGATATTTCCTTTTTCAACATAGGCCTGAAAGCGCTCCAAATGTCCACTTCCAGATACTACAAAAGGAGTGATTCCAACCTGCTCTATGATAGGGAATGTTCAACTCTGTGTCCTGAATACAAACATCACAAAGATGTTTCTCAGAACGCTGCAGTCTGCAATTTGTATGAATTCCCGCTTCCAACGAAATCCTCCAAACTAGCCAAATATCCACTTGCAGATTCCACAAAAAGAGCGTTTCAAAACTTCTCTATGAAAAGAAAGGTTCTACTCCTTTAGTTGAGGACACACATCACGAGTAAGTTTCTGAGAATGCTTCTGTCTAGTTTTTATGGGAAGATATTTCCTTGTTCACCTTAGGCCGGAAAGCGCTCCAAATGTCCACTTACACACACTACAAAAAGAGTGTTTCAAACCTGCTACTGTGAAAGGGAATGTTCAATTCTGTGACTTGAATGCAATCATCACAAAGAAGTTTCTGAGAATGCTGCTGTCTGCTTTTTATACGTAATCCCGTTTCCAACGAAATCCTCAAATCTAGCCAAATATCCACTTGCAGATTCCACAAAATGAGTGTTTCAAAACTGTTCTGTCTAAAGAAATGTTCAACTGTGTTAGTTGAGGACACACATCAGAAACTAGTTTCTGAGAATGCTTCTGTCTAGTTGTTATGGGAAGATATTTCCTTTTCCAACGTAGGCCTGAAAGCGCTCCAAATGTCCACTTCCATATACTAAAAAAAGAGTGTTTCAAACCTGCTCTACCAAAGGGAATGTTCTACTCTGTGACTTGAATGCAAACATCCCAAAGAAGTTTCTGAGAATGCTTCTGTCTAGATTAGATCTGAAGACAATCCCGTTTCCAAAGAAATCCTCAAAGCTAGGCAAATATCCTCTTGCAGATTCCAGAAAAAGAGTGTTTCCAAACTGCTCCTTCAAAACGGTGGTTCAATTCTCTTAGTTGAGTACACACATCTCAAATAAGTTTCTGAGAATGCTTCTGCCTAGTTGTTACGGGAAGATATTTCCCTTTCCAACATAGGCCTGAAAGCGCTCCAAATGTCCACTTCCAGATACTACAAAAAGAGTGTTTCAAACCTGCTCTACCAAAGGGAATGTTCTA
The DNA here is from genome assembly GCF_000001405.40 of Homo sapiens. Taxonomy (NCBI): domain Eukaryota; kingdom Metazoa; phylum Chordata; class Mammalia; order Primates; family Hominidae; genus Homo; species Homo sapiens. The sequence continues at coordinate 19,725,662 of NC_000018.10, read as the reverse complement.
CTCTGTGACTTGAATGCAAACATCCCAAAGAAGTTTCTGAGAATGCTTCTGTCTAGATTTTACCTGAAGACAATCCCGTTTCCCACGAAATCCTCAAAGCTATGCAAATATCCTCTTGCAGATTCTACAAAAAGAGTGTTTCAAAACTGCTCTATGAAAAGAAAGGTTCAACTCTGTCAGTAGAGGGCACACATCACAAACAAGTTTCTGAGAATGCTTGTGTCTAGTTGTTATGGGAAGATATTTCCTTTTTCAACATAGGCCAGAAAGCGCTCCAAATGTCCACTTCCAGATACTACAAAAGGAGTGATTCCAACCTGCTCTATGATAGGGAATGTTCAACTCTGTGTCCTGAATACAAACATCACAAAGATGTTTCTCAGAACGCTGCAGTCTGCAATTTGTATGAATTCCCGCTTCCAACGAAATCCTCAAAACTAGCCAAATATCCACTTGCAGATTCCACAAAAAGACCATTTCAAAACTGCTCTATCAAAAGAAAGGTTCAACTTTGTTAGTTGAGTAGATACAGCATAACCAAGTTTCTGAGAATGCTTCTGTCCAGTTTTTATGGGAAGATATTTCCTTTTTCACCTTAGCCCTGAAATCGCTCCAAAAGTCCAGTTCCAGATACTACAAAAGGGGTGTTTCAAGACTGCTCTATGAAAGGGAGTGTTCAACTTTTGACTTGAATGCAAACATCAGAAAGCAGTTTCTCAGAACGCTGCTGTGTGCTTTTTATATGTATTCCCGCTTACAGCGAAATCCCCAAAGCTAGCCAAATATCCACTTGCAGATTCCAGAAAAAGAGTGTTTCCAAACTGCTCCTTCAAAACGGTGGTTCAATTCTCATAGTTGAGTACACACATCTCCAATAAGTTTCTGGGAATGCTTCTGTCTAGTTGTTATGGGAAGATATTTCCTTTTCCAACATAGGCCTGAAAGCGCTCCAAATGTCCACTTCCAGATACTACAAAAGGAGTGATTCAAACCTGTTCTATGATAGGGAATGTTCAACTCTGTGTCCTGAATACAAACATCACAAAGATGTTTCTCAGAACGCTGCAGTCTGCATCTTGTATGAATTCCCGCTTCCAACGAAATCCTCCAAACTAGCCAAATATCCACTTGCAGATTCCACAAAAAGAGCGTTTCAAAACTTCTCTATGAAAAGAAAGGTTCTACTCCTTTAGTTGAGGACACACATCACGAGTAAGTTTCTGAGAATGCTTCTGTCTGGTTTTTATGGTAAGATATGTCCTTTTTCACCTTAGGCCGGAAAGCGCTCCAAATGTCCACTTACACACACTACAAAAAGAGTGTTTCAAACCTGCTCTGTGAAAGGGAATGTTCAATTCTGTGACTTGAATGCAATCATCACAAAGAACTTTCTGAGAATGCTGCTGTCTGCTTTTTATATGTAATCCCGTTTCCAACGAAATCCTCAAATCTAGCCAAATATCCACTTGCAGATTCCACAAAAAGAGTGTTTCAAAACTGTTCTGTCTAAAGAAAAGTTCAACTGTGTTAGTTGAGGACACACATCAGAAACTAGTTTCTGAGAATGCTTCTGTCTAGTTGTTATGGGAAGATATTTCCTTTTCCAACGTAGGCCTGAAAGCGCTCCAAATGTCCACTTCCATATACTAAAAAAAGAGTGTTTCAAACCTGCTCTACCAAAGGGAATGTTCTACTCTGTGACTTGAATGCAAACATCCCAAAGAAGTTTCTGAGAATGCTTCTGTCTAGATTTGATCTGAAGACAATCCCGTTTCCAACGAAATCCTCAAGGCTAGGCAAATATCCTCTTGCAGATTCCAGAAAAAGAGTGTTTCAAAACTGCTCCTTCAAAACGGTGGTTCAATTCTCTTAGTTGAGTACACACATCTCAAATAAGTTTCTGAGAATGCTTCTGCCTAGTTGTTACGGGAAGATATTTCCCTTTCCAACATAGGCCTGAAAGCGCTCCAAATGTCCACTTCCAAATACTACAAAAAGAGTGTTTCAAACCTACTCTACCAAAGGGAATGTTCTACTCTGTGACTTGAATGCAAACATCCCAAAGAAGTTTCTGAGAATGCTTCTGTCTAGATTTTACCTGAAGACAATCCCGTTTCCCACGAAATCCTCAAAGCTATGCAAATATCCTCTTGCAGATTCTACAAAAAGAGTGTTTCAAAACTGCTCTATGAAAAGAAAGGTTCAACTCTGTCAGTAGAGGGCACACATCACAAACAAGTTTCTGAGAATGCTTGTGTCTAGTTGTTATGGGAAGATATTTCCTTTTTCAACATAGGCCTGAAAGCGCTCCAAATGTCCACTTCCAGATACTACAAAAGGAGTGATTCCAACCTTCTCTATGATAGGGAATGTTCATCTCTGTGTCCTGAATACAAACATCACAAAGATGTTTCTCAGAACGCTGCAGTCTGCAATTTGTATGAATTCCCGCTTCCAACGAAATCCTCAAAACTAGCCAAATATCCACTTGGAGATTCCACAAAAAGAGCGTTTCAAAACTTCTCTATGAATAGAAAGGTTCTACTCCTTTAGTTGAGGACACACATCACGAGTAAGTTTCTGAGAATGCTTCTGTCTAGTTTTTATGGGAAGATATTTCGTTTTTCACCTTAGGCCGGAAAGCGCTCCAAATGTCCACTTACACACACTACAAAAAGAGTGTTTCAATCCTGCTCTGTGAAAGGGAATGTTCAATTCTGTGACTTGAATGCAATCATCACAAAGAACTTTCTGAGAATGCTGCTGACTGCTTTTTATATGTAATCCCGTTTCCAACGAAATCCTCAAATCTAGCCAAATAGCCACTTGCAGATTCCACAAAAAGAGTGTTTCAAAACTGTTCTGTCTAAAGAAATGTTCAACTGTGTTAGTTGAGGACACACATCAGAAACTAGTTTCTGAGAATGCTTCTGTCTAGTTGTTATGGGAAGATATTTCCTTTTCCAACGTAGGCCTGAAAGCGCTCCAAATGTCCACTTCCATATACTAAAAAAAGAGTGTTTCAAACCTGCTCTACCAAAGGGAATGTTCTACTCTGTGACTTGAATGCAAACATCCCAAAGAAGTTTCTGAGAATGCTTCTGTCTAGATTTTATCTGAAGACAATCCCGTTTCCAACGAAATCCTCAAAGCTAGGCAAATATCCTCTAGCAGATTCCAGAAAAAGTGTGTTTCAAAACTGGTCCTTCAAAACGGTGGTTCAATTCTCTTAGTTGAGTACACACATCTCAAATAAGTTTCTGAGAATGCTTCTGCCTAGTTGTTACGGGAAGATATTTCCCTTTCCAACATAGGCCTGAAAGCGCTCCAAATGTCCACTTCCAGATACTACAAAAAGAGTGTTTGAAACCTGCTCTACCAAAGGGAATGTTCTATTCTGTGACTTGAATGCAAACATCCCAAAGAAGTTTCTGAGAATGCTTCTGTCTAGATTTTACCTGAAGACAATCCCGTTTCCCACGAAATCCTCAAAGCTATGCAAATATCCTCTTGCAGATTCTACAAAAAGAGTGTTTCAAAACTGCTCTATGAAAAGAAAGGTTCAACTCTGTCAGTAGAGGGCACACATCACAAACAAGTTTCTGAGAATGCTTCTGCATAGTTGTTACGGGAAGATATTTCCCTTTCCAAAATAGGCCTGAAAGCGCTCCAAATGTCCACTTCCAGATACTACAAAAGGAGTGATTCCAACCTGCTCTATGATAGGGAATGTTCAACTCTGTGTCCTGAATACAAACATCACAAAGATGTTTCTCAGAACGCTGCAGTCTGCAATTTGTATGAATTCCAGCTTCCAACGAAATCCTCAAAACTAGCCAAATATCCACTTGCAGATTCCACAAAAAGAGCATTTCAAAACTGCTCTATCAAAGGAAAGGTTCAACTTTGTTAGTGGAGTAGATACAGCATAAACAAGTTTCTGAGAATGCTTCTGTCCAGTTTTTATGGGAAGATATTTCCTTTTTCACCTTAGCCCTGAAATCGCTCCAAAAGTCCAGTTCCAGATACTACAAAAGGGGTGTTTCAGGACTGCTCTATGAAAGGGAGTGTTCAACTTTTGACTTGAATGCAAACATCAGAAAGCAGTTTCTCAGAACGCTGCAGTCTGCAATTTGTATGAATTCCCGCTTCCAACGAAATCCTCAAACCTAGCCAAATATCCACTTGCAGATTCCACAAAAAGAGCATTTCAAAACTGCTCTATCAAAGAAAGGTTCAACTTTGTTAGTTGAGTAGATACAGCATAAACCAGTTTCTGAGAATGCTTCTGTCCAGTTTTTATGGGAAGATATTTCCTTTTTCACCTTAGCCCTGAAAGCGCTCCAAATGTCCAGTTCCAGATACTACAAAAGGGGTGTTTCAAGACTGCTCTATGAAAGGGGGTGTTCAACTTTTGACTTGAATGCAAACATCAGAAAGCAGTTTCTCAGAACGCTGCAGTCTGCAATTTGTATGAATTCCCGCTTCCAACGAAATCCTCAAAACTAGCCAAATATCCACTTGCAGATTCCACAAAAAGAGCGTTTCAAAACTTCTCTATGAAAAGAAAGGTTCTACTCCTTTAGTTGAGGACACACATCACGAGTAAGTTTCTGAGAATGCTTCTGTCTAGTTTTTATGGGAAGATATGTCCTTTTTCACCTTAGGCCGGAAAGCGCTCCAAATGTCCACTTACACACACTACAAAAAGAGTGTTTCAAACCTGCTCTGTGAAAGGGAATGTTCAATTCTGTGACTTGAATGCAATCATCACAAAGAACTTTCTGAGAATGCTGCTTTCTGCTTTTTATATGTAATCCCGTTTCCAACGAAATCCTCAAATCTAGCCCAATATCCACTTGCAGATTCCACAAAAAGAGTGTTTCAAAACTGTTCTGTCTAAAGAAAAGTTCAACTGTGTTAGTTGAGGACACACATCAGAAACTAGTTTCTGAGAATGCTCTGTCTAGTTGTTATGGGAAGATATTTCCTTTTCCAACGTAGGCCTGAAAGCGCTCCAAATGTCCTTCCATATACTAAAAAAAGAGTGTTTCAAACCTGCTCTACCAAAGGGAATGTTCTACTCTGTGACTTGAATGCAAACATCCCAAAGAAGTTTCTGAGAATGCTTTCTGTCTAGATTTGATCTGAACACAATCCCGTTTCCAACGAAATCCTCAAAGCTAGGCAAATATCCTCTTGCAGATTCCAGAAAAAGAGTGTTTCAAAACTGCTCCTTCAAAACGGTGGTTCAATTCTCTTAGTTGAGTACACACATCTCAAATAAGTTTCTGAGAATGCTTCTGCCTAGTTGTTACGGGAAGATATTTCCCTTTCCAACATAGGCCTGAAAGCGCTCCAAATGTCCACTTCCAGATACTATAAAAAGAGTGTTTCAAACCTGCTCTACCAAAGGGAATGTTCTACTCTGTGACTTGAATGCAAACATCCCAAAGAAGTTTCTGAGAATGCTTCTGTCTAGATTTTACCTGAAGACAATCCCGTTTCCCACAAAATCCTCAAAGCTATGCAAATATCCTCTTGCAGATTCTACAAAAAGAGTGTTTCGAAAGTGCTCTATGAAAAGAAAAGTTCAACTGTGTCAGTAGAGGGCACACATCACAAACAAGTTTCTGAGAATGCTTCTGTCTAGTTGTTATGGGAAGATATTTCCTTTTCCAACATAGGCCTGAAAGCGCTCCAAATGTCCACTTCCAGATACTACAAAAGGAGTGATTCCAACCTGCTCTATGATAGGGAATGTTCAACTCTGTGTCCTGAATACAAACATCACAAAGATGTTTCTCAGAACGCTGCAGTCTGCAATTTGTATGAATTCCCGCTTCCAACGAAATCCTCAAAACTAGCCAAATATCCACTTGCAGATTCCACAAAAAGACCATTTCAAAACTGCTCTATCAAAAGAAAGGTTCAACTTTGTTAGTTGAGTAGATACAGCATAAACAAGTTTCTGAGAATGCTCTGTCCAGTTTTTATGGGAAGATATTTCCTTTTTCACCTTAGCCCTGAAATCGCTCCAAAAGTCCAGTTCCAGATACTACAAAAGGGGTGTTTCAAGACTGCTCTATGAAAGGGAGTGTTCAACTTTTGACTTGAATGCAAACATCAGAAAGCAGTTTCTCAGAACGCTGGCTGTGTGCTTTTTATATGTATTCCCGCTTCCAGCGAAATCCCCAAAGCTAGCCAAATATCCACTTGCAGATTCCAGAAAAAGAGTGTTTCAAAACTGCTCCTTCAAAACGGTGGTTCAATTCTCTTAGTTGAGTACACACATCTCAAATAAGTTTCTGAGAATGCTTGTGTCTAGTTGTTATGGGAAGATATTTCCTTTTTCAACATAGGCCTGAAAGCGCTCCAAATGTCCACTTCCAGATACTACAAAAGGAGTGATTCCAACCTGCTCTATGATAGGGAATGTTCATCTCTGTGTCCCGAATACAAACATCACAAAGATGTTTCTCAGAACGCTGCAGTCTGCAATTTGTATGAATTCCCGCTTCCAACGAAATCTTCAAAACTAGCAAAATATCCACTTGGAGATTCCACAAAAAGAGGGTTTCAAAACTTCTCTATGAATAGAAAGGTTCTACTCCTTTAGTTGAGGACACACATCACGAGTAAGTTTCTGAGAATGCTTCTGTCTAGTTTTTATGGGAAGATATTTCCTTTTTCACCTTAGGCCGGAAAGCGCTCCAAATGTCCACTTACACACACTACAAAAAGAGTGTTTCAAACCTGCTCTGTGAAAGGGAATGTTCAATTCTGTGACTTGAATGCAATCATCACAAAGAACTTTCTGAGAATGCTGCTGTCTGCTTTTTATATGTAATCCCGTTTCCAACGAAATCCTCAAATCTAGCCAAATATCCACTTGCAGATTCCACAAAAAGAGTGTTTCAAAACTGTTCTGTCTAAAGAAAAGTTCAACTGTGTTAGTTGAGGACACACATCAGAAACTAGTTTCTGAGAATGCTTCTGTCTAGTTGTTATGGGAAGATATTTCCTTTTCCAACGTAGGGCCTGAAAGCGCTCCAAATGTCCACTTCCATATACTAAAAAAAGAGTGTTTCACACCTGCTCTACCAAAGGGAATGTTCTACTCTGTGACTTGAATGCAAACATCCCAAAGAAGTTTCTGAGAATGCTTCTGTCTAGATTTTATCTGAAGACAATCCCGTTTCCAACGAAATCCTCAAGGCTAGGCAAATATACTCTTGCAGATTCCAGAAAAAGAGTGTTTCAAAACTGCTCCTTCAAAACGGTGGTTCAATTCTCTTAGTTGAGTACACACATCTCAAATAAGTTTCTGAGAATGCTTCTGCCTAGTTGTTACGGGAAGATATTTCCCTTTCCAGCATGGGCCTGAAAGCGCTCCAAATGTCCACTTCCAGATACTACAAAAAGAGTGTTTCAAACCTGCTCTACCAAAGGGAATGTTCTACTCTGTGACTTGAATGCAAACATCCCAAAGAAGTTTCTGAGAATGCTTCTGTCTAGATTTTACCTGAAGACAATCCCGTTTCCCACGAAATCCTCAAAGCTATGCAAATATCCTCTTGCAGATTCTACAAAAAGAGTGTTTCAAAACTGCTCTATGAAAAGAAAGGTTCAACTCTGTCAGTAGAGGGCACACATCACAAACAAGTTTCTGAGAATGCTTGTGTCTAGTTGTTATGGGAAGATATTTCCTTTTTCAACATAGGCCTGAAAGCGCTCCAAATGTCCACTTCCAGATACTACAAAAGGAGTGATTCCAACCTGCTCTATGATAGGGAATGTTCAACTCTCTGTCCTGAATACAAACATCACAAAGATGTTTCTCAGAACGCTGCAGTCTGCAATTTGTATGAATTCCCGCTTCCAACGAAATCCTCAAAACTAGCCAAATATCCACTTGCAGATTCCACAAAAAGAGCATTTCAAAACTGCTCTATCAAAAGAAAGGTTCAACTTTGTTAGTTGAGTAGATACAGCATAAACAAGTTTCTGAGAATGCTTCTGTCCAGTTTTTATGGGAAGATATTTCCTTTTTCACCTTAGCCCTGAAAGCGCTCCAAAAGTCCAGTTCCAGATACTACAAAAGGAGTGTTTCAGGACTGCTCTATGAAAGGTAGTGTTCAACTTTTGACTTGAATGCAAACATCAGAAAGCAGTTTCTCAGAACGCTGCTGTGTGCTTTTTATATGTATTCCCGCTTCCAGCGAAATCCCCAAAGCTAGCCAAATATCCACTTGCAGATTCCAGAAAAAGAGAGTTTCAAAACTGCTCCTTCAAAACGGTGGTTCAATTCTCTTAGTTGAGTACACACATCTCAAATAAGTTTCTGAGAATGCTTCTGTCTAGTTGTTATGGGAAGATATTTCCTTTTCCAACATAGGCCTGAAAGCGCTCCAAATGTCCACTTCCAGATACTACAAAAGGAGTGATTCAAACCTGCTCTATGATAGGGAATGTTCAACTCTGTGTCCTGAATACAAACATCACAAAGTTGTTTCTCAGAACGCTGCAGTCTGCAATTTGTATGAATTCCCGCTTCCAACGAAATCCTCAAAACTAGCCAAATATCCACTTGCAGATTCCACAAAAAGACCATTTCAAAACTGCTCTATCAAAAGAAAGGTTCAACTTTGTTAGTTGAGTAGATACAGCATAAACAAGTTTCTGAGAATGCTTCTGTCCAGTTTTTATGGGAAGATATTTCCTTTTTCACCTTAGCCCTGAAAGCGCTCCAAAAGTCCAGTTCCAGATACTACAAAAGGAGTGTTTCAGGACTGCTCTATGAAAGGGAGTGTTCAACTTTTGACTTGAATGCAAACATCAGAAAGCAGTTTCTCAGAACGCTGCTGTGTGCTTTTTATATGTATTCCCGCTTCCAGCGAAATCCCCAAAGCTAGCCAAATATCCACTTGCAGATTCCAGAAAAAGAGTGTTTCAAAACTGCTCCTTCAAAACGGTGGTTCAATTCTCTTAGTTGAGTACACACATCTCAAATAAGTTTCTGAGAATGCTTCTGTCTAGTTGTTATGGGAAGATATTTCCTTTTCCAACATAGGGCCTGAAAGCGCTCCAAATGTCCACTTCCAGATACTACAAAAGGAGTGATTCCAACCTGCTCTATGATAGGGAATGTTCAACTCTGTGTCCTGAATACAAACATCACAAAGATGTTTCTCAGAACGCTGCCAGTCTGCAATTTGTATGAATTCCCGCTTCCAACGAAATCCTCAAAACTAGCCAAATATCCACTTGCAGATTCCACAAAAAGAGCGTTTCAAAACTTCTCTATGAAAAGAAAGGTTCTACTCCTTTAGTTGAGGACACACATCACGAGTAAGTTTCTGAGAATGCTTCTGTCTAGTTTTTATGGGAAGATATTTCCTTTTTCACCTTAGGCCGGTAAGTGCTCCAAATGTCCACTTACACACACTACAAAAAGAGTGTTTCAAACCTGCTCTGTGAAAGGGAATGTTCAATTCTGTGACTTGAATGCAATCATCACAAAGAACTTTCTGAGAATGCTGCTGACTGCTTTTTATATGTAATCCCGTTTCCAACGAAATCCTCAAATCTAGCCAAATAGCCACTTGCAGATTCCACAAAAAGAGTGTTTCAAAACTGTTCTGTCTAAAGAAATGTTCAACTGTGTTAGTTGAGGACACACATCAGAAACTAGTTTCTGAGAATGCTTCTGTCTAGTTGTTATGGGAAGATATTTCCTTTTCCAACGTAGGCCTGAAAGCGCTCCAAATGTCCACTTCCATATACTAAAAAAAGAGTGTTTCAAACCTGCTCTACCAAAGGGAATGTTCTACTCTGTGACTTGAATGCAAGCATCCCAAAGAAGTTTCTGAGAATGCTTCTGTCTAGATTTTCTCTGAAGACAATCCCGTTTCCAACGAAATCCTCAAGGCTAGGCAAATATACTCTTGCAGATTCCAGAAAAAGAGTGTTTCAAAACTGCTCCTTCAAAACGGTGGTTCAATTCTCTTAGTTGAGTACACACATCTCAAATAAGTTTCTGAGAATGCTTCTGCCTAGTTGTTACGGGAAGATATTTCCCTTTCCAACATGGGCCTGAAAGCGCTCCAAATGTCCACTTCCAGATACTACAAAAAGAGTGTTTCAAACCTGCTCTACCAAAGGGAATGTTCTACTCTGTGACTTGAATGCAAACATCCCAAAGAAGTTTCTGAGAATGCTTCTGTCTAGATTTTACCTGAAGACAATCCCGTTTCCCACGAAATCCTCAAAGCTATGCAAATATCCTCTTGCGGATTCTATAAAAGAGTGTTTCAAAACTGCTCTATGAAAAGAAAGGTTCAACTCTGTCAGTAGAGGGCACACATCACAAACAAGTTTCTGAGAATGCTTGTGTCTAGTTGTTATGGGAAGATATTTCCTTTTTCAACATAGGCCTGAAAGCGCTCCAAATGTCCACTTCCAGATACTACAAAAGGAGTGATTCCAACATGCTCTATGATAGGGAATGTTCATCTCTCTGTCTTGAATACAAACATTTCAAAGATGTTTCTCAGAACGCTGCAGTCTGCAATTTGTATGAATTCCCGCTTCCAACGAAATCCTCAAAACTAGCCAAATATCCACTTGGAGATTCCACAAAAAGAGCGTTTCAAAACTTCTCTATGAATAGAAAGGTTCTACTCCTTTAGTTGAGGACACACATCACGAGTAAGTTTCTGAGAATGCTTCTGTCTAGTTTTTATGGGAAGATATTTCCTTTTTCACCTTAGGCCGGAAAGCGCTCCAAATGTCCACTTACACACACTACAAAAAGAGTGTTTCAAACCTGCTCTGTGAAAGGGAATGTTCAATTCTGTGACTTGAATGCAATCATCACAAAGAACTTTCTGAGAATGCTGCTGACTGCTTTTTATATGTAATCCCGTTTCCAACGAAATCCTCAAATCTAGCCAAATAGCCACTTGCAGATTCCACAAAAAGAGTGTTTCAAAACTGTTCTGTCTATAGAAATGTTCAACTGTGTTAGTTGAGGACACACATCAGAAACTAGTTTCTGAGAATGCTTCTGTCTAGTTGTTATGGGAAGATATTTCCTTTTCCAACGTAGGCCTGAAAGCGATCCAAATGTCCACTTCCATATACTAAAAAAAGAGTGTTTCAAACCTGCTCTACCAAAGGGAATGTTCTACTCTGTGACTTGAATGCAAACATCCCAAAGAAGTTTCTGAGAATGCTTCTGTCTAGATTTTATCTGAAGACAATCCCGTTTCCAACGAAATCCTCAAAGCTAGGCAAATATACTCTTGCAGATTCCAGAAAAAGAGTGTTTCAAAACTGCTCCTTGAAAAGGGTGGTTCAATTCTCTTAGTTGAGTACACCCATCTCAAATAAGTTTCTGAGAATGCTTCTGCCTAGTTGTTACGGGAAGATATTTCCCTTTCCAACATAGGCCTGAAAGCGCAACAAATGTCCACTTCCAGATACGACAAAAAGAGTGTTTCAAACCTGCTCTACCAAAGGGAATGTTCTACTCTGTGACTTGAATGCAAACATCCCGAAGAAGTTTCTGAGAATGCTTCTGTCTAGATTTTACCTGAAGACAATCCCGTTTCCCACGAAATCCTCAAAGCTATGCAAATATCCTCTTGCAGATTCTACAAAAAGAGTGTTTCAAAACTGCTCTATGAAAAGAAAGGTTCAACTCTGTCAGTAGAGGGCACACATCACAAACAAGTTTCTGAGAATGCTTGTGTCTAGTTGTTATGGGAAGATATTTCTTTTTTCAACATAGGCCTGAAAGCGCTCCAAATGTCCACTTCCAGATACTACAAAAGGAGTGATTCCAACCTGCTCTATGATAGGGAATGTTCAACTCTCTGTCCTGAATACAAACATCACAAAGATGTTTCTCAGAACGCTGCAGTCTGCAATTTGTATGAATTCCCGCTTCCAACGAAATCCTCAAAACTAGCCAAATATCCACTTGCAGATTCCACAAAAAGAGCATTTCAAAACTGCTCTATCAAAAGAAAGGTTCAACTTTGTTAGTTGAGTAGATACAGCATAAACAAGTTTCTGAGAATGCTTCTGTCCAGTTTTTATGGGAAGATATTTCCTTTTTCACTTTAGCCCTGAAAGCGCTCCAAAAGTCCAGTTCCAGATACTACAAAAGGAGTGTTTCAGGACTGCTCTATGAAAGGGAGTGTTCAACTTTTGACTTGAATGCAAACATCAGAAAGCAATTTCTCAGAACGCTGCTGTGTGCTTTTTATATGTATTCCCGCCTCCAGCGAAATCCCCAAAGCTAGCCAAATATCCACTTGCAGATTCCAGAAAAAGAGTGTTTCAAAACTGCTCCTTCAAAACGGTGGTTCAATTCTCTTAGTTGAGTACACACATCTCAAATAAGTTTCTGAGAATGCTTCTGTCTAGTTGTTATGGGAAGATATTTCCTTTTCCAACATAGGCCTGAAAGCGCTCCAAATGTCCACTTCCAGATACTACAAAAGGAGTGATTCAAACCTGCTCTATGATAGGGAATGTTCAACTCTGTGTCCTGAATACAAACATCACAAAGATGTTTCTCAGAACGCTGCAGTCTGCAATTTGTATGAATTCCCGCTTCCAACGAAATCCTCCAAACTAGCCAAATATCCACTTGCAGATTCCACAAAAAGAGCGTTTCAAAACTTCTCTATGAAAAGAAAGGTTCTACTCCTTTAGTTGAGGACACACATCACGAGTAAGTTTCTGAGAGTGCTTCTGTCTAGTTTTTATGGGAAGATATTTCCTTTTTCACCTTAGGCCGGAAAGTGCTCCAAATGTCCACTTACACACACTACAAAAAGAGTGTTTCAAACCTGCTCTGTGAAAGGGAATGTTCAATTCTGTGACTTGAATGCAATCATCACAAAGAAGTTTCTGAGAATGCTGCTGACTGCTTTTTATATGTAATCCCGTTTCCAACGAAATCCTCAAATCTAGCCAAATAGCCACTTGCAGATTCCACAAAAAGAGTGTTTCAAAACTGTTCTGTCTAAAGAAATGTTCAACTGTGTTAGTTGAGGACACACATCAGAAACTAGTTTCTGAGAATGCTTCTGTCTAGTTGTTATGGGAAGATATTTCCTTTTCCAACGTAGGCCTGAAAGCGCTCCAAATGTCCACTTCCAGATACTACAAAAAGAGTGTTTCAAACCTGCTCTACCAAAGGGAATGTTCTACTCTGTGACTTGAATGCAAGCATCCCAAAGAAGTTTCTGAGAATGCTTCTGTCTAGATTTTCTCTGAAGACAATCCCGTTTCCAACGAAATCCTCAAGGCTAGGCAAATATACTCTTGCAGATTCCAGAAAAAGAGTGTTTCAAAACTGCTCCTTCAAAACGGTGGTTCAATTCTCTTAGTTGAGTACACACATCTCAAATAAGTTTCTGAGAATGCTTCTGCCTAGTTGTTACGGGAAGATATTTCCCATTCCAACATGGGCCTGAAAGCGCTCCAAATGTCCACTTCCAGATACTACAAAAAGAGGGTTTCAAACCTGCTCTACCAAAGGGAATGTTCTACTCTGTGACTTGAATGCAAACATCCCAAAGAAGTTTCTGAGAATGCTTCTCTCCAGATTTTACCTGAAGACAATCCCGTTTCCCACGAAATCCTCAAAGCTATGCAAATATCCTCTTGCAGATTCTACAAAAAGAGTGTTTCGAAACTGCTCTATGAAAAGAAAGGTTCAACTCTGTCAGTAGAGGGCACACATCACAAACAAGTTTCTGAGAATGCTTGTGTCTACTTGTTATGGGAAGATATTTCCTTTTTCAACATAGGCCTGAAAGCGCTCCAAATGTCCACTTCCAGATACTACAAAAGGAGTGATTCCAACCTGCTCTATGATAGGGAATGTTCAACTCTGTGTCCTGAATACAAACATCACAAAGATGTTTCTCAGAACGCTGCAGTCTGCAATTTGTATGAATTCCCGCTTCCAACGAAATCCTCAAAACTAGCCAAATATCCACTTGCAGATTCCACAAAAAGACCATTTCAAAACTGCTCTATCAAAAGAAAGGTTCAACTTTGTTAGTTGAGTAGATACAGCATAAACAAGTTTCTGAGAATGCTTCTGTCCAGTTTTTATGGGAAGATATTTCCTTTTTCACCTTAGCCCTGAAATCGCTCCAAAAGTCCAGTTCCAGATACTACAAAAGGGGTGTTTCAGGACTGCTCTATGAAAGGGAGTGTTCAACTTTTGACTTGAATGCAAACATCAGAAAGCAGTTTCTCAGAACGCTTCTGCCTAGTTGTTATGGGAAGATATTTCCTTTTTCAACATAGGCCTGAAAGCGCTCCAAATGTCCACTTCCAGATACTACAAAAGGAGTGATTCCAACCTGCTCGATGATAGGGAATGTTCAACTCTGTGTCCTGAATACAAACATCACAAAGATGTTTCTCAGAACGCTGCAGTCTGCAATTTGTATGAATTCCCGCTTCCAACGAAATCCTCAAACCTAGCCAAATATCCACTTGCAGATTCCACAAAAAGAGCATTTCAAAACTGCTCTATCAAAAGAAAGGTTCAACTTTGTTAGTTGAGTAGATACAGCATAAACAAGTTTCTGAGAATGCTTCTGTCCAGTTTTTATGGGAAGATATTTCCTTTTTCACCTTAACCCTGAAAGCGCTCCAAATGTCCAGTTCCAGATACTACAAAAGGGGTGTTTCAAGACTGCTCTATGAAAGGGAGTGTTCAACTTTTGACTTGAATGCAAACATCAGAAAGCAGTTTCTCAGAACGCTGCTGTGTGCTTTTTATATGTATTCCCGCTTCCAGCGAAATCCCCAAAGCTAGCCAAATATCCACTTGCAGATTCCAGAAAAAGAGTGTTTCAAAACTGCTCCTTCAAAACGGTGGTTCAATTCTCTTAGTTGAGTACACACATCTCAAATAAGTTTCTGAGAATGCTTCTGTCTAGTTGTTATGGGAAGATATTTCCTTTTCCAACATAGGCCTGAAAGCGCTCCAAATGTCCACTTCCAGATACTACAAAAGGAGTGATTCAAACCTGCTCTATGATAGGGAATGTTCAACTCTGTGTCCTGAATACAAACATCACAAAGATGTTTCTCAGAACGCTGCAGTCTGCAATTTGTATGAATTCCCGCTTCCAACGAAATCCTCCAAACTAGCCAAATATCCACTTGCAGATTCCACAAAAAGAGCGTTTCAAAACTTCTCTATGAAAAGAAAGGTTCTACTCCTTTAGTTGAGGACACACATCACGAGTAAGTTTCTGAGAATGCTTCTGTCTAGTTTTTATGGGAAGATATTTCCTTTTTCACCTTAGGCCGGAAAGTGCTCCAAATGTCCACTTACACACACTACAAAAAGAGGGTTTCAAACCTGCTCTGTGAAAGGGAATGTTCAATTCTGTGACTTGAATGCAATCATCACAAAGAACTTTCTGAGAATGCTGCTGTCTGCTTTTTATATGTAATCCCGTTTCCAACGAAATCCTCAAATCTAGCCAAATATCCACTTGCAGATTCCACAAAAAGAGTGTTTCAAAACTGTTCTGTCTAAAGAAAAGTTCAACTGTGTTAGTTGAGGACACACATCAGAAACTAGTTTCTGAGAATGCTTCTGTCTAGTTGTTATGGGAAGATATTTCCTTTTCCAACGTAGGCCTGAAAGCGCTCCAAATGTCCACTTCCATATACTAAAAAAAGAGTGTTTCAAACCTGCTCTACCAAAGGGAATGTTCTACTCTGTGACTTGAATGCAAACATCCCAAAGAAGTTTCTGAGAATGCTTCTGTCTAGATTTTATCTGAAGACAATCCCGTTTCCAACGAAATTCTCAAGGCTAGGCAAATATACTCTTGCAGATTCCAGAAAAAGAGTGTTTCAAAACTGCTCCTTCAAAACGTTGGTTAAATTCTCTTAGTTGAGTACACACATCTCAAATAAGTTTCTGAGAATGCTTCTGCCTAGTTGTTACGGGAAGATATTTCCCTTTCCAACATGGGCCTGAAAGCGCTCCAAATGTCCACTTCCAGATACTACAAAAAGAGGGTTTCAAACCTGCTCTACCAAAGGGAATGTTCTACTCTGTGACTTGAATGCAAACATCCCAAAGAAGTTTCTGAGAATGCTTCTGTCTAGATTTTACCTGAAGACAATCCCGTTTCCCACGAAATCCTCAAAGCTATGCAAATATCCTCTTGCAGATTCTACAAAAAGAGTGTTTCAAAACTGCTCTATGAAAAGAAAGGTTCAACTCTGTCAGTAGAGGGCACACATCACAAACAAGTTTCTGAGAATGCTTGTGTCTAGTTGTTATGGGAAGATATTTCCTTTTTCAACATAGGCCTGAAAGCGCTCCAAATGTCCACTTCCAGATACTACAAAAGGAGTGATTCCAACCTGCTCTATGATAGGGAATGTTCAACTCTCTGTCCTGAATACAAACATCACAAAGATGTTTCTCAGAACGCTGCAGTCTGCAATTTGTATGAATTCCCGCTTCCAACGAAATCCTCAAAACTAGCCAAATATCCACTTGCAGATTCCACAAAAAGACCATTTCAAAACTGCTCTATCAAAAGAAAGGTTCAACTTTGTTAGTTGAGTAGATACAGCATAACCAAGTTTCTGAGAATGCTTCTGTCCAGTTTTTATGGGAAGATATTTCCTTTTTCACCTTAGCCCTGAAAGCGCTCCAAATGTCCACTTCCAGATTCTACAAAAGGGGTGTTTCAGGCCTGCTCTATGAAAGGGAGTGTTCAACTTTTGACTTGAATGCAAACATCAGAAAGCAGTTTCTCAGAACGCTGCTGTGTGCTTTTTATATGTATTCCCGCTTCCAGCGAAATCCCCAAAGCTAGCCAAATATCCACTTGCAGATTCCAGAAAACGAGTGTTTCAAAACTGCTCCTTCAAAACGGCGGTTCAATTCTCCTAGTTGAGTACACACATCTCAAATAGGTTTCTGAGAATGCTTCTGTCTAGCTGTTATGGGAGGATATTTCCTTTTCCAACATAGGCCTGAAAGCGCTCCAAACGTCCACTTCCAGATACCACAAAAGGAGTGATTCCAACCTGCTCTATGATAGGGAATGTTCAACTCTGTGTCCTAAATACAAACATCACAAAGATGTTTCTCAGAACGCTGCAGTCTGCAATTTGCATGAATTCCCGCTTCCAACGAAATCCTCAAAACTAGCCAAATATCCACTTGCAGATTCCACAAAAAGAGCGTTTCAAAACTTCTCTATGAAAAGAAAGGTTCTACTCCTTTAGTTGAGGACACCCATCACGAGTAAGTTTCTGAGAATGCTTCTGTCTAGTTTTTATGGGAAGATATTTCCTTTTTCACCTGAGGCCGGAAAGCGCTCCAAATGTCCACTTACAGACACTACAAAAGAGTGTTTCAAACCTGCTCTGTGAAAGGGAATGTTCAATTCTGTGACTTGAATGCAATCACCACAAAGAAGTTTCTGAGAATGCTGCTGTCTGCTTTTTATTCGTAATCCCGTGTCCAACGAAATCCTCAAATCTAGCCAAATATCCACTTGCAGATTCCTCAAAAAGAGTGTTTCAAAACTGGTCTGTCAAAAGAAAGGTTCAACTCTGTTAGTTGAGGACACACCTCAGAAACTAGTTTCTGAGAAGGCTTCTGTCTAGTTGTTATGGGAAGATATTTCCTTTTCCAACGTAGGACTGGAAGCGCTCCAAATGTCCACTTCCAGATACTACAAAAAGAGTGTTTCAAACCTGCTCTACCAAAGGGAATGTTCTCCTCTGTGACTTGAATGCAAACATCCCAAAGAAGTTTCTGAGAATGCTTCTGTCTTGATTTTACCTGAAGACAATCCCGTTTCCAACGAAATCCTCAAACTTATGCAAATATCCTCTTGCAGATTCTACACAAAGAGTGTTTCGAAACTGCTCTATGAAAGGAAAGGTTCAACTCTGTCAGTAGAGGGCACACATCACAAACAAGTTTCTGAGAATGCTTCTGTCTAGTTGTTTTGGGAAGATATTTCCTTTTTCAACATAGGCCTGAAAGCACTCCAAATGGCCACTTCCAGATACTACAAAAGGAGTGATTCCAACCTGCTCTACGATAGGTAATGTTCAACCCTGTGTCCTGAATACAAACATCACAAAGATGTTTCTCAGAACGCTGCAGTCTGCAATTTGTATGAATTCCCGCTTCCAACGAAATCCTCAAAACTAGCCAAATATCCACTTGCAGATTCCACAAAAAGACCATTTCAAAACTGCTCTATCAAAAGAAAGGTTCAACTTTGTTAGTTGAGTAGATACAGCATAACCAAGTTTCTGAGAATGCTTCTGTCCAGTTTTTATGGGAAGATATTTCCTTTTTCACCTTAGCCCTGAAATCGCTCCAAAAGTCCAGTTCCAGATACTACAAAAGGGGTGTTTCAAGACTGCTCTATGAAAGGGAGTGTTCAACTTTTGACTTGAATGCAAACATCAGAAAGCAGTTTCTCAGAACGCTGCTGTGTGCTTTTTATATGTATTCCCGCTTCCAGCGAAATCCCCAAAGCTAGCCAAATATCCACTTGCAGATTCCAGAAAAAGA
Source organism: Homo sapiens (assembly GCF_000001405.40). Classification (NCBI taxonomy): domain Eukaryota; kingdom Metazoa; phylum Chordata; class Mammalia; order Primates; family Hominidae; genus Homo; species Homo sapiens. The sequence goes on along the minus strand of NC_000018.10, from coordinate 19,707,049 downwards.
GTGTTTCAAAACTGCTCCTTCAAAACGGTGGTTCAATTCTCTTAGTTGAGTACACACATCTCAAATAAGTTTCTGAGAATGCTGCAGTCTGCAATTTGTATGAATTCCCGCTTCCAACGAAATCCTCAAAACTAGCCAAATATCCACTTGGAGATTCCACAAAAAGAGGGTTTCAAAACTTCTCTATGAATAGAAAGGTTCTACTCCTTTAGTTGAGGACACACATCACGAGTAAGTTTCTGAGAATGCTTCTGTCTAGTTTTTATGGGAAGATATTTCCTTTTTCACCTTAGGCCGGTAAGTGCTCCAAATGTCCACTTACACACACTACAAAAAGAGTCTTTCAAACCTGCTCTGTGAAAGGGAATGTTCAATTCTGTGACTTGAATGCAATCATCACAAAGAACTTTCTGAGAATGCTGCTGACTGCTTTTTATATGTAATCCCGTTTCCAACGAAATCCTCAAATCTAGCCCAATATCCACTTGCAGATTCCACAAAAAGAGTGTTTCAAAACTGTTCTGTATAAAGAAATGTACAACTGTGTTAGTTGAGGACACACATCAGAAACTAGTTTCTGAGAATGCTTCTGTCTAGTTGTTATGGGAAGATATTTCCTTTTCCAACGTAGGCCTGAAAGCGCTCCAAATGTCCACTTCCATATACTAAAAAAAGAGTGTTTCAAACCTGCTCTACCAAAGGGAATGTTCTACTCTGTGACTTGAATGCAAACATCCCAAAGAAGTTTCTGAGAATGCTTCTGTCTAGATTTGATCTAAAGACAATCCCTTTTCCAACGAAATCCTCAAGGCTAGGCAAATATACTCTTGCAGATTCCAGAAAAAGAGTGTTTCAAAACTGCTCCTTCAAAACGGTGATTCAATTCTCTTAGTTGAGTACACACATCTCAAATAAGTTTCTGAGAATGCTTCTGCCTAGTTGTTACGGGAAGATATTTCCCTTTCCAACATAGGCCTGAAAGCGCTCCAAATGTCCACTTCCAGATACTACAAAAAGAGTGTTTCAAACCTGCTCTACCAAAGGGAATGTTCTACTCTGTGACTTGAATGCAAACATCCCAAAGAAGTTTCTGAGAATGCTTCTGTCTAGATTTTACCTGAAGACAATCCCGTTTCCCACGAAATCCTCAAAGCTATGCAAATATCCTCTTGCAGATTCTACAAAAAGAGTGTTTCAAAACTGCTCTATGAAAAGAAAGATTCAACTCTGTCAGTAGAGGGCACACATCACAAACAAGTTTCTGAGAATGCTTGTGTCTAGTTGTTATGGGAAGATATTTCCTTTTTCAACATAGGCCTGAAAGCACTCCAAATGTCCACTTCCAGATACTACAAAACTAGTGATTCCAACCTGCTCTATGATAGGGAATGTTCATCTCTGTGTCCTGAATACAAACATCACAAAGATGTTTCTCATAACGCTGCAGTCTGCAATTTGTATGAATTCCCGCTTCCAACGAAATCCTCAAAACTAGCCAAATATCCACTTGCAGATTCCACAAAAAGACCATTTCAAAACTGCTCTATCAAAAGAAAGGTTCAACTTTGTTAGTTGAGTAGATACAGCATAAACAAGTTTCTGAGAATGCTTCTGTCCAGTTTTTATGGGAAGATATTTCCTTTTTCACCTTAGCCCTGAAATCGCTCCAAAAGTCCAGTTCCAGATACTACAAAAGGGGTGTTTCAAGACTGCTCTATGAAAGGGAGTGTTCAACTTTTGACTTGAATGCAAACATCAGAAAGCAGTTTCTCAGAACGCTGCTGTGTGCTTTTTATATGTATTCCCGCTTCCAGCGAAATCCCCAAAGCTAGCCAAATATCCACTTGCAGATTCCAGAAAAAGAGTGTTTCAAAACTGCTCCTTCAAAACGGTGGTTCAATTCTCTTAGTTGAGTACACACATCTCAAATAAGTTTCTGAGAATGCTGCAGTCTGCAATTTGTATGAATTCCCGCTTCCAACGAAATCCTCAAACCTAGCCAAATATCCACTTGCAGATTCCACAAAAAGAGCATTTCAAAACTGCTCTATCAAAAGAAAGGTTCAACTTTGTTAGTTGAGTAGATACAGCATAAACAAGTTTCTGAGAATGCTGCAGTCTGCAATTTGTATGAATTCCCGCTTCCAACGAAATCCTCAAAACTAGCCAAATATCCACTTGGAGATTCCACAAAAAGAGCGTTTCAAAACTTCTCTATGAATAGAAATGTTCTACTCCTTTAGTTGAGGACACACATCACGAGTAAGTTTCTGAGAATGCTTCTGTCTAGTTTTTATGGGAAGATATTTCCTTTTTCACCTTAGGCCGGAAAGTGCTCCAAATGTCCACTTACACACACTACAAAAAGAGTGTTTCAAACCAGCCCTGTGAAAGGGAATGTTCAATTCTGTGACTTGAATGCAATCATCACAAAGAACTTTCTGAGAATGCTGCTGTCTGCTTTTTATATGTAATCCCGTTTCCAACGAAATCCTCAAATCTAGCCAAATAGCCACTTGCAGATTCCACAAAAAGAGTGTTTCAAAACTGTTCTGTCTAAAGAAATGTTCAACTGTGTTAGTTGAGGACACACATCAGAAACTAGTTTCTGAGAATGCTTCTGTCTAGTTGTTATGGGAAGATATTTCCTTTTCCAACGTAGGCCTGAAAGCGCTCCAAATGTCCACTTCCATATACTAAAAAAGAGTGTTTCCAACCTGCTCTACCAAAGGGAATGTTCTACTCTGTGACTTGAATGCAAACATCCCAAAGAAGTTTCTGAGAATGCTTCTGTCTAGATTTTCTCTGAAGACAATCCCGTTTCCAACGAAATCCTCAAGGCTAGGCAAATATACTCTTGCAGATTCCAGAAAAAGAGTGTTTCAAAACTGCTCCTTCAAAACGGTGGTTCAATTCTCTTAGTTGAGTACACACATCTCAAATAAGTTTCTGAGAATGCTTCTGCCTAGTTGTTACGGGAAGATATTTCCCTTTCCAACATAGGCCTGAAAGCGCTCCAAATGTCCACTTCCAGATACTACAAAAAGAGTGTTTCAAACCTGCTCTACCAAAGGGAATGTTCTACTCTGTGACTTGAATGCAAACATCCCGAAGAATTTTCTGAGAATGCTTCTGTCTAGATTTTACCTGAAGACAATCCCGTTTCCCACGAAATCCTCAAAGCTATGCAAATATCCTCTTGCAGATTCTACAAAAAGAGTGTTTCGAAACTGCTCTATGAAAAGAAAGGTTCAACTCTGTCAGTAGAGGGCACACATCACAACAAGTTTCTGAGAATGCTTGTGTCTACTTGTTATGGGAAGATATTTCCTTTTTCAACATAGGCCTCAAAGCGCTCGAAATGGCCACTTCCAGATACTACAAAAGGAGTGATTCCAACCTCCTCTATGATAGGGAATGTTCAACTCTGTGTCCTGAATACAAACATCACAAAGATGTTTCTCAGAACGCTGCAGTCTGCAATTTATATGAATTCCCGCTTCCAACGAAATCCTCAAAACTAGCCAAATATCCACTTGTAGACTCCACAAAAAGAGCATTTCAAAACTGCTCTATCAAAAGAAAGGTTCAACTTTGTTAGCTGAGTAGATACAGCATAAACAAGTTTCTGAGAATGCTTCTGTCCAGTTTTTATGGGAAGATATTTCCTTTTTCACCTTAGCCCTGAAATCGCTCCAAAAGTCCAGTTCCAGATACTACAAAAGGGGTGTTTCAGGACTGCTCTATGAAAGGGAGTGTTCAACTTTTGACTTGAATGCAAACATCAGAAAGCAGTTTCTCAGAACGCTGCTGTGTGCTTTTTATATGTATTCCCGCTTCCAGCGAAATCCCCAAAGCTAGCCAAATATCCACTTGCAGATTCCAGAAAAAGAGAGTTTCAAAACTGCTCCTTCAAAACGGTGGTTCAATTCTCTTAGTTGAGTACACACATCTCAAATAAGTTTCTGAGAATGCTTGTGTCTAGTTGTTATGGGAAGATATTTCCTTTTTCAACATAGGCCTGAAAGCGCTCCAAATGTCCACTTACAGATACTACAAAAGGAGTGATTCCAACATGCTCTATGATAGGGAATGTTCATCTCTGTGTCTTGAATACAAACATCACAAAGATGTTTCTCAGAACGCTGCAGTCTGCAATTTGGATGAATTCCCGCTTCCAACGAAATCCTCAAAACTAGCCAAATATCCACTTGGAGATTCCACAAAAAGAGCGTTTCAAAACTTCTCCATGAATAGAAAGGTTCTACTCCTTTAGTTGAGGACACACATCACGAGTAAGTTTCTGAGAATGCTTCTGTCTAGTTTTTATGGGAAGATATGTCCTTTTTCACCTTAGGCCGGAAAGCGCTCCAAATGTCCACTTGCACACACTACAAAAAGAGTGTTTCAAACCTGCTCTGTGAAAGGGAATGTTCAATTCTGTGACTTGAATGCAATCATCACAAAGAACTTTCTGAGAATGCTGCTGTCTGCTTTTTATATGTAATCCCGTTTCCAACGAAATCCTCAAATCTAGCCAAATAGCCACTTGCAGATTCCACAAAAAGAGAGTTTCAAAACTGTTCTGTCTAAAGAAATGTTCAACTGTGTTAGTTGAGGACACACATCAGAAACTAGTTTCTGAGAAAGCTTCTGTCTAGTTGTTATGGGAAGATATTTCCTTTTCCAACGTAGGCCTGAAAGCGCTCCAAATGTCCACTTCCATATACTAAAAAAAGAGTGTTTCAAACCTGCTCTACCAAAGGGAATGTTCTACTCTGTGACTTGAATGCAAACATCCCAAAGAAGTTTCTGAGAATGCTTCTGTCTAGATTTGATCTGAAGACAATCCCGTTTCCAACGAAATCCTCAAGGCTAGGCAAATATCCTCTTGCAGATTCCAGAAAAAGAGTGTTTCAAAACTGCTCCTTCAAAACGGTGGTTCAATTCTCTTAGTTGAGTACACACATCTCAAATAAGTTTCTGAGAATGCTTCTGCCTAGTTGTTACGGGAAGATATTTCCCTTTCCAACATGGGCCTGAAAGCGCTCCAAATGTCCACTTCCAGATACTACAAAAAGAGTGTTTCAAACCTGCTCTACCAAAGGGAATGTTCTACTCTGTGACTTGAATGCAAACATCCCAAAGAAGTTTCTGAGAATGCTTCTGTCTAGATTTTACCTGAAGACAATCCCGTTTCCCACGAAATCCTCAAAGCTATGCAAATATCCTCTTGCAGATTCTACAAAAAGAGTGTTTCAAAACTGCTCTATGAAAAGAAAGGTTCAACTCTGTCAGTAGAGGGCACACATCACAAACAAGTTTCTGAGAATGCTTGTGTCTAGTTGTTATGGGAAGATATTTCCTTTTTCAACATAGGCCTGAAAGCGCTCCAAATGTCCACTTCCAGATACTACAAAAGGAGTGATTCCAACCTGCTCTATGATAGGGAATGTTCAACTCTGTGTCCTGAATACAAACATCACAAAGATGTTTCTCAGAACGCTGCAGTCTGCAATTTGTATGAATTCCCGCTTCCAACGAAATCCTCAAAACTAGCCAAATATCCACTTGCAGATTCCACAAAAAGACCATTTCAAAACTGCTCTATCAAAAGAAAGGTTCAACTTTGTTAGTTGAGTAGATACAGCATAAACAAGTTTCTGAGAATGCTTCTGTCCAGTTTTTATGGGAAGATATTTCCTTTTTCACCTTAGCCCTGAAATCGCTCCAAAAGTCCAGTTCCAGATACTACAAAAGGGGTGTTTCAGGACTGCTCTATGAAAGGGAGTGTTCAACTTTTGACTTGAATGCAAACATCAGAAAGCAGTTTCTCAGAACGCTGCTGTGTGCTTTTTATATGTATTCCCGCTTCCAGCGAAATCCCCAAAGCTAGCCAAATATCCACTTGCAGATTCCAGAAAAAGAGTGTTTCAAAACTGCTCCTTCAAAACGGTGGTTCAATTCTCTTAGTTGAGTACACACATCTCAAATAAGTTTCTGAGAATGCTTCTGTCTAGTTGTTATGGGAAGATATTTCCTTTTCCAACATAGGCCTGAAAGCGCTCCAAATGTCCACTTCCAGATACTACAAAAGGAGTGATTCAAACCTGCTCTATGATAGGGAATGTTCAACTCTGTGTCCTGAATACAAACATCACAAAGATGTTTCTCAGAACGCTGCAGTCTGCAATTTGTATGAATTCCCGCTTCCAACGAAATCCTCAAAACTAGCCAAATATCCACTTGCAGATTCCACAAAAAGAGCGTTTCAAAACTTCTCTATGAAAAGAAAGGTTCTACTCCTTTAGTTGAGGACACACATCACGAGTAAGTTTCTGAGAATGCTTCTGTCTAGTTTTTATGGGAAGATATTTCCTTTTTCACCTTAGGCCGGTAAGTGCTCCAAATGTCCACTTACACACACTACAAAAAGAGTGTTTCAAACCTGCTCTGTGAAAGGGAATGTTCAATTCTGTGACTTGAATGCAATCATCACAAAGAACTTTCTGAGAATGCTGCTGACTGCTTTTTATATGTAATCCCGTTTCCAACGAAATCCTCAAATCTAGCCAAATAGCCACTTGCAGATTCCACAAAAAGAGTGTTTCAAAACTGTTCTGTCTAAAGAAATGTTCAACTGTGTTAGTTGAGGACACACATCAGAAACTAGTTTCTGAGAATGCTTCTGTCTAGTTGTTATGGGAAGATATTTCCTTTTCCAACGTAGGCCTGAAAGCGCTCCAAATGTCCACTTCCATATACTAAAAAAAGAGTGTTTCAAACCTGCTCTACCAAAGGGAATGTTCTACTCTGTGACTTGAATGCAAACATCCCAAAGAAGTTTCTGAGAATGCTTCTGTCTAGATTTTACCTGAAGACAATCCCTTTTCCCACGAAATCCTCAAAGCTATGCAAATATCCTCTTGCAGATTCTACAAAAAGAGTGTTTCAAAACTGCTCTATGAAAAGAAAGGTTCAACTCTGTCAGTAGAGGGCACACATCACAAACAAGTTTCTGAGAACGCTTCTGCCTAGTTGTTACGGGAAGATATTTCCCTTTCCAACATGGGCCTGAAAGCGCTCCAAATGTCCACTTCCAGATACTACAAAAAGAGTGTTTCAAACCTGCTCTACCAAAGGGAATGTTCTACTCTGTGACTTGAATGCAAACATCCCAAAGAAGTTTCTGAGAATGCTTCTGTCTAGATTTTACCTGAAGGCAATCCCGTTTCCCACGAAATCCTCAAAGCTATGCAAATATCCTCTTGCAGATTCTACAAAAAGAGTGTTTCAAAACTGCTCTATGAAAAGAAAGGTTCAACTCTGTCAGTAGAGGGCACACATCACAAACAAGTTTCTGAGAATGCTTGTGTCTAGTTGTTATGGGAAGATATTTCCTTTTTCAACATAGGCCTGAAAGCGCTCCAAATGTCCACTTCCAGATACTACAAAAGGAGTGATTCCAACCTGCTCTATGATAGGGAATGTTCATCTCTGTGTCCTGAATACAAACATCACAAAGATGTTTCTCAGAACGCTGCAGTCTGCAATTTGTATGAATTCCCGCTTCCAACGAAATCCTCAAAACTAGCCAAATATCCACTTGCAGATTCCACAAAAAGACCATTTCAAAACTGCTCTATCAAAAGAAAGGTTCAACTTTGTTAGTTGAGTAGATACAGCATAACCAAGTTTCTGAGAATGCTTCTGTCCAGTTTTTATGGGAAGATATTTCCTTTTTCACCTTAGCCCTGAAATCGCTCCAAAAGTCCAGTTCCAGATACTACAAAAGGGGTGTTTCAAGACTGCTCTATGAAAGGGAGTGTTCAACTTTTGACTTGAATGCAAACATCAGAAAGCAGTTTCTCAGAACGCTGCTGTGTGCTTTTTATATGTATTCCCGCTTCCAGCGAAATCCCCAAAGCTAGCCAAATATCCACTTGCAGATTCCAGAAAAAGAGTGTTTCAAAACTGCTCCTTCAAAACGGTGGTTCAATTCTCTTAGTTGAGTACACACATCTCAAATAAGTTTCTGAGAATGCTTGTGTCTAGTTGTTATGGGAAGATATTTCCTTTTTCAACATAGGCCTGATAGCGCCCCAAATGTCCACTTCCAGATACTACAAAAGGAGTGATTCCAACCTGCTCTATGATAGGTAATGTTCATCTCTGTGTCCTGAATACAAACATCACAAAGATGTTTCTCAGAACGCTGCAGTCTGCAATTTGTATGAATTCCCGCATCCAACGAAATCCTCAAAACTAGCCAAATATCCACTTGGAGATTCCACAAAAAGAGCGTTTCAAACCTTCTCTATGAATAGAAAGGTTCTACTCCTTTAGTTGAGGACACACATCACGAGTAAGTTTCTGAGAATGCTTCTGTCTAGTTTTTATGGGAAGATATTTCCTTTTTCACCTTAGGCCGGAAAGTGCTCCAAATGTCCACTTACACACACTACAAAAAGAGTGTTTCAAACCTGCTCTGTGAAAGGGAATGTTCAATTCTGTGACTTGAATGCAATCATCACAAAGAACTTTCTGAGAATGCTGCTGTCTGCTTTTTATATGTAATCCCGTTTCCAACGAAATCCTCAAATCTAGCCAAATAGCCACTTGCAGATTCCACAAAAAGAGAGTTTCAAAACTGTTCTGTCTAAAGAAATGTTCAACTGTGTTAGTTGAGGACACACATCAGAAACTACTTTCTGAGAATGCTTCTGTCTAGTTGTTATGGGAAGATATTTCCTTTTCCAACGTAGGCCTGAAAGCGCTCCAAATGTCCACTTCCATATACTAAAAAAAGAGTGTTTCAAACCTGCTCTACCAAAGGGAATGTTCTACTCTGTGACTTGAATGCAAACATCCCAAAGAAGTTTCTGAGAATGCTTCTGTCTAGATTTTATCTGAAGACAATCCCGTTTCCAACGAAATCCTCAAGGCTAGGCAAATATATTCTTGCAGAATCCAGAAAAAGAGTGTTTCAAAACTGCTCCTTCAAAACGGTGGTTCAATTCTCTTAGTTGAGTACACACATCTCAAATAAGTTTCTGAGAATGCTTCTGCCTAGTTGTTACGGGAAGATATTTCCCTTTCCAACATGGGCCTGAAAGCGCTCCAAATGTCCACTTCCAGATACTACAAAAAGAGTGTTTGAAACCTGCTCTACCAAAGGGAATGTTCTACTCTGTGTCTTGAATGCAAACATCCCAAAGAAGTTTCTGAGAATGCTTCTGTCTAGATTTTACCTGAAGACAATCCCGTTTCCCACGAAATCCTCAAAGCTATGCAAATATCCTCTTGCAGATTCTACAAAAAGAGTGTTTCAAAACTGCTCTATGAAAAGAAAGGTTCAACTCTGTCAGTAGAGGGCACACATCACAAACAAGTTTCTGAGAATGCTTGTGTCTAGTTGTTATGGGAAGATATTTCCTTTTTCAACATCGGCCTGAAAGCGCTCCAAATGTCCACTTCCAGATACTACAAAAGGAGTGATTCCAACCTGCTCTATGATAGGGAATGTTCAACTCTCTGTCCTGAATACAAACATCACAAAGATGTTTCTCAGAACGCTGCAGTCTGCAATTTGTATGAATTCCCGCTTCCAACGAAATCCTCAAAACTAGCCAAATATCCACTTGCAGATTCCACAAAAAGAGCATTTCAAAACTGCTCTATCAAAAGAAAGGTTCAACTTTGTTAGTTGAGTAGATACAGCATAAACAAGTTTCTGAGAATGCTTCTGTCCAGTTTTTATGGGAAGATATTTCCTTTTTCACCTTAGCCCTGAAATCGCTCCAAAAGTCCAGTTCCAGATACTACAAAAGGGGTGTTTCAGGACTGCTCTATGAAAGGGAGTGTTCAACTTTTGACTTGAATGCAAACATCAGAAAGCAGTTTCTCAGAACGCTGCTGTGTGCTTTTTATATGTATTCCCGCTTCCAGCGAAATCCCCAAAGCTAGCCAAATATCCACTTGCAGATTCCAGAAAAAGAGTGTTTCAAAACTGCTCCTTCAAAACGGTGGTTCAATTCTCTTAGTTGAGTACACACATCTCAAATAAGTTTCTGAGAATGCTTCTGTCTAGTTGTTATGGGAAGATATTTCCTTTTCTAACATAGGCCTGAAAGTGCTCCAAATGTCCACTTCCAGATACTACAAAAGGAGTGATTCCAACCTGCTCTATGATAGGGAATGTTCAACTCTGTGTCCTGAATACAAACATCACAAAGATGTTTCTCAGAACGCTGCAGTCTGCAATTTGTATGAATTCCCGCTTCCAACGAAATCCTCCAAACTAGCCAAATATCCACTTGCAGAGTCCACAAAAAGAGCGTTTCAAAACTTCTCTATGAAAAGAAAGTTTCTACTCCTTTAGTTGAGGACACACATCACGAGTAAGTTTCTGAGAATGCTTCTGTCTAGTTCTTATGGGAAGATATTTCCTTGTACACCTTAGGCCGAAAAGTGCTCCAAATGTCCACTTACACACTCTACAAAAAGAGTGTTTCAAACCTGCTCTGTGAAAGGGAATGTTCAATTCTGTGACTTGAATGCAATCATCACAAAGAAGTTTCTGAGAATGCTGCTGACTGCTTTTTATATGTAATCCCGTTTCCAACGAAATCCTCAAATCTAGCCAAATAGCCACTTGCAGATTCCACAAAAAGAGTGTTTCAAAACTGTTCTGTCTAAAGAAAAGTTCAACTGTGTTAGTTGAGGACACACATCAGAAACTAGTTTCTGAGAATACTTCTGTCTAGTTGTTATGGGAAGATATTTCCTTTTCCAACGTAGGCCTGAAAGCGCTCCAAATGTCCACTTCCATATACTAAAAAAAGAGTGTTTCAAACCTGCTCTACCAAAGGGAATGTTCTACTCTGTGACTTGAATGCAAACATCCCAAAGAAGTTTCTGAGAATGCTTCTGTCTAGATTTGATCTGAAGACAATCCCGTTTCCAACGAAATCCTCAAGGCTAGGCAAATATACTCTTGCAGATTCCAGAAAAAGAGTGTTTCAAAACTGCTCCTTCAAAACGGTGGTTCAATTCTCTTAGTTGAGTACACACATCTCAAATAAGTTTCTGAGAATGCTTCTGCCTAGTTGTTACGGGAAGATATTTCCCTTTCCAACATGGGCCTGAAAGCGCTCCAAATGTCCACTTCCAGATACTACAAAAAGAGTGTTTCAAACCTGCTCTACCAAAGGGAATGTTCTACTCTGTGACTTGAATGCAAACATCCCAAAGAAGTTTCTGAGAATGCTTCTGTCTAGATTTTACCTGAAGACAATCCCGTTTCCCACGAAATCCTCAAAGCTATGCAAATATCCTCTTGCAGATTCTACAAAAAGAGTGTTTCAAAACTGCTCTATGAAAAGAAAGGTTCAACTCTGTCAGTAGAGGGCACACATCACAAACAAGTTTCTGAGAATGCTTCTGCATAGTTGTTACGGGAAGATATTTCCCTTTCCAAAATAGGCCTGAAAGCGCTCCAAATGTCCACTTCCAGATACTACAAAAGGAGTGATTCCAACCTGCTCTATGATAGGGAATGTTCAACTCTGTGTCCTGAATACAAACATCACAAAGATGTTTCTCAGAACGCTGCAGTCTGCAATTTGTATGAATTCCCGCTTCCAACGAAATCCTCAAAACTAGCCAAATATCCACTTGCAGATTCCACAAAAAGACCATTTCAAAACTGCTCTATCAAAAGAAAGGTTCAACTTTGTTAGTTGAGTAGATACAGCATAAACAAGTTTCTGAGAATGCTTCTGTCCAGTTTTTATGGGAAGATATTTCCTTTTTCACCTTAGCCCTGAAATCGCTCCAAAAGTCCAGTTCCAGATACTACAAAAGGGGTGTTTCAAGACTGCTCTATGAAAGGGAGTGTTCAACTTTTGACTTGAATGCAAACATCAGAAAGCAGTTTCTCAGAACGCTGCTGTGTGCTTTTTATATGTATTCCCGCTTCCAGCGAAATCCCCAAAGCTAGCCAAATATCCACTTGCAGATTCCAGAAAAAGAGTGTTTCAAAACTGCTCCTTCAAAACGGTGGTTCAATTCTCTTAGTTGAGTACACACATCTCAAATAAGTTTCTGAGAATGCTGCTGTGTGCTTTTTAAATGTATTCCCGCTTCCAGCGAAATCCCCAAAGCTAGCCAGATATCCACTTGCAGATTCCAGAAAAAGAGTGTTTCAAAACTGCTCCTTCAAAACGGTGGTTCAATTCTCTTAGTTGAGTACACACATCTCAAATAAGTTTCTGAGAATGCTTCTGTCTATTTGTTATGGGAAGATATTTCCTTTTCCAACATAGGCCTGAAAGCGCTCCAAATGTCCACTTCCAGATACTAGAAAAGGAGTGATTCAAACCTGCTCTATGATAGGGAATGTTCAACTCTGTGTCCTGAATACAAACATCACAAAGATGTTTCTCAGAACGCTGCAGTCTGCATCTTGTATGAATTCCCGCTTCCAACGAAATCCTCCAAACTAGCCAAATATCCACTTGCAGATTCCACAAAAAGCGTTTCAAAACTTCTCTATGAAAAGAAAGGTTCTACTCCTTTAGTTGAGGACACACATCACGAGTAAGTTTCTGAGAATGCTTCTGTCTAGTTTTTATGGGAAGATATTTCCTTGTTCACCTTAGGCCGGAAAGCGCTCCAAATGTCCACTTACACACACTACAAAAAGAGTGTTTCAAACCTGCTCTGTGAAAGGGAATGTTCAATTCTGTGACTTGAATGCAATCATCACAAAGAAGTTTCTGAGAATGCTGCTGTCTGCTTTTTATATGTAATCCCCTTTCCAACGAAATCCTCAAATCTAGCCAAATAGCCACTTGCAGATTCCACAAAAAGAGTGTTTCAAAACTGTTCTGTCTAAAGAAATGTTCAACTGTGTTAGTTGAGGACACACATCAGAAACTAGTTTCTGAGAATGCTTCTGTCTAGTTGTTATGGGAAGATATTTCCTTTTCCAACGTAGGCCTGAAAGCGCTCCAAATGTCCACTTCCATATACTAAAAAAAGAGTGTTTCAAACCTGCTCTACCAAAGGGAATGTTCTACTCTGTGACTTGAATGCAAACATCCCAAAGAAGTTTCTGAGAATGCTTCTGTCTAGATTTGATCTGAAGACAATCCCGTTTCCAACGAAATCCTCAAGGCTAGGCAAATATCCTCTTGCAGATTCCAGAAAAAGAGTGTTTCAAAACTGCTCCTTCAAAACGGTGGTTCAATTCTCTTAGTTGAGTACACACATCTCAAATAAGTTTCTGAGAATGCTTCTGCCTAGTTGTTACGGGAAGATATTTCCCTTTCCAACATAGGCCTGAAAGCGCTCCAAATGTCCACTTCCAGATACTACAAAAAGAGTGTTTCAAACCTGCTCTACCAAAGGGAATGTTCTGCTCTGTGACTTGTATGCAAACATCCCAAAGAAGTTTCTGAGAATGCTTCTGTCTAGATTTTACCTGAAGACAATCCCGTTTCCCACGAAATCCTCAAAGCTATGCAAATATCCTCTTGCAGATTCTACAAAAAGAGTGTTTCAAAACTGCTCTATGAAAAGAAAGGTTCAACTCTGTCAGTAGAGGGCACACATCACAAACAAGTTTCTGAGAATGCTTGTGTCTAGTTGTTATGGGAAGATATTTCCTTTTTCAACATAGGCCTGAAAGCGCTCCAAATGTCCACTTCCAGATACTACAAAAGGAGTGATTCCAACCTGCTCTATGATAGGGAATGTTCAACTCTCTGTCCTGAATACAAACATCACAAAGATGTTTCTCAGAACGCTGCAGTCTGCAATTTGTATGAATTCCCGCTTCCAACGAAATCCTCAAAACTAGCCAAATATCCACTTGCAGATTCCACAAAAAGACCATTTCAAAACTGCTCTATCAAAAGAAAGGTTCAACTTTGTTAGTTGAGTAGATACAGCATAAACAAGTTTCTGAGAATGCTTCTGTCCAGTTTTTATGGGAAGATATTTCCTTTTTCACCTTAGCCCTGAAATCGCTCCAAAAGTCCAGTTCCAGATACTACAAAAGGGGTGTTTCAAGACTGCTCTATGAAAGGGAGTGTTCAACTTTTGACTTGAATGCAAACATCAGAAAGCAGTTTCTCAGAACGCTGCTGTGTGCTTTTTATATGTATTCCCGCCTCCAGCGAAATCCCCAAAGCTAGCCAAATATCCACTTGCAGATTCCAGAAAAAGAGTGTTTCAAAACTGCTCCTTCAAAACGGTGGTTCAATTCTCTTAGTTGAGTACACACATCTCAAATAAGTTTCTGAGAATGCTTCTGTCTAGTTGTTATGGGAAGATATTTCCTTTTCCAACATAGGCCTGAAAGCGCTCCAAATGTCCACTTCCAGATACTACAAAAGGAGTGATTCAAACCTGCTCTATGATAGGGAATGTTCAACTCTGTGTCCTGAATACAAACATCACAAAGATGTTTCTCAGAACGCTGCAGTCTGCAATTTGTATGAATTCCCGCTTCCAACGGAATCCTCAAAACTACCCAAATATCCACTTGGAGATTCCACAAAAAGAGCGTTTCAAAACTTCTCTATGAATAGAAAGGTTCTACTCCTTTAGTTGAGGGCACACATCACGAGTAAGTTTCTGAGAATGCTTCTGTCTAGTTTTTATGGGAAGATATTTCCTTTTTCACCTTAGGCCGGTAAAGTGCTCCAAATGTCCACTTACACACACTACAAAAAGAGTGTTTCAAACCTGCTCTGTGAAAGGGAATGTTCAATTCTGTGACTTGAATGCAATCATCACAAAGAACTTTCTGAGAATGCTGCTGTCTGCTTTTTATATGTAATCCCGTTTCCAACGAAATCCTCAAATCTAGCCAAATATCCACTTGCAGATTCCACAAAAAGAGTGTTTCAAAACTGTTCTGTCTAAAGAAATGTTCAACTGTGTTAGTTGAGGACACACATCAGAAACTAGTTTCTGAGAATGCTTCTGTCTAGTTGTTATGGGAAGATATTTCCTTTTCCAACGTAGGCCTCAAAGCGCTCCAAATGTCCACTTACACACACTACAAAAAGAGTGTTTCAAACCTGCTCTACCAAAGGGAATGCTCTACTCTGTGACTTGAATGCAAACATCCCAAAGAAGTTTCTGAGAATGCTTCTGTCTAGATTTGATCTGAAGACAATCCCTTTTCCAACGAAATCCTCAAAGCTAGGCAAATATCCTCTTGCAGATTCCAGAAAAAGAGTGTTTCCAAACTGCTCCTTCAAAACGGTGGTTCAATTCTCTTAGTTGAGTACACACATCTCAAATAAGTTTCTGAGAATGCTTCTGCCTAGTTGTTAAGGGAAGATATTTCCCTTTCCAACATAGGCCTGAAAGCGCAACAAATGTCCACTTCCAGATACGACAAAAAGAGTGTTTCAAACCTGCTCTACCAAAGGGAATGTTCTACTCTGTGACTTGAATGCAAACATCCCGAAAAAGTTTCTGAGAATGCTTCTGTCTAGATTTTTCCTGACGACAATCCCGTTTCCCACGAAATCCTCAAAGCTATGCAAATATCCTCTTGCAGATTCTACAAAAAGAGTGTTTCAAAACTGCTCTATGAAAAGAAAGGTTCAACTCTGTCAGTAGAGGGCACACATCACAAACAAGTTTCTGAGAATGCTTCTGCCTAGTTGTTATGGGAAGATATTTCCTTTTTCAACATAGGCCTGAAAGCGCTCCAAATGTCCACTTCCAGATACTACAAAAGGAGTGATTCCAACCTGCTCTATGATAGGGAATGTTCAACTCTGTGTCCTGAATACAAACATCACAAAGATGTTTCTCACAACGCTGCAGTCTGCAATTTGTATGAATTCCCGCTTCCAACCGAAATCCTCAAAACTAGCCAAATATCCACTTGCAGATTCCACAAAAAGAGCATTTCAAAACTGCTCTATCAAAAGAAAGGTTCAACTTTGTTAGTTGAGTAGATACAGCATAAACAAGTTTCTGAGAATGCTTCTGTCCAGTTTTTATGGGAAGATATTTCCTTTTTCACCTTAGCCCTGAAATCGCTCCAAAAGTCCAGTTCCAGATACTACAAAAGGGGTGTTTCAGGACTGCTCTATGAAAGGGAGTGTTCAACTTTTGACTTGAATGCAAACATCAGAAAGCAGTTTCTCAGAACGCTGCTGTGTGCTTTTTATATGTATTCCCGCTTCCAGCGAAATCCCCAAAGCTAGCCAAATATCCACTTGCAGATTCCAGAAAAAGAGTGTTTCAAAACTGCTCCTTCAAAACGGTGGTTCAATTCTCTTAGTTGAGTACACACATCTCAAATAAGTTTCTGAGAATGCTTGTGTCTAGTTGTTATGGGAAGATATTTCCTTTTTCAACATAGGCCTGAAAGTGCTCCAAATGTCCACTTACAGATACTACAAAAGGAGTGATTCCAACCTGCTCTATGATAGGGAATGTCCAACTCTGTGTCCTGAATACAAACATCACAAAGATGTTTCTCAGAACGCTGCAGTCTGCAATTTGTATGAATTCCCGCTTCCAACGAAATCCTCAAAACTAGCCAAATATCCACTTGCAGATTCCACAAAAAGAGCGTTTCAAAACTTCTCTATGAAAAGAAAGGTTCTACTCCTTTAGTTGAGGACACACAACACGAGTAAGTTTCTGAGAATGCTTCTGTCTAGTTTTTATGGGAAGATATTTCCTTTTTCACCTTAGGCCGGTAAGTGCTCCAAATGTCCACTTACACACACTACAAAAAGAGTGTTTCAAACCTGCTCTGTGAAAGGGAATGTTCAATTCTGTGACTTGAATGCAATCATGACAAAGAACTTTCTGAGAATGCTGCTGACTGCTTTTTATATGTAATCCCGTTTCCAACGAAATCCTCAAATCTAGCCAAATAGCCACTTGCAGATTCCACAAAAAGAGTGTTTCAAAACTGTTCTGTCTAAAGAAATGTTCAACTGTGTTAGTTGAGGACACACATCAGAAACTAGTTTCTGAGAATGCTTCTGTCTAGTTGTTATGGGAAGATATTTCCTTTTCCAACGTAGGCCTGAAAGCGCTCCAAATGTCCACTTCCAGATACTACAAAAAGAGTGTTTCAAACCTGCTCTACCAAAGGGAATGTTCTACTCTGTGACTTGAATGCAAGCATCCCAAAGAAGTTTCTGAGAATGCTTCTGTCTAGATTTTCTCTGAAGACAATCCCGTTTCCAACGAAATCCTCAAGGCTAGGCAAATATACTCTTGCAGATTCCAGAAAAAGAGTGTTTCAAAACTGCTCCTTCAAAACGGTGGTTCAATTCTCTTAGTTGAGTACACACATCTCAAATAAGTTTCTGAGAATGCTTCTGCCTAGTTGTTACGGGAAGATATTTCCCTTTCCAACATGGGCCTGAAAGCGCTCCAAATGTCCACTTCCAGATACTACAAAAAGAGTGTTTCAAACCTGCTCTACCAAAGGGAATGTTCTACTCTGTGACTTGAATGCAAACATCCCAAAGAAGTTTCTGAGAATGCTTCTGTCTAGATTTTATCTGAAGACAATCCCGTTTCCAACGAAATCCTCAAGGCTAGGCAAATATACTCTTGCAGATTCCAGAAAAAGAGGGTTTCAAAACTGCTCCTTCAAAACGGTGGTTCAATTCTCTTCGTTGAGTACACACATCTCAAATAAGTTTCTGAGAATGCTTCTGCCTAGTTGTTACGGGAAGATATTTCCCTTTCCAACATAGGCCTGAAAGCGCTCCAAATGTCCACTTCCAGATACTACAAAAAGAGTGTTTCAAACCTGCTCTACCAAAGGGAATGTTCTACTCTGTGACTTGAATGCAAACATCCCAAAGAAGTTTCTGAGAATGCTTCTGTCTAGATTTTACCTGAAGACAATCCCGTTTCCCACGAAATCCTCAAAGCTATGCAAATATCCTCTTGCAGATTCTACAAAAAGAGTGTTTCAAAACTGCTCTATGAAAAGAAAGGTTCAACTCTGTCAGTAGAGGGCACACATCACAAACAAGTTTCTGAGAATGCTTGTGTCTAGTTGTTATGGGAAGATATTTCCTTTTTCAACATAGGCCAGAAAGCGCTCCAAATGTCCACTTCCAGATACTACAAAAGGAGTGATTCCAACCTGCTCTATGATAGGGAATGTTCAACTCTCTGTCCTGAATACAAACATCACAAAGATGTTTCTCAGAACGCTGCAGTCTGCAATTTGTATGAATTCCCGCTTCCAACGAAATCCTCAAAACTAGCCAAATATCCACTTGCAGATTCCACAAAAAGAGCATTTCAAAACTGCTCTATCAAAAGAAAGGTTCAACTTTGTTAGTTGAGTAGATACAGCATAAACAAGTTTCTGAGAATGCTGCAGTCTGCAATTTGTATGAATTCCCGCTTCCAACGAAATCCTCAACACTAGCCAAATATCCACTTGGAGATTCCACAAAAAGAGCGTTTCAAAACTTCTCTATGAATAGAAAGGTTCTACTCCTTTAGTTGAGGACACACATCACGAGTAAGTTTCTGAGAATGCTTCTGTCTAGTTTTTATGGGAAGATATTTCCTTTTTCACCTTAGGCCGGTAAGTGCTCCAAATGTCCACTTACACACACTACAAAAAGAGTGTTTCAAACCTGCTCTGTGAAAGGGAATGTTCAATTCTGTGACTTGAATGCAATCATCACAAAGAACTTTCTGAGAATGCTGCTGTCTGCTTTTTATATGTAATCCCGTTTCCAACGAAATGCTCAAATCTAGCCAAATATCCACTTGCAAATTCCACAAAAAGAGTGTTTCAAAACTGTTCTGTCTAAAGAAATGTTCAACTGTGTTAGTTCAGGACACACATAAGAAACTAGTTTCTGAGAATGCTTCTGTCTAGTTGTTATGGGAAGATATTTCCTTTTCCAACGTAGGCCTGAAGCGCTCCAAATGTCCACTTCCATATACTAAAAAAAGAGTGTTTCAAACCTGCTCTACCAAAGGGAATGTTCTACTCTGTGACATGAATGCAAACATCCCAAAGAAGTTTCTGAGAATGCTTCTGTCTAGATTTGATCTGAAGACAATCCCGTTTCCAACGAAATCCTCAAGGCTAGGCAAATATCCTCTTGCAGATTCCAGAAAAAGAGTGTTTCAAAACTGCTCCTTCAAAACGGTGATTCAATTCTCTTAGTTGAGTAAACACATCTCAAATAAGTTTCTGAGAATGCTTCTGCCTAGTTGTTACGGGAAGATATTTCCCTTTCCAACATAGGCCTGAAAGCGCTCCAAATGTCCACTTCCAGATACTACAAAAAGAGTGTTTCAAACCTGCTCTACCAAAGGGAATGTTCTACTCTGTGACTTGAATGCAAACATCCCAAAGAAGTTTCTGAGAATGCTTCTGTCTAGATTTTACCTGAAGACAATCCCGTTTCCCACGAAATCCTCAAAGCTATGCAAATATCCTCTTGCAGATTCTACAAAAAGAGTGTTTCAAAACTGCTCTATGAAAAGAAAGGTTCAACTCTGTCACTAGAGGGCACACATCACAAACAAGTTTCTGAGAATGCTTGTGTCTAGTTGTTATGGGAAGATATTTCCTTTTTCAACATAGGCCTGAAAGCGCTCCAAATGTCCACTTCCAGATACTACAAAAGGAGTGATTCCAACCTGCTCTATGATAGGGAATGTTCAACTCTGTGTCCTGAATACATACATCACAAAGATGTTTCTCAGAACGCTGCAGTCTGCAATTTGTATGAATTCCCGCTTCCAACGAAATCCTCAAAACTAGCCAAATATCCACTTGCAGATTCCACAAAAAGACCATTTCAAAACTGCTCTATCAAAAGAAAGGTTCAACTTTGTTAGTTGAGTAGATACAGCATAAACAAGTTTCTGAGAATGCTTCTGTCCAGTTTTTATGGGAAGATATTTCCTTTTTCACCTTAGCCCTGAAATCGCTCCAAAAGTCCAGTTCCAGATACTACAAAAGGGGTGTTTCAGGACTGCTCTATGAAAGGGAGTGTTCAACTTTTGACTTGAATGCAAACATCAGAAAGCAGTTTCTCAGAACGCTGCTGTGTGCTTTTTATATGTATTCCCGCTTCCAGCGAAATCCCCAAAGCTAGCCAAATATCCACTTGCAGATTCCAGAAAAAGAGTGTTTCAAAACTGCTCCTTCAAAACGGTGGTTCAATTCTCTTAGTTGAGTACACACATCTCAAATAAGTTTCTGAGAATGCTTCTGTCTATTTGTTATGGGAAGATATTTCCTTTTCCAACATAGGCCTGAAAGCGCTCCAAATGTCCACTTCCAGATAGTACAAAAGGAGTGATTCAAACCTGCTCTATGATAGGGAATGTTCAACTCTGTGTCCTGAATACAAACATCACAAAGATGTTTCTCAGAACGCTGCAGTCTGCAATTTGTATGAATTCCCGCTTCCAACGAAATCCTCAAAACTAGCCAAATATCCACTTGCAGATTCCACAAAAAGAGCGTTTCAAAACTTCTCTATGAAAAGAAAGGTTCTACTCCTTTAGTTGAGGACACACATCACGAGTAAGTTTCTGAGAATGCTTCTGTCTAGTTTTTATGGGAAGATATTTCCTTTTTCACCTTAGGCCGGTAAGTGCTCCAAATGTCCACTTACACACACTACAAAAAGAGTGTTTCAAACCTGCTCTGTGAAAGGGAATGTTCAATTCTGTGACTTGAATGCAATCATCACAAAGAACTTTCTGAGAATGCTGCTGACTGCTTTTTATATGTAATCCCGTTTCCAACGAAATCCTCAAATCTAGCCAAATAGCCACTTGCAGATTCCACAAAAAGAGTGTTTCAAAACTGTTCTGTCTAAAGAAATGTTCAACTGTGTTAGTTGAGGACACACATCAGAAACTAGTTTCTGAGAATGCTTCTGTCTAGTTGTTATGGGAAGATATTTCCTTTTTCCAACGTAGGCCTGAAAGCGATCAAAATGTCCACTTCCATATACTAAAAAAAGAGTGTTTCAAACCTGCTCTACCAAAGGGAATGTTCTACTCTGTGACTTGAATGCAAACATCCCAAAGAAGTTTCTGAGAATGCTTCTGTCTAGATTTTACCTGAAGACAATCCCGTTTCCCGCGAAATCCTCAAAGCTATGAAAATATCCTCTTGCAGATTCTACAAAAAGAGTGTCTCGAAAGTGCTCTATGAAAAGAAAGGTTCAACTGTGTCAGTAGAGGGCACATATCACAAATAAGTTTCTGAGAATGCTTCTGTCTAGTTGTTATGGGAAGATATTTCCTTTTTCAACATAGGCCTGAAAACGCTCCAAATGTCCACTTCCAGATACTACAAAAGGAGTGATTCCAACCTGCTCTATGATAGGGAATGTTCAACTCTGTGTCCTGAATACAAACATCACAAAGATGTTTCTCAGAACGCTTCTGTCTAGATTTTACCTGAAGACAATCCCGGTTCCCACGTAATCCTCAAAGCTATGCAAATATCCTCTTGCAGATTCTACAAAAAGAGTGTTTCAAAACTGCTCTATGAAAAGAAAGGTTCAACTCTGTCAGTAGAGGGCACACATCACAAACAAGTTTCTGAGAATGCTTGTGTCTAGTTGTTATGGGAAGATATTTCCTTTTTCAACATAGGCCTGAAAGCGCTCCAAATGTCCACTTCCAGATACTACAAAAGGAGTGATTCCAACCTGCTCTATGATAGGGAATGTTCAACTCTCTGTCCTGAATACAAACATCACAAAGATGTTTCTCAGAACGCTGCAGTCTGCAATTTGTATGAATTCCCGCTTCCAACGAAATCCTAAAAACTAGCCAAATATCCACTTGCAGATTCCACAAAAAGACCATTTCAAAACTGCTCTATCAAAAGAAAGGTTCAACTTTGTTAGTTGAGTAGATACAGCATAAACAAGTTTCTGAGAATGCTTCTGTCCAGTTTTTATGGGAAGATATTTCCTTTTTCACCTTAGCCCTGAAATCGCTCCAAAAGTCCAGTTCCAGATACTACAAAAGGGGTGTTTCAAGACTGCTCTATGAAAGGGAGTGTTCAACTTTTGACTTGAATGCAAACATCAGAAAGCAGTTTCTCAGAACGCTGCAGTCTGCAATTTGTATGAATTCCCGCATCCAACGAAATCCTCAAAACTAGCCAAATATCCACTTGGAGATTCCACAAAAAGAGCGTTTCAAACCTTCTCTATGAATAGAAAGGTTCTACTCCTTTAGTTGAGGACACACATCACGAGTAAGTTTCTGAGAATGCTTCTGTCTAGTTTTTATGGGAAGATATTTCCTTTTTCACCTTAGGCCGGAAAGTGCTCCAAATGTCCACTTACACACACTACAAAAAGAGTGTTTCAAACCTGCTCTGTGAAAGGGAATGTTCAATTCTGTGACTTGAATGCAATCATCACAAAGAACTTTCTGAGAATGCTGCTGTCTGCTTTTTATATGTAATCCCGTTTCCAACGAAATCCTCAAATCTAGCCAAATAGCCACTTGCAGATTCCACAAAAAGAGTGTTTCAAAACTGTTCTGTCTAAAGAAATGTTCAACTGTGTTAGTTGAGGACACACATCAGAAACTAGTTTCTGAGAATGCTTCTGTCTAGTTGTTATGGGAAGATATTTCCTTTTCCAACGTAGGCCTGAAAGCGCTCCAAATGTCCACTTCCATATACTAAAAAAAGAGTGTTTCAAACCTGCTCTACCAAAGGGAATGTTGTACTCTGTGACTTGAATGCAAACATCCCAAAGAAGTTTCTGAGAATGCTTCTGTCTAGATTTTCTCTGAAGACAATCCCGTTTCCAACGAAATCCTCAAGGCTAGGCAAATATACTCTTGCAGATTCCAGAAAAAGAGTGTTTCAAAACTGCTCCTTCAAAACGGTGGTTCAATTCTCTTAGTTGAGTACACACATCTCAAATAAGTTTCTGAGAATGCTTCTGCCTAGTTGTTACGGGAAGATATTTCCCTTTCCAACATGGGCCTGAAAGCGCTCCATATGTCCACTTCCACATACTACAAAAAGAGTGTTTCAAACCTGCTCTACCAAAGGGAAGGTTCTACTCTGTGACTTGAATGCAAACATCCCAAAGAAGTTTCTGAGAATGCTTCTGTCTAGATTTTACCTGAAGACAATCCCGTTTCCCACGAAATCCTCAAAGCTATGCAAATATCCTCTTGCGGATTCTATAAAAGAGTGTTTCAAAACTGCTCTATGAAAAGAAAGGTTCAACTCTGTCAGTAGAGGGCACACATCACAAACAAGTTTCTGAGAATGCTTCTGTCTAGTTGTTTTGGGAAGATATTTCCTTTTTCAACCTAGGCCTGAAAGAGCTCCAAATTTCCACTTCCAGATACTACAAAGGAGTGATTCCAACCTGCTCTATGATAGGGAATGTTCAACTCTGTGTCCTGAATACGAACATCACAAAGATGTTTCTCAGAACGCTGCAGTCTGCAATTTGTATGAATTCCCGCTTCCAACGGAATCCTCAAAACTAGCCAAATATCCACTTGCAGATTCCACAAAAAGAGCATTTCAAAACTGATCTATGAAAAGAAAGGTTCAACTTTGTTAGTTGAGTAGATACAGCATAAACAAGTTTCTGAGAATGCTTCTGTCCAGTTTTTATGGGAAGATATTTCCTTTTTCACCTTAGCCCTGAAAGCGCTCCAAATGTCCACTTCCAGATACTACAAAAGGGGTGTTTCAAGCCTGCTCTATGAAAGGGAGTGTTCAACTTTTGACGTGAATGCAAACATCAGAAAGCAGTTTCTCAGAACGCTGCTGTGTGCTTTTTATATGTATTCCCGCTTCCAGCGAAATCCCCAAAGCTAGCCAAATATCCACTTGCAGATTCCAGAAAAAGAGAGTTTCAAAACTGCTCCTTCAAAACGGTGGTTCAATTCTCTTAGTTGAGTACACACATCTCAAATAAGTTTCTGAGAATGCTTCTGTCTAGTTGTTATGGGAAGATATTTCCTTTTCCAACATAGGCCTGAAAGCGCTCCAAATGTCCACTTCCAGATACTACAAAAGGAGTGATTCCAACCTGCTCTATGATAGGGAATGTTCAACTCTGTGTCCTGAATACAAACATCACAAAGATGTTTCTCAGAACGCTGCAGTCTGCAATTTGTATGAATTCCCGCTTCCAACGAAATCCTCAAAACTAGCCAAATATCCACTTGGAGATTCCACAAAAAGAGCGTTTCAAAACTTCTCTATGAAAAGAAAGGTTCTACTCCTTTAGTTGAGGACACACATCACGAGTAAGTTTCTGAGAGTGCTTCTGTCTAGTTTTTATGGGAAGATATTTCCTTTTTCACCTTAGGCCGGAAAGTGCTCCAAATGTCCACTTACACACACTACAAAAAGAGTGTTTCAAACCTGCTCTGTGAAAGGGAATGTTCAATTCTGTGACTTGAATGCAATCATCACAAAGAACTTTCTGAGAATGCTGCTGTCTGCTTTTTATATGTAATCCCGTTTCCAACGAAATCCTCAAATCTAGCCAAATAGCCACTTGCAGATTCCAAAAAAAGAGTGTTTCAAAACTGTTCTGTCTAAAGAAATGTTCAACTGTGTTAGTTGAGGACACACATCAGAAACTAGTTTCTGAGAATGCTTCTGTCTAGTTGTTATGGGAAGATATTTCCTTTTCCAACGTAGGCCTGAAAGCGATCCAAATGTCCACTTCCATATACTAAAAAAAGAGTGTTTCAAACCTGCTCTACCAAAGGGAATGTTCTACTCTGTGACTTGAATGCAAACATCCCAAAGAAGTTTCTGAGAATGCTTCTGTCTAGATTTGATCTGAAGACAATCCCGTTTCCAACGAAATCCTCAAGGCTAGGCAAATATCCTCTTGCAGATTCCAGAAAAAGAGTGTTTCAAAACTGCTCCTTCAAAACGGTGGTTCAATTCTCTTAGTTGAGTACACACATCTCAAATAAGTTTCTGAGAATGCTTCTGCCTAGTTGTTACGGGAAGATATTTCCCTTTCCAACATGGGCCTGAAAGCGCTCCAAATGTCCACTTCCAGATACTACAAAAAGAGTGTTTCAAACCTGCTCTACCAAAGGGAATGTTCTACTCTGTGACTTGAATGCAAACATCCCAAAGAAGTTTCTGAGAATGCTTCTGTCTAGATTTTACCTGAAGACAATCCCGTTTCCCACGAAATCCTCAGAGCTATGCAAATATCCTCTTGCAGATTCTACAAAAAGAGTGTTTCGAAACTGCTCTATGAAAAGAAAGGTTCAACTCTGTCAGTAGAGGAAACACATCACCAACAAGTTTCTGAGAATGCTTCTGCATAGTTGTTACGGGAAGATATTTCCCTTTCCAAAATAGGCCTGAAAGCGCTCCAAATGTCCACTTCCAGATACTACAAAAGGAGTGATTCCAACCTGCTCTATGATAGGGAATGTTCAACTCTGTGTCCTGAATACAAACATCACAAAGATGTTTCTCAGAACGCTGCAGTCTGCAATTTGTATGAATTCCCGCTTCCAACGAAATCCTCAAAACTAGCCAAATATCCACTTGCAGATTCCACAAAAAGACCATTTCAAAACTGCTCTATCAAAAGAAAGGTTCAACTTTGCTGGTTGAGTAGATACAGCATAAACAAGTTTCTGAGAATGCTTCTGTCCAGTTTTTATGGGAAGATATTTCCTTTTTCACCTTAGCCCTGAAATCGCTCCAAAAGTCCAGTTCCAGATACTACAAAAGGGGTGTTTCAGGACTGCTCTATGAAAGGGAGTGTTCAACTTTTGACTTGAATGCAAACATCAGAAAGCAGTTTCTCAGAACGCTGCTGTGTGCTTTTTATATGTATTCCCGCTTCCAGCGAAATCCCCAAAGCTAGCCAAATATCCACTTGCAGATTCCAGAAAAAGAGTGTTTCAAAACTGCTCCTTCAAAACGGTGGTTCAATTCTCTTAGTTGAGTACACACATCTCAAATAAGTTTCTGAGAATGCTTCTGTCCAGTTTTTATGGGAAGATATTTCCTTTTTCACCTTAGCCCTCAAAGCGCTCCAAAAGTCCAGTTCCAGATACTACAAAAGGAGTGTTTCAGGACTGCTCTATGAAAGGGAGTGTTCAACTTTTGACTTGAATGCAAACATCAGAAAGCAGTTTCTCAGAACGCTGCTGTGTGCTTTTTATATGTATTCCCGCTTCCAGCGAAATCCCCAAAGCTAGCCAAATATCCACTTGCAGATTCCAGAAAAAGAGTGTTTCAAAACTGCTCCTTCAAAACGGTGGTTCAATTCTCTTAGTTGAGTACACACATCTCAAATAAGTTTCTGAGAATGCTGCAGTCTGCAATTTGTATGAATTCCCGCTTCCAACGAAATCCTCAAAACTAGCCAAATATCCACTTGCAGATTCCACAAAAAGAGCGTTTCAAAACTTCTCTATGAAAAGAAAGGTTCTACTCCTTTAGTTGAGGACACACATCACGAGTAAGTTTCTGAGAATGCTTCTGTCTAGTTTTTATGGGAAGATATTTCCTTTTTCACCTTAGGCCGGAAAGTGCTCCAAATGTCCACTTACACACACTACAAAAAGAGTGTTTCAAACCTGCTCTGTGAAAGGGAATGTTCAATTCTGTGACTTGAATGCAATCATCACAAAGAACTTTCTGAGAATGCTGCTGACTGCTTTTTATATGTAATCCCGTTTCCAACGAAATCCTCAAATCTAGCCAAATAGCCACTTGCAGATTCCACAAAAAGAGTGTTTCAAAACTGTTCTGTCTAAAGAAATGTTCAACTGTGTTAGTTGAGGACACACATCAGAAACTAGTTTCTGAGAATGCTTCTGTCTAGTTGTTATGGGAAGATATTTCCTTTTCCAACGTAGGCCTGAAAGCGCTCCAAATGTCCACTTCCATATACTAAAAAAAGAGTGTTTCAAACCTGCTCTACCAAAGGGAATGTTCTACTCTGTGACTTGAATGCAAACATCCCAAAGAAGTTTCTGAGAATGCTTCTGTCTAGATTTGATCTGAACACAATCCCGTTTCCAACGAAATCCTCAAAGCTAGGCAAATATCTTCTTGCAGATTCCAGAAAAAGAGTGTTTCAAAACTGCTCCTTCAAAACGGTGGTTCAATTCTCTTAGTTTAGTACACACATCTCAAATAAGTTTCTGAGAATGCTTCTGCCTAGTTGTTACCGGAAGATATTTCCCTTTCCAACATAGGCCTGAAAGCGCTCCAAATGTCCCCTTCCAGATACTACAAAAAGAGTGTTTCAAACCTGCTCTACCAAAGGGAATGTTCTACTCTGTGACTTGAATGCAAACATCCCAAAGAAGTTTCTGAGAATGCTTCTGTCTAGATTTTACCTGAAGACAATCCCGTTTCCCACGAAATCCTCAAAGCTATGCAAATATCCTCTTGCAGATTCTACAAAAAGAGTGTTTCAAAACTGCTCTATGAAAAGAAAGGTTCAACTCTGTCAGTAGAGGGCACACATCACAAACAAGTTTCTGAGAATGCTTGTGTCTAGTTGTTATGGGAAGATATTTCCTTTTTCAACATAGGCCTGAAAGCGCTCCAAATGTCCACTTCCAGATACTACAAAAGGAGTGATTCCAACCTGCTCTATGATAGGGAATGTTCAACTCTCTGTCCTGAATACAAACATCACAAAGATGTTTCTCAGAACGCTGCAGTCTGCAATTTGCATGAATTCCAGCTTCCAACGAAATCCTCAAAACTAGCCAAATATCCACTTGCAGATTCCACAAAAAGAGCATTTCAAAACTGCTCTATCAAAAGAAAGGTTCAACTTTGTTAGTAGAGTAGATACAGCATAAACAAGTTTCTGAGAATGCTTCTGTCCAGTTTTTATGGGAAGATATTTCCTTTTTCACCTTAGCCCTGAAATCGCTCCAAAAGTCCAGTTCCAGATACTACAAAAGGGGTGTTTCAAGACTGCTCTATGAAAGGGAGTGTTCAACTTTTGACTTGAATGCAAACATCAGAAAGCAGTTTCTCAGAACGCTGCTGTGTGCTTTTTATATGTATTCCCGCCTCCAGCGAAATCCCCAAAGCTAGCCAAATATCCACTTGCAGATTCCAGAAAAAGAGTGTTTCAAAACTGCTCCTTCAAAACGGTGGTTCAATTCTCTTAGTTGAGTACACACATCTCAAATAAGTTTCTGAGAATGCTTCTGTCTAGTTGTTATGGGAAGATATTTCCTTTTCCAACATAGGCCTGAAAGCGCTCCAAATGTCCACTTCCAGATACTACAAAAGGAGTGATTCAAACCTGCTCTATGATAGGGAATGTTCAACTCTGTGTCCTGAATACAAACATCACAAAGATGTTTCTCAGAACGCTGCAGTCTGCAATTTGTATGAATTCCCGCTTCCAACGAAATCCTCAAAACTAGCCAACTATCCACTTGCAGATTCCACAAAAAGAGCGTTTCAAAACTTCTCTATGAAAAGAAAGTTTCTACTCCTTTAGTTGAGTACACACATCACGAGTAAGTTTCTGAGAATGCTTCTGTCCAGTTTTTATGGGAAGATATTTCCTTTTTCACCTTAGCCCTGAAAGCGCTCCAAATGTCCACTTCCAGATACTACAAAAAGGATGTTTCAAGCCTGCTCTATGAAAGGGAGTGTTCAACTTTTGACTTGAATGCAAACATCAGAAAGCAGTTTCTCAGAAAGCTGCTGTGTGCTTTTTATATGTATTCCCGCTTCCAGCGAAATCCCCAAAGCTAGCCAAATATCCACTTGCAGATTCCAGAAAAAGAGAGTTTCAAAACTGCTCCTTCAAAACGGTGGTTCAATTCTCTTAGCTGAGTACACACATCTCAAATAAGTTTCTGGGAATTCTTCTGTCTAGTTGTTTATGGGAAGATATTTCCTTTTCCAACATAGGCCTGAAAGCGCTCCAAATGTCCACTTCCAGATACTACAAAAGGAGTGATTCCAACCTGCTCTATGATAGGGAATGTTCAACTCTGTGTCCTGAATACAAACATCACAAAGATGTTTCTCAGAACGCTGCAGTCTGCAATTTGTATGAATTCCCGCTTCCAACGAAATCCTCAAAACTAGCCAAATATCCACTTGCAGATTCCACAAAAAGACCATTTCAAAACTGCTCTATCAAAAGAAAGGTTCAACTTTGTTAGTTGAGTAGATACAGCATAAACAAGTTTCTGAGAATGCTTCTGTCCAGTTTTTATGGGAAGATATTTCCTTTTTCACCTTAGCCCTGAAATCGCTCCAAAAGTCCAGTTCCAGATACTACAAAAGGGGTGTTTCAAGACTGCTCTATGAAAGGGAGTGTTCAACTTTTGACTTGAATGCAAACATCAGAAAGCAGTTTCTCAGAACGCTGCTGTGTGCTTTTTATATGTATTCCCGCTTCCAGCGAAATCCCCAAAGCTAGCCAAATATCCACTTGCAGATTCCAGAAAAAGAGTGTTTCAAAACTGCTCCTTCAAAACGGTGGTTCAATTCTCTTAGTTGAGTACACACATCTCAAATAAGTTTCTGAGAATGCTGCAGTCTGCAATTTGTATGAATTCCCGCTTCCAACGAAATCCTCAAAACTAGCCAAATATCCACTTGCAGATTCCACAAAAAGAGCGTTTCAAAACTTCTCTATGAAAAGAAAGGTTCTACTCCTTTAGTTGAGGACACACATCACGAGTAAGTTTCTGAGAATGCTTCTGTCTAGTTTTTATGGGAAGATATTTCCTTTTTCACCTTAGGCCGGAAAGCACTCCAAATGTCCACTTACACACACTACAAAAAGAGTGTTTCAAACCTGCTCTGTGAAAGGCAATGTTCAATTCTGTGACTTGAATGCAATCATCACAAAGAACTTTCTGAGAATGCTGCTGTCTGCTTTTTATATGTAATCCCGTTTCCAACGAAATCCTCAAATCTAGCCAAATATCCACTTGCAGATTCCACAAAAAGAGTGTTTCAAAACTGTTCTGTCTAAAGAAAAGTTCAACTGTGTTAGTTGAGGACACACATCAGAAACTAGTTTCTGAGAATGCTTCTGTCTAGTTGTTATGGGAAGATATTTCCTTTTCCAACGTAGGCCTGAAAGCGCTCCAAATGTCCACTTCCATATACTAAAAAAAGAGTGTTTGAAACCTGCTCTACCAAAGGGAACGTTCTACTCTGTGACTTGAATGCAAACATCCCAAAGAAGTTTCTGAGAATGCTTCTGTCTAGATTTTATCTGAAGACAATCTCGTTTCCAACGAAATCATCAAGGCTAGGCAAATATCCTCTTGCAGATTCCAGAAAAAGAGTGTTTCACAACTGCTCCTTCAAAACGGTGGTTCAATTCTCTTACTTGAGTACACACATCTCAAATAAGTTTCTGAGAATGCTTCTGCCTAGTTGTTACTGGAAGATATTTCCCTTTCCATCATGGGCCTGAAAGCGCTCCAAATGTCCACTTCCAGATACTACAAAAAGAGTGTTTCAAACCTGCTCTACCAAAGGGAATGTTCTACTCTGTGACTTGAATGCAAACATCACAAAGAAGTTTCTGAGAATGCTTCTGTCTAGATTTTACCTGAAGGCAATCCCGTTTCCCACGAAATCCTCAAAGCTATGCAAATATCCTCTTGCAGATTCTACAAAAAGAGTGTTTCAAAACTGCTCTATGAAAAGAAAGGTTCAACTCTGTCAGTAGAGGGCACACATCACAAACAAGTTTCTGAGAATGCTTCTGCATAGTTGTTACGGGAAGATATTTCCCTTTCCAAAATAGGCCTGAAAGCGCTCCAAATGTCCACTTCCAGATACTACAAAAGGAGTGATTCCAACCTGCTCTATGATAGGGAATGTTCAACTCTGTGTCCTGAATACAAACATCACAAAGATGTTTCTCAGAACGCTGCAGTCTGCAATTTGTATGAATTCCCGCTTCCAACGAAATCCTCAAAACTAGCCAAATATCCACTTGCAGATTCCACAAAAAGACCATTTCAAAACTGCTCTATCAAAAGAAAGGTTCAACTTTGTTAGTTGAGTAGATACAGCATAAACAAGTTTCTGAGAATGCTTCTGTCCAGTTTTTATGGGAAGATATTTCCTTTTTCACCTTAGCCCTGAAATCGCTCCAAAAGTCCAGTTCCAGATACTACAAAAGGGGTGTTTCAAGACTGCTCTATGAAAGGGAGTGTTCAACTTTTGACTTGAATGCAAACATCAGAAAGCAGTTTCTCAGAACGCTGCTGTGTGCTTTTTATATGTATTCCCGCTTCCAGCGAAATCCCCAAAGCTAGCCAAATATCCACTTGCAGATTCCAGAAAAAGAGAGTTTCAAAACTGCTCCTTCAAAACGGTGGTTCAATTCTCTTAGTTGAGTACACACATCTCAAATAAGTTTCTGAGAATGCTGCAGTCTGCAATTTGTATGAATTCCCGCTTCCAACGAAATCCTCAAAACTAGCCAAATATCCACTTGCAGATTCCACAAAAAGAGCGTTTCAAAACTTCTCTATGAAAAGAAAGGTTCTACTCCTTTAGTTGAGGACACACATCACGAGTAAGTTTCTGAGAATGCTTCTGTCTAGTTTTTATGGGAAGATATGTCCTTTTTCACCTTAGGCCGGAAAGCGCTCCAAATGTCCACTTACACACACTACAAAAAGAGTGTTTCAAACCTGCTCTGGAAAGGGAATGTTCAATTCTGTGACTTGAATGCAATCATCACAAAGAACTTTCTGAGAATGCTGCTGACTGCTTTTTATATGTAATCCCGTTTCCAACGAAATCCTCAAATCTAGCCAAATATCCATTTGCAGATTCCACAAAAAGAGTGTTTCAAAAGTGTTCTGTCTAAAGAAAAGTTCAACTGTGTTAGTTGAGGACACTCATCAGAAACTAGTTTCTGAGAATGCTTCTGTCTAGTTGTTATGGGAAGATATTTCCTTTTCCAACGTAGGCCTGAAAGCGCTCCAAATGTCCACTTCCATATACTAAAAAAAGAGTGTTTCAAACCTGCTCTACCAAAGGGAATGTTCTACTCTGTGACTTGAATGCAAACATCCCAAAGAAGTTTCTGAGAATGCTTTTGTCTAGATTTTATCTGAAGACAATCCCGTTTCCAACGAAATCCTCAAGGCTAGGCAAATATACTCTTGCAGATTCCAGAAAAAGAGTGTTTCAAAACTGCTCCTTCAAAACGGTGGTTCAATTCTCTTCGTTGAGTACACACATCTCAAATAAGTTTCTGAGAATGATTCTGCCTAGTTGTTACGGGAAGATATTTCCCTTTCCAACATGGGCCTGAAAGCGCTCCAAATGTCCACTTCCAGATACTACAAAAAGAGTGTTTCAAACCTGCTCTACCAAAGGGAATGTTCTACTCTGTGACTTGAATGCAAACATCCCAAAGAAGTTTCTGAGAATGCTTCTGTCTAGATTTTACCTGAAGACAATCCCGTTTCCCACGAAATCCTCAAAGCTATGCAAATATCCTCTTGCGGATTCTATAAAAGAGTGTTTCAAAACTGCTCTATGAAAAGAAAGGTTCAACTCTGTCAGTAGAGGGCACACATCACAAACAAGTTTCTGAGAATGCTTGTGTCTAGTTGTTATGGGAAGATATTTCCTTTTTCAACATAGGCCTGAAAGCGCTCCAAATGTCCACTTCCAGATACTACAAAAGGAGTGATTCCAACATGCTCTATGATAGGGAATGTTCATCTCTCTGTCTTGAATACAAACATTTCAAAGATGTTTCTCAGAACGCTGCAGTCTGCAATTTGAATGAATTCCCGCTTCCAACGAAATCCTCAAAACTAGCCAAATATCCACTTGCAGATTCCACAAAAAGAGCATTTCAAAACTGCTCTATCAAAAGAAAGGTTCAACTTTGTTAGTTGAGTAGATACAGCATCAACAAGTTTCTGAGAATGCTTCTGTCCAGTTTTTATGGGAAGATATTTCCTTTTTCACCTTAGCCCTGAAATCGCTCCAAAAGTCCAGTTCCAGATACTACAAAAGGGGTGTTTCAGGACTGCTCTATGAAAGGGAGTGTTCAACTTTTGACTTGAATGCAAACATCAGAAAGCAGTTTCTCAGAACGCTGCTGTGTGCTTTTTAGATGTATTCCCGCTTCCAGCGAAATCCCAAAAGCTAGCCAAATATCCACTTGCAGATTCCAGAAAAAGAGTGTTTCAAAACTGCTCCTTCAAAACGGTGGTTCAATTCTCTTAGTTGAGTACACACATCTCAAATAAGTTTCTGAGAATGCTTCTGTCTAGTTGTTATGGGAAGATATTTCCTTTTCCAACATAGGCCTGAAAGCGCTCCAAATGTCCACTTCCAGATACTACAAAAGGAGTGATTCAAACCTGCTCTATGATAGGGAATGTTCAACTCTGTGTCCTGAATACAAACATCACAAAGATGTTTCTCAGAACGCTGCAGTCTGCAATTTGTATGAATTCCCGCTTCCAACGGAAATCCTCAAAACTAGCCAAATATCCACTTGCAGATTCCACAAAAAGAGCGTTTCAAAACTTCTCTATGAAAAGGAAGGTTCTACTCCTTTAGTTGAGGACACACATCACGAGTAAGTTTCTGAGAATGCTTCTGTCTAGTTTTTATGGGAAGATATTTCCTTTTTCACCTTAGGCCGGTAAGTGCTCCAAATGTCCACTTACACACACTACAAAAAGAGTCTTTCAAACCTGCTCTGTGAAAGGGAATGTTCAATTCTGTGACTTGAATGCAATCATCACAAAGAACTTTCTGAGAATGCTGCTGACTGCTTTTTATATGTAATCCCGTTTCCAACGAAATCCTCAAATCTAGCCAAATAGCCACTTGCAGATTCCACAAAAAGAGTGTTTCAAAACTGTTCTGTCTAAAGAAATGTTCAACTGTGTTAGTTGAGGACACACATCAGAAACTAGTTTCTGAGAATGCTTCTGTCTAGTTGTTATGGGAAGATATTTCCTTTTCCAACGTAGGTCTGAAAGCGCTCCAAATGTCCACTTCCATATACTAAAAAAAGACTGTTTCAAACCTGCTCTACCAAAGGGAATGTTCTACTCTGTGACTTGAATGCAAACATCCCAAAGAAGTTTCTGAGAATGCTTCTGTCTAGATTTGATCTGAAGACAATCCCGTTTCCAACGAAATCCTCAAGGCTAGGCAAATATCCTCTTGCAGATTCCAGAAAAAGAGTGTTTCAAAACTGCTCCTTCAAAACGGTGATTCAATTCTCTTAGTTGAGTACACACATCTCAAATAAGTTTCTGAGAATGCTTCTGCCTAGTTGTTACGGGAAGATATTTCCCTTTCCAACATGGGCCTGAAAGCGCTCCAAATGTCCACTTCCAGATACTACAAAAAGAGTGTTTCAAACCTGCTCTACCAAAGGGAATGTTCTACTCTGTGACTTGAATGCAAACATCCCAAAGAAGTTTCTGAGAATGCTTCTGTCTAGATTTTACCTGAAGACAATCCCGTTTCCCACGAATTCCTCAAAGCGATGCAAATATCCTCTTGCGGATTCTACAAAAAGAGTGTTTCAAAACTGCTCTATGAAAAGAAAGGTTCAACTCTGTCAGTAGAGGGCACACATCACAAACAAGTTTCTGAGAATGCTTGTGTCTAGTTGTTATGGGAAGATATTTCCTTTTTCAACATAGGCCTGAAAGCGCTCCAAATGTCCACTTCCAGATACTACAAAAGGAGTGATTCCAACCTGCTCTATGATAGGGAATGTTCCTCTCTGTGTCCTGAATACAAACATCACAAAGATGTTTCTCAGAACGCTGCAGTCTGCAATTTGGATGAATTCCCGCTTTCAACGAAATCCTCAACACTAGCCAAATATCCACTTGGAGATTCCACAAAAAGAGCGTTTCAAAACTTCTCTATGAATAGAAAGGTTCTACTCCTTTAGTTGAGGACACACATCACGAGTAAGTTTCTGAGAATGCTTCTGTCTAGTTTTTATGGGAAGATATGTCCTTTTTCACCTTAGGCCGGAAAGCGCTCCAAATGTCCACTTACACACACTACAAAAAGAGTGTTTCAAACCTGCTCTGTGAAAGGGAATGTTCAATTCTGTGACTTGAATGCAATCATCACAAAGAACTTTCTGAGAATGCTTGCTGTCTGCTTTTTATATGTAATCCCGTTTCCAACGAAATCCTCAAATCTAGCCAAATAGCCACTTGCAGATTCCACAAAAAGAGTGTTTCAAAACTGTTCTGTCTAAAGAAAAGTTCAACTGTGTTAGTTGAGGACACACATCAGAAACTAGTTTCTGAGAATGCTTCTGTCTAGTTGTTATGGGAAGATATTTCCTTTTCCAACGTAGGCCTGAAAGCGCTCCAAATGTCCACTTCCATATACTAAAAAAAGAGTGTTTCAAACCTGCTCTACCAAAGGGAATGTTCTACTCTGTGACTTGAATGCAAACATCCCAAAGAAGTTTCTGAGAATGCTTCTGTCTAGATTTTCTCTGAAGACAATCCCGTTTCCAACGAAATCCTCAAGGCTAGGCAAATATACTCTTGCAGATTCCAGAAAAAGAGTGTTTCAAAACTGCTCCTTCAAAACGGTGGTTCAATTCTCTTAGTTGAGTACACACATCTCAAATAAGTTTCTGAGAATGCTTCTGCCTAGTTGTTACGGGAAGATATTTCCCTTTCCAACATGGGCCTGAAAGTGCTCCAAATGTCCACTTCCAGATACTACAAAAAGAGTGTTTCAAACCTGCTCTACCAAAGGGAATGTTCTACTCTGTGACTTGAATGCAAACATCCCAAAGAAGTTTCTGAGAATGCTTCTGTGTAGATTTTACGTGAAGACAATCCCGTTTCCTACGAAATCCTCAAAGCTATGCAAATATCCTCTTACAGATTCTACAAAAAGAGTGTTTCGAAACTGCTCTATGAAAAGAAAGGTTCAACTGTGTCAGTAGAAGGCACACATCACAAACAAGTTTCTGAGAATGCTTCTGCATAGTTGTTACGGGAAGATATTTCCCTTTCCAAAATAGGCCTGAAAGCGCTCCAAATGTCCACTTCCAGATACTACAAAAGGAGTGATTCCAACCTGCTCTATGATAGGGAATGTTCAACTCTGTGTCCTGAATACAAACATCACAAAGATGTTTCTCAGAACGCTGCAGTCTGCAATTTGTATGAATTCCCGCTTCCAACGAAATCCTCAAAACTAGCCAAATATCCACTTGCAGATTCCACAAAAAGACCATTTCAAAACTGCTCTATCAAAAGAAAGGTTCAACTTTGTTAGTTGAGTAGATACAGCATAACCAAGTTTCTGAGAATGCTTCTGTCCAGTTTTTATGGGAAGATATTTCCTTTTTCACCTTAGCCCTGAAATCGCTCCAAAAGTCCAGTTCCAGATACTACAAAAGGGGTGTTTCAAGACTGCTCTATGAAAGGGAGTGTTCAACTTTTGACTTGAATGCAAACATCAGAAAGCAGTTTCTCAGAACGCTGCTGTGTGCTTTTTATATGTATTCCCGCTTCCAGCGAAATCCCCAAAGCTAGCCAAATATCCACTTGCAGATTCCAGAAAAAGAGTGTTTCAAAACTGCTCCTTCAAAACGGTGGTTCAATTCTCTTAGTTGAGTACACACATCTCAAATAAGTTTCTGAGAATGCTTCTGTCTAGTTGTTATGGGAAGATATTTCCTTTTCCAACACAGGCCTGAAAGCGCTCCAAATGTCCACTTCCAGATACAACAAAAGGAGTGATTCCAACCTGCTCTATGATAGGGAATGTTCAACTCTGTGTCCTGAATACAAACATCACAAAGATGTTTCTCAGAACGCTGCAGTCTGCAATTTGTATGAATTCCCGCTTCCAACGAAATCCTCCAAACTAGCCAAATATCCACTTGCAGATTCCACAAAAAGAGCGTTTCAAAACTTCTCTATGAAAAGAAAGGTTCTACTCCTTTAGTTGAGGACACACATCACGAGTAAGTTTCTGAGAATGCTTCTGCCTAGTTGTTATGGGAAGATATTTCCTTGTTCACCTTAGGCCGGAAAGCGCTCCAAATGTCCACTTACACACACTACAAAAAGAGTGTTTCAAACCTGCTCTGTGAAAGGGAATGTTCAATTCTGTGACTTGAATGCAATCATCACAAAGAAGTTTCTGAGAATGCTGCTGTCTGCTTTTTATATGTAATCCCGTTTCCAACGAAATCCTCAAATCTAGCCAAATATCCACTTGCAGATTCCACAAAAAGAGTGTTTCAAAACTGTTCTGTCTAAAGAAATGTTCAACTGTGTTAGTTGAGGACACACATCAGAAACTAGTTTCTGAGAATGCTTCTGTCTAGTTGTTATGGGAAGATATTTCCTTTTCCAACGTAGGCCTGAAAGCGCTCCAAATGTCCACTTACACACACTACAAAAAGAGTGTTTCAAACCTGCTCTGTGAAAGGGAATGTTCAATTCTGTGACTTGAATGCAATCATCACAAAGAAGTTTCTGAGAATGCTTCTGTCTAGATTTGATCTGAAGACAATCCCGTTTCCAACGAAATCCTCAAGGGTAGGCAAATATCCTCTTGCAGATTCCAGAAAAAGAGTGTTTCAAAACTGCTCCTTCAAAACGGTGGTTCAATTCTCTTAGTTGAGTACACACATCTCAAATAAGTTTCTGAGAATGCTTCTGCCTAGTTGTTACGGGAAGATATTTCCCTTTCCAACATAGGCCTGAAAGCGCTCCAAATGTCCACTTCCAGATACTACAAAAAGAGTGTTTCAAACCTGCTCTACCAAAGGGAATGTTCTACTCTGTGACTTGAATGCAAACATCCCAAAGAAGTTTCTGAGAATGCTTCTGTCTAGATTTTACCTGAAGACAATCCCGTTTCCCACGAAATCCTCAAAGCTATGCAAATATCCTCTTGCAGATTCTACAAAAAGAGTGTTTCTAAACTGCTCTATGAAAAGAAAGGTTCAACTCTGTCAGTAGAGGGCACACATCACAAACAAGTTTCTGAGAATGCTTGTGTCTAGTTGTTATGGGAAGATATTTCCTTTTTCAACATAGGCCTGAAAGCGCTCCAAATGTCCACTTCCAGATACTACAAAAGGAGTGATTCCAACCTGCTCTATGATAGGGAATGTTCAACTCTCTGTCCTGAATACAAACATCACAAAGATGTTTCTCAGAACGCTGCAGTCTGCAATTTGTATGAATTCCCGCTTCCAACGAAATCCTCAAAACTAGCCAAATATCCACTTGCAGATTCCACAAAAAGACCATTTCAAAACTGCTCTATCAAAAGAAAGGTTCAACTTTGTTAGTTGAGTAGATACAGCATAAACAAGTTTCTGAGAATGCTTCTGTCCAGTTTTTATGGGAAGATATTTCCTTTTTCACCTTAGCCCTGAAAGCGCTCCAAAAGTCCAGTTCCAGATACTACAAAAGGAGTGTTTCAGGACTGCTCTATGAAAGGGAGTGTTCAACTTTTGACTTGAATGCAAACATCAGAAAGCAGTTTCTCAGAACGCTGCTGTGTGCTTTTTATATGTATTCCCGCTTCCAGCGAAATCCCCAAAGCTAGCCAAATATCCACTTGCAGATTCCAGGAAAAGAGTGTTTCAAAACTGCTCCTTCAAAACGGTGGTTCAATTCTCTTAGTTGAGTACACACATCTCAAATAAGTTTCTGAGAATGCTTCTGTCTAGTTGTTATGGGAAGATATTTCCTTTTCCAACATAGGCCTGAAAGCGCTCCAAATGTCCACTTCCAGATACTACAAAAGGAGTGATTCCAACCTGCTCTATGATAGGGAATGTTCAACTCTGTGTCCTGAATACAAACATCACAAAGATGTTTCTCAGAACGCTGCAGTCTGCAATTTGTATGAATTCCCGCTTCCAACGAAATCCTCAAAACTAGCCAAATATCCACTTGCAGATTCCACAAAAAGAGCGTTTCAAAACTTCTCTATGAAAAGAAAGGTTCTACTCCTTTAGTTGAGGACACACATCACGAGTAAGTTTCTGAGAATGCTTCTGTCTAGTTTTTATGGGAAGATATTTCCTTTTTCACCTTAGGCCGGTAAGTGCTCCAAATGTCCACTTACACACACTACAAAAAGAGTGTTTCAAACCTGCTCTGTGAAAGGGAATGTTCAATTCTGTGACTTGAATGCAATCATCACAAAGAACTTTCTGAGAATGCTGCTGACTGCTTTTTATATGTAATCCCGTTTCCAACGAAATCCTCAAATCTAGCCAAATATCCACTTGCAGATTCCACAAAAAGAGTGTTTCAAAACTGTTCTGTGTAAAGAAATGTACAACTGTGTTAGTTGAGGACACACATCAGAAACTAGTTTCTGAGAATGCTTCTGTCTAGTTGTTATGGGAAGATATTTCCTTTTCCAACGTAGGCCTGAAAGCGATCCAAATGTCCACTTCCATATACTAAAAAAAGAGTGTTTCAAACCTGCTCTACCAAAGGGAATGTTCTACTCTGTGACTTGAATGCAAACATCCCAAAGAAGTTTCTGAGAATGCTTCTGTCTAGATTTTCTCTGAAGACAATCCCCGTTTCCAACGAAATCCTCAAGGCTAGGCAAATATACTCTTGCAGATTCCAGAAAAAGAGTGTTTCAAAACTGCTCCTTCAAAACGGTGGTTCAATTCTCTTAGTTGAGTACACACATCTCAAATAAGTTTCTGAGAATGCTTCTGCCTAGTTGTTACGGGAAGATATTTCCCTTTCCAACATGGGCCTGAAAGCGCTCCAAATGTCCACTTCCAGATACTACAAAAAGAGTGTTTCAAACCTGCTCTACCAAAGGGAATGTTCTACTCTGTGACTTGAATGCAAACATCCCAAAGAAGTTTCTGAGAATGCTTCTGTCTAGATTTTACCTGAAGACAATCCCGTTTCCCCCGAAATCCTCAAAGCTATGCAAATATCCTCTTGCGGATTCTACAAAAAGAGTGTTTAAAAACTGCTCTATGAAAAGAAAGGTTCAACTCTGTCAGTAGAGGGCACACATCACAAACAAGTTTCTGAGAATGCTTCTGCATAGTTGTTACGGGAAGATATTTCCCTTTCCAAAATAGGCCTGAAAGCGCTCCAAATGTCCACTTCCAGATACTACAAAAGGAGTGATTCCAACCTGCTCTATGATAGGGAATGTTCAACTCTGTGTCCTGAATACAAACATCACAAAGATGTTTCTCAGAACGCTGCAGTCTGCAATTTGTATGAATTCCCGCTTCCAACGAAATCCTCAAAACTAGCCAAATATCCACTTGCAGATTCCACAAAAAGACCATTTCAAAACTGCTCTATCAAAAGAAAGGTTCAACTTTGTTAGTTGAGTAGATACAGCATAACCAAGTTTCTGAGAATGCTTCTGTCCAGTTTTTATGGGAAGATATTTCCTTTTTCACCTTAGCCCTGAAATCGCTCCAAAAGTCCAGTTCCAGATACTACAAAAGGGGTGTTTCAAGACTGCTCTATGAAAGGGAGTGTTCAACTTTTGACTTGAATGCAAACATCAGAAAGCAGTTTCTCAGAACGCTGCTGTGTGCTTTTTATATGTATTCCCGCTTCCAGCGAAATCCCCAAAGCTAGCCAAATATCCACTTGCAGATTCCAGAAAAAGAGTGTTTCAAAACTGCTCCTTCAAAACGGTGGTTCAATTCTCTTAGTTGAGTACACACATCTCAAATAAGTTTCTGAGAATGCTTCTGTCTAGTTGTTATGGGAAGATATTTCCTTTTTCAACATAGGCCTGAAAGCGCTCCAAATGTCCACTTCCAGATACTACAAAAGGAGTGATTCCAACCTGCTCTATTATAGGGAATGTTCAACTCTGTGTCCTGAATACAAACATCACAAAGATGTTTCTCAGAACGCTGCAGTCTGCAATTTGTATGAATTCCCGCTTCCAACGAAATCCTCCAAACTAGCCAAATATCCACTTGCAGATTCCACAAAAAGAGCGTTTCAAAACTTCTCTATGAAAAGAAAGGTTCTACTCCTTTAGTTGAGGACACACATCACGAGTAAGTTTCTGAGAATGCTTCTGTCTAGTTTTTATGGGAAGATATTTCCTTGTTCACCTTAGGCCGGAAAGCGCTCCAAATGTCCACTTACACACACTACAAAAAGAGTGTTTCAAACCTGCTCTGTGAAAGGGAATGTTCAATTCTGTGACTTGAATGCAATCATCACAAAGAAGTTTCTGAGAATGCTGCTGTCTGCTTTTTATATGTAATCCCGTTTCCAACGAAATCCTCAAATCTAGCCAAATATCCACTTGCAGATTCCACAAAAAGAGTGTTTCAAAACTGTTCTGTCTAAAGAAAAGTTCAACTGTGTTAGTTGAGGACACACATCAGAAACTAGTTTCTGAGAATGCTTCTGTCTAGTTGTTATGGGAAGATATTTCCTTTTCCAACGTAGGCCTGAAAGCGCTCCAAATGTCCACTTCCATATACTAAAAAAAGAGTGTTTCAAACCTGCTCTACCAAAGGAATGTTCTACTCTGTGACTTGAATGCAAACATCCCAAAGAAGTTTCTGAGAATGCTTCTGTCTAGATTTGATCTGAAGACAATCCCTTTTCCAACGAAATCCTCAAATCTAGGCAAATATCCTCTTGCAGATTCCAGAAAAAGAGTGTTTCCAAACTGCTCCTTCAAAACGGTGGTTCAATTCTCTTAGTTGAGTACACACATCTCAAATAAGTTTCTGAGAATGCTTCTGCCTAGTTGTTACGGGAAGATATTTCCCTTTCCAACATAGGCCTGAAAGCGCAACAAATGTCCACTTCCAGATACTACAAAAAGAGTGTTTCAAACCTGCTCTACCGAAGGGAATGTTCTACTCTGTGACTTGAATGCAAACATCCCGAAGAAGTTTCTGAGAATGCTTCTGTCTAGATTTTACCTGAAGACAATCCCGTTTCCCACGAAATCCTCAAAGCTATGCAAATATCCTCTTGCAGATTCTACAAAAAGAGTGTTTCAAAACTGCTCTATGAAAAGAAAGGTTCAACTCTGTCAGTAGAGGGCACACATCACAAACAAGTTTCTGAGAATGCTTGTGTCTAGTTGTTATGGGAAGATATTTCCTTTTTCAACATAGGCCTGAAAGCGCTCCAAATGTCCACTTCCAGATACTACAAAAGGAGTGATTCCAACCTGCTCTATGATAGGGAATGTTCAACTCTGTGTCCTGAATACAAACATCACAAAGATGTTTCTCAGAACGCTGCAGTCTGCAATTTGTATGAATTCCAGCTTCCAACGAAATCCTCAAATCT
This sequence comes from Homo sapiens, assembly GCF_000001405.40. Classification (NCBI taxonomy): domain Eukaryota; kingdom Metazoa; phylum Chordata; class Mammalia; order Primates; family Hominidae; genus Homo; species Homo sapiens. The sequence goes on along the minus strand of NC_000018.10, from coordinate 19,664,701 downwards.
AGCCAAATATCCACTTGCAGATTCCACAAAAAGAGCATTTCAAAACTGCTCTATCAAAAGAAAGGTTCAACTTTGTTAGTAGAGTAGATACAGCATAAACAAGTTTCTGAGAATGCTTCTGTCCAGTTTTTATGGGAAGATATTTCCTTTTTCACCTCAGCCCTGAAAGCGCTCCAAAAGTCCAGTTCCAGATACTACAAAAGGAGTGTTTCAGGACTGCTCTATGAAAGGGAGTGTTCAACTTTTGACTTGAATGCAAACATCAGAAAGCAGTTTCTCAGAACGCTGCTGTGTGCTTTTTATATGTATTCCCGCCTCCAGCGAAATCCCCAAAGCTAGCCAAATATCCACTTGCAGATTCCAGAAAAAGAGTGTTTCAAAACTGCTCCTTCAAAACGGTGGTTCAATTCTCTTAGTTGAGTACACACATCTCAAATAAGTTTCTGAGAATGCTTCTGTCTAGTTGTTATGGGAAGATATTTCCTTTTCCAACATAGGCCTGAAAGCGCTCCAAATGTCCACTTCCAGATACTACAAAAGGAGTGATTCCAACCTGCTCTATGATAGGGAATGTTCAAATCTGTGTCCTGAATACAAACATCACAAAGATGTTTCTCAGAACGCTGCAGTCTGCAATTTGTATGAATTCCCGCTTCCAACGAAATCCTCAAAACTAGCCAAATATCCACTTGCAGATTCCACAAAAAGACCATTTCAAAACTGCTCTATCAAAAGAAAGGTTCAACTTTGTTAGTTGAGTAGATACAGCATAAACAAGTTTCTGAGAATGCTTCTGTCCAGTTTTTATGGGAAGATATTTCCTTTTTCACCTTAGCCCTGAAAGCGCTCCAAAAGTCCAGTTCCAGATACTACAAAAGGAGTGTTTCAGGACTGCACTATGAAAGGGAGTGTTCAACTTTTGACTTGAATGCAAACATCAGAAAGCAGTTTCTCAGAACGCTGCTGTGTGCTTTTTATATGTATTCCCGCCTCCAGCGAAATCCCCAAAGCTAGCCAAATATCCACTTGCAGATTCCAGAAAAAGAGTGTTTCAAAACTGCTCCTTCAAAACGGTGGTTCAATTCTCTTAGTTGAGTACACACATCTCAAATAAGTTTCTGAGAATGCTTGTGTCTAGTTGTTATGGGAAGATATTTCCTTTTTCAACATAGGCCTGAAAGCGCTCCAAATGTCCACTTCCAGATACTACAAAAGGAGTGATTCCAACCTGCTCTATGATAGGGAATGTTCATCTCTGTGTCCTGAATACAAACATCACAAAGATGTTTCTCAGAACGCTGCAGTCTGCAATTTGTATGAATTCCCGCTTCCAACGAAATCCTCAAAACTAGCCAAATATCCACTTGGAGATTCCACAAAAAGAGCGTTTCAAAACTTCTCTATGAATAGAAAGGTTCTACTCCTTTAGTTGAGGACACACATCACGAGTAAGTTTCTGAGAATGCTTCTGTCTAGTTTTTATGGGAAGATATGTCCTTTTTCACCTTAGGCCGGAAAGCGCTCCAAATGTCCACTTACACACACTACAAAAAGAGTGTTTCAAACCTGCTCTATGAAAGGGAATGTTCAATTCTGTGACTTGAATGCAATCATCACAAAGAACTTTCTGAGAATGCTGCTGACTGCTTTTTATATGTAATCCCGTTTCCAACGAAATCCTCAAATCTAGCCCAATATCCACTTGCAGATTCCACAAAAAGAGTGTTTCAAAACTGTTCTGTCTAAAGAAATATACAACTGTGTTAGTTGAGGACACACATCAGAAACTAGTTTCTGAGAATGCTTCTGTCTAGTTGTTATGGGAAGATATTTCCTTTTCCAACGTAGGCCTGAAAGCGCTCCTAATGTCCACTTCCATATACTAAAAAAAGAGTGTTTCAAACCTGCTCTACCAAAGGGAATGTTCTACTCTGTGACTTGAATGCAAACATCCCAAAGAAGTTTCTGAGAATGCTTCTGTCTAGATTTTATCTGAAGACAATCCCATTTCCAACGAAATCCTCAAGGCTAGGCAAATATACTCTTGCAGATTCCAGAAAAAGAGGGTTTCAAAACTGCTCCTTCAAAACGGTGGTTCAATTCTCTTAGTTGAGTACACACATCTCAAATAAGTTTCTGAGAATGCTTCTGCCTAGTTGTTACGGGAAGATATTTCCCTTTCCAACATGGGCCTGAAAGCGCTCCAAATGTCCACTTCCAGATACTACAAAAAGAGTGTTTCAAACCTGCTCTACCAAAGGGAATGTTCTACTCTGTGACTTGAATGCAAACATCCCAAAGAAGTTTCTGAGAATGCTTCTGTCTAGATTTTACCTGAAGACAATCCCGTTTCCCACGAAATCCTCAAAGCTATGCAAATATCCTCTTGCAGATTCTACAAAAAGAGTGTTTCAAAACTGCTCTAAGAAAAGAAAGGTTCAACTCTGTCAGTAGAGGGCACACATCACAAACAAGTTTCTGAGAATGCTTTCTGCATAGTTGTTACGGGAAGATATTTCCCTTTCCAAAATAGGCCTGAAAGCGCTCCAAATGTCCACTTCCAGATACTACAAAAGGAGTGATTCCAACCTGCTCTATGATAGGGAATGTTCAACTCTGTGTCCTGAATACAAACATCACAAAGATGTTTCTCAGAACGCTGCAGTCTGCAATTTGTATGAATTCCCGCTTCCAACGAAATCCTCAAAACTAGCCAAATATCCACTTGCAGATTCCACAAAAAGACCATTTCAAAACTGCTCTATCAAAAGAAAGGTTCAACTTTGTTAGTTGAGTAGATACAGCATAAACAAGTTTCTGAGAATGCTTCTGTCCAGTTTTTATGGGAAGATATTTCCTTTTTCACCTTAGCCCTGAAAGCGCTCCAAAAGTCCAGTTCCAGATACTACAAAAGGAGTGTTTCAGGACTGCTCTATGAAAGGGAGTGTTCAACTTTTGACTTGAATGCAAACATCAGAAAGCAGTTTCTCAGAACGCTGCTGTGTGCTTTTTATATGTATTCCCGCTTCCAGCGAAATCCCCAAAGCTAGCCAAATATCCACTTGCAGATTCCAGAAAAAGAGAGTTTCAAAACTGCTCCTTCAAAACGGTGGTTCAATTCTCTTAGTTGAGTACACACATCTCAAATAAGTTTCTGAGAATGCTTCTGTCTAGTTGTTATGGGAAGATATTTCCTTTTCCAACATAGGCCTGAAAGCGCTCCAAATGTCCACTTCCAGATACTACAAAAGGAGTGATTCAAACCTGCTCTATGATAGGGAATGTTCAACTCTGTGTCCTGAATACAAACATCACAAAGATGTTTCTCAGAACGCTGCAGTCTGCAATTTGTATGAATTCCCGCTTCCAACGAAATCCTCAAAACTAGCCAAATATCCACTTGCAGATTCCACAAAAAGAGGGTTTCAAAACTTCTCTATGAAAAGAAAGGTTCTACTCCTTTAGTTGAGGACACACATCACGAGTAAGTTTCTGAGAATGCTTCTGTCTAGTTTTTATGGGAAGATATTTCCTTTTTCACCTTAGGCCGGAAAGTGCTCCAAATGTCCACTTACACACACTACAAAAAGAGTGTTTCAAACCTGCTCTGTGAAAGGGAATGTTCAATTCTGTGACTTGAATGCAATCATCACAAAGAACTTTCTGAGAATGCTGCTGTCTGCTTTTTATATGTAATCCCGTTTCCAACGAAATCCTCAAATCTAGCCAAATAGCCACTTGCAGATTCCACAAAAAGAGTGTTTCAAAACTGTTCTGTCTAAAGAAATGTTCAACTGTGTTAGTTGAGGACACACATCAGAAACTAGTTTCTGAGAATGCTTCTGTCTAGTTGTTATGGGAAGATATTTCCTTTTCCAACGTAGGCCTGAAAGCGCTCCAAATGTCCACTTCCATATACTAAAAAAAGAGTGTTTCAAACCTGCTCTACCAAAGGGAATGTTCTACTCTGTGACATGAATGCAAACATCCCAAAGAAGTTTCTGAGAATGCTTCTGTCTAGATTTGATCTGAAGACAATCCCGTTTCCAACGAAATCCTCAAGGCTAGGCAAATATCCTCTTGCAGATTCCAGAAAAAGAGTGTTTCAAAACTGCTCCTTCAAAACGGTGGTTCAATTCTCTTAGTTGAGTACACACATCTCAAATAAGTTTCTGAGAATGCTTCTGCCTAGTTGTTACGGGAAGATATTTCCCTTTCCAACATGGGCCTGAAAGCGCTCCAAATGTCCACTTCCAGATACTACAAAAAGAGTGTTTCAAACCTGCTCTACCAAAGGGAATGTTCTACTCTGTGACTTGAATGCAAACATCCCAAAGAAGTTTCTGAGAATGCTTCTGTCTAGATTTTACCTGAAGACAATCCCGTTTCCCACGAAATCCTCAAAGCTATGCAAATATCCTCTTGCAGATTCTACAAAAAGAGTGTTTCAAAACTGCTCTATGAAAAGAAAGGTTCAACTCTGTCAGTAGAGGGCACACATCACAAACAAGTTTCTGAGAATGCTTGTGTCTAGTTGTTATGGGAAGATATTTCCTTTTTCAACATAGGCCAGAAAGCGCTGCAAATGTCCACTTCCAGATACTACAAAAGGAGTGATTCCAACCTGCTCTATGATAGGGAATGTTCAACTCTCTGTCCTGAATACAAACATCACAAAGATGTTTCTCAGAACGCTGCAGTCTGCAATTTGTATGAATTCCCGCTTCCAACGAAATCCTCAAAACTAGCCAAATATCCACTTGCAGATTCCACAAAAAGAGCATTTCAAAACTGCTCTATCAAAAGAAAGGTTCAACTTTGTTAGTTGAGTAGATACAGCATAAACAAGTTTCTGAGAATGCTTCTGTCCAGTTTTTATGGGAAGATATTTCCTTTTTCACCTTAGCCCTGAAAGCGCTCCAAAAGTCCAGTTCCAGATACTACAAAAGGAGTGTTTCAGGACTGCACTATGAAAGGGAGTGTTCAACTTTTGACTTGAATGCAAACATCAGAAAGCAGTTTCTCAGAACGCTGCTGTGTGCTTTTTATATGTATTCCCGCTTCCAGCGAAATCCCCAAAGCTAGCCAAATATCCACTTGCAGATTCCAGAAAAAGAGTGTTTCAAAACTGCTCCTTCAAAACGGTGATTCAATTCTCTTAGTTGAGTACACACATCTCAAATAAGTTTCTGAGAATGCTTCTGTCTACTTGTTATGGGAAGATATTTCCTTTTCCAACATAGGCCTGAAAGCGCTCCAAATGTCCACTTCCAGATACTACAAAAGGAATGATTCAAACCTGCTCTATGATAGGGAATGTTCAACTCTGTGTCCTGAATACAAACATCACAAAGATGTTTCTCAGAACGCTGCAGTCTGCAATTTGTATGAATTCCCGCTTCCAACGAAATCCTCCAAACTAGCCAAATATCCACTTGCAGATTCCACAAAAAGAGCGTTTCAAAACTTCTCTATGAAAAGAAAGGTTCTACTCCTTTAGTTGAGGACACACATCACGAGTAAGTTTCTGAGAGTGCTTCTGTCTAGTTTGTATGGGAAGATATTTCCTTTTTCACCTTAGGCCGGAAAGTGCTCCAAATGTCCACTTACACACACTACAAAAAGAGTGTTTCAAACCTGCTCTGTGAAAGGGAATGTTCAATTCTGTGACTTGAATGCAATCATCACAAAGAACTTTCTGAGAATGCTGCTGTCTGCTTTTTATATGTAATCCCGTTTCCAACGAAATCCTCAAATCTAGCCAAATAGCCACTTGCAGATTCCACAAAAAGAGTGTTTCAAAACTGTTCTGTCTAAAGAAATGTTCAACTGTGTTAGTTGAGGACACACATCAGAAACTAGTTTCTGAGAATGCTTCTGTCTAGTTGTTTTGGGAAGATATTTCCTTTTCCAACGTAGTCCTGAAAGCGATCAAAATGTCCACTTCCATATACTAAAAAAAGAGTGTTTCAAACCTGCTCTACCAAAGGGAATGTTCTACTCTGTGACTTGAATGCAAACATCCCAAAGAAGTTTCTGAGAATGCTTCTGTCTAGATTTTATCTGAATACAATCCCGTTTCCAACGAAATCCTCAAGGCTAGGCAAATATACTCTTGCAGATTCCAGAAAAAGAGTGTTTCAAAACTGCTCCTTCAAAACGGTGGTTCAATTCTCTTAGTTGAGTACACACATCTCAAATAAGTTTCTGAGAATGCTTCTGCCTAGTTGTTACGGGAAGATATTTCCCTTTCCAACATAGGCCTGAAAGCGCTCCAAATGTCCACTTCCAGATACTACAAAAAGAGTGTTTCAAACCTGCTCTACCAAAGGGAATGTTCTACTCTGTGACTTGAATGCAAACATCCCAAAGAAGTTTCTGAGAATGCTTCTGTCTAGATTTTACCTGAAGACAATCCCGTTTCCCACGAAATCCTCAAAGCTATGCAAATATCCTCTTGCAGATTCTACAAAAAGAGTGTTTCAAAACTGCTCTATGAAAAGAAAGGTTCAACTCTGTCAGTAGAGGGCACACATCACAAACAAGTTTCTGAGAATGCTTCTGTCTAGTTGTTATGGGAAGATATTTCCTTTTTCACCTTAGGCCGGAAAGTGCTCCAAATGTCCACTTCCAGATACTACAAAAGGAGTGATTCCAACCTGCTCTATGATAGGGAATGTTCAACTCTCTGTCCTGAATACAAACATCACAAAGATGTTTCTCAGAACGCTGCAGTCTGCAATTTGTATGAATTCCCGCTTCCAACGAAATCCTCAAAACTAGCCAAATATCCACTTGCAGATTCCACAAAAAGAGCATTTCAAAACTGCTCTATCAAAAGAAAGGTTCAACTTTGTTAGTTGAGTAGATACAGCATAAACAAGTTTCTGAGAATGCTTCTGTCCAGTTTTTATGGGAAGATATTTCCTTTTTCACCTTAGCCCTGAAAGCGCTCCAAAAGTCCAGTTCCAGATACTACAAAAGGAGTGTTTCAGGACTGCACTATGAAAGGGAGTGTTCAACTTTTGACTTGAATGCAAACATCAGAAAGCAGTTTCTCAGAACGCTGCTGTGGGCTTTTTATATGTATTCCCGCTTCCAGCGAAATCCCCAAAGCTAGCCAAATATCCACTTGCAGATTCCAGAAAAAGAGTGTTTCAAAACTGCTCCTTCAAAACGGTGGTTCAATTCTCTTAGTTGAGTACACACATCTCAAATAAGTTTCTGAGAATGCTGCAGTCTGCAATTTGTATGAATTCCCGCTTCCAACGAAATCCTCAAAACTAGCCAAATATCCACTTGCAGATTCCACAAAAAGAGCGTTTCAAAACTTCTCTATGAAAAGAAAGGTTCTACTCCTTTAGTTGAGGACACACATCACGAGTAAGTTTCTGAGAATGCTTCTGTCTAGTTTTTAAGGGAAGATATTTCCTTTTTCACCTTAGGCCGGAAAGTGCTCCAAATGTCCACTTACACACACTACAAAAAGAGTGTTTCAAACCTGCTCTGTGAAAGGGAATGTTCAATTCTGTGACTTGAATGCAATCATCACAAAGAACTTTCTGAGAATGCTGCTGTCTGCTTTTTATATGTAATCCCGTTTCCAACGAAATCCTCAAATCTAGCCAAATAGCCACTTGCAGATTCCACAAAAAGAGTGTTTCAAAACTGTTCTGTCTAAAGAAATGTTCAACTGTGTTAGTTGAGGACACACATCAGAAACTAGTTTCTGAGAATGCTTCTGTCTAGTTGTTATGGGAAGATATTTCCTTTTCCAACGTAGGCCTGAAAGCGCTCCAAATGTCCACTTCCATATACTAAAAAAAGAGTGTTTCAAACCTGCTCTACCAAAGGGAATGTTCTACTCTGTGACTTGAATGCAAACATCCCAAAGAAGTTTCTGAGAATGCTTCTGTCTAGATTTTATCTGAAGACAATCCCGTTTCCAACGAAATCCTCAAGGCTAGGCAAATATACTCTTGCAGATTCCAGAAAAAGAGTGTTTCAAAACTGCTCCTTCAAAACGGTGGTTCAATTCTCTTCGTTGAGTCCACACATCTCAAATAAGTTTCTGAGAATGCTTCTGCCTAGTTGTTACGGGAAGATATTTCCCTTTCCAACATAGGCCTGAAAGCGCTCCAAATGTCCACTTCCAGATACTACAAAAAGAGTGTTTCAAACCTGCTCCTTCAAAACGGTGGTTCAATTCTCTTAGTTCAGTACACACATCTCAAATAAGTTTCTGAGAATGCTTCTGCCTAGTTGTTACGGGAAGATATTTCCCTTTCCAACATAGGCCTGAAAGCGCTCCAAATGTCCACTTCCAGATACTACAAAAAGAGTGTTTCAAACCTGCTCTACCAAAGGGAATGTTCTACTCTGTGACTTGAATGCAAACATCCCAAAGAAGTTTCTGAGAATGCTTCTGTCCAGATTTTACCTGAAGACAATCCCGTTTCCCACGAAATCCTCAAAGCTATGCAAATATCCTCTTGCAGATTCTACAAAAAGAGTGTTTCAAAACTGCTCTATGAAAAGAAAGGTTCAAATCTGTCAGTAGAGGGCACACATCACAAACAAGTTTCCGAGAATGCTTGTGTCTAGTTGTTATGGGAAGATATTTCCTTTTTCAACATAGGCCTGAAAGCGCTCCAAATGTCCACTTCCAGATACTACAAAAGGAGTGATTCCAACCTGCTCTATGATAGGGAATGTTCAACTCTCTGTCCTGAATACAAACATCACAAAGATGTTTCTCAGAACGCTGCAGTCTGCAATTTGTATGAATTCCCGCTTCCAACGAAATCCTCAAAACTAGCCAAATATCCACTTGCAGATTCCACAAAAAGACCATTTCAAAACTGCTCTATCAAAAGAAAGGTTCAACTTTGTTAGTTGAGTAGATACAGCATAAACAAGTTTCTGAGAATGCTTCTGTCCAGTTTTTATGGGAAGATATTTCCTTTTTCACCTTAGCCCTGAAAGCGCTCCAAATGTCCAGTTCCAGATACTACAAAAGGGGTGTTTCAAGACTGCTCTATGAAAGGGAGTGTTCAACTTTTGACTTGAATGCAAACATCAGAAAGCAGTTTCTCAGAACGCTGCTGTGTGCTTTTTATATGTATTCCCGCTTCCAGCGAAATCCCCAAAGCTAGCCAAATATCCACTTGCAGATTCCAGAAAAAGAGAGTTTCAAAACTGCTCCTTCAAAACGGTGGTTCAATTCTCTTAGTTGAGTACACACATCTCAAATAAGTTTCTGAGAATGCTTCTGTCTAGTTGTTATGGGAAGATATTTCCTTTTCCAACATAGGCCTGAAAGCGCTCCAAATGTCCACTTCCAGATACTACAAAAGGAGTGATTCAAACCTGCTCTATGATAGGGAATGTTCAACTCTGTGTCCTGAATACAAACATCACAAAGATGTTTCTCAGAACGCTGCAGTCTGCAATTTGTATGAATTCCCGCTTCCAACGAAATCCTCCAAACTAGCCAAATATCCACTTGCAGATTCCACAAAAAGAGCGTTTCAAAACTTCTCTATGAAAAGAAAGGTTCTACTTCTTTAGTTGAGGACACACATCACGAGTAAGTTTCTGAGAATGCTTCTGTCTAGTTTTTATGGGAAGATATTTCCTTGTTCACTTTAGGCCGGAAAGCGCTCCAAATATCCACTTACACACACTACAAAAAGAGTGTTTCAAACCTGCTCTGTGAAAGGGAATGTTCAATTCTGTGACTTGAATGCAATCATCACAAAGAAGTTTCTGAGAATGCTGCTGTCTGCTTTTTATATGTAATCCCGTTTCCAACGAAATCCTCAAATCTAGCCAAATATCCACTTGCAGATTCCACAAAAAGAGTGTTTCAAAACTGTTCTGTCTAAAGAAATGTTCAACTGTGTTAGTTGAGGACACACATCAGAAACTAGTTTCTGAGAATGCTTCTGTCTAGTTGTTATGGGAAGATATTTCCTGTTCCAACGTAGGCCTGAAAGCGATCAAAATGTCCACTTCCATATACTAAAAAAAGAGTGTTTCAAACCTGCTCTACCAAAGGGAATGTTCTACTCTGTGACTTGAATGCAAACATCCCAAAGAAGTTTCTGAGAATGCTTCTGTCTAGATTTTATCTGAATACAATCCCGTTTCCAACGAAATCATCAAGGCTAGGCAAATATATTCTTGCAGATTCCAGAAAAAGACTGTTTCAAAACTGCTCCTTCAAAACGGTGGTTCAATTCTCTTAGTTGAGTACACACATCTCAAATAAGTTTCTGAGAATGCTTCTGCCTAGTTGTTACGGGAAGATATTTCCCTTTCCAACATAGGCCTGAAAGCGCTCCAAATGTCCACTTCCAGATACTACAAAAAGAGTGTTTCAAACCTGCTCTACCAAAGGGAATGTTCTACTCTGTGACTTGAATGCAAACATCCCAAAGAAGTTTCTGAGAATGCTTCTGTCTAGATTTTACCTGAAGACAATCCCGTTTCCCACGAAATCCTCAAAGCTATGCAAATATCCTCTTGCAGATTCTACAAAAAGAGTGTTTCAGAACTGCTCTATGAAAAGAAAGGTTCAACTCTGTCAGTAGAGGGCACACATCACAAACAAGTTTCTGAGAATGCTTGTGTCTATTTGTTATGGGAAGATATTTCCTTTTTCAACATAGGCCTGAAAGCGCTCCAAATGTCCACTTCCAGATACTACAAAAGGAGTGATTCCAACCTGCTCTATGATAGGGAATGTTCAACTCTGTGTCCTGAATACAAACATCACAATGATGTTACTCAGAACGCTGCAGTCTGCAATTTGTATGAATTCCCGCTTCCAACGAAATCCTCAAAACTAGCCAAATATCCACTTGCAGATTCCACAAAAAGACCATTTCAAAACTGCTCTATCAAAAGAAAGGTTCAACTTTGTTAGTTGAGTAGATACAGCATAAACAAGTTTCTGAGAATGCTTCTGTCCAGTTTTTATGGGAAGATATTTCCTTTTTCACCTTAGCCCTGAAAGCGCTCCAAAAGTCCAGTTCCAGATACTACAAAAGGAGTGTTTCAGGACTGCTCTATGAAAGGGAGTGTTCAACTTTTGACTTGAATGCAAACATCAGAAAGCAGTTTCTCAGAACGCTGCTGTGTGCTTTTTATATGTATTCCCGCTTCCAGCGAAATCCCCAAAGCTAGCCAAATATCCACTTGCAGATTCCAGAAAAAGAGTGTTTCAAAACTGCTCCTTCAAAACGGTGGTTCAATTCTCTTAGTTGAGTACACACATCTCAAATAAGTTTCTGAGAATGCTTCTGTCTAGTTGTTATGGGAAGATATTTCCTTTTCCAACATAGGCCTGAAAGCGCTCCAAATGTCCACTTCCAGATACTACAAAAGGAGTGATTCCAACCTGCTCTATGATAGGGAATGTTCAACTCTGTGTCCTGAATACAAACATCACAAAGATGTTTCTCAGAACGCTGCAGTCTGCAATTTGTATGAATTCCCGCTTCCAACGGAAATCCTCAAAACTAGCCAAATATCCACTTGCAGATTCCACAAAAAGAGCGTTTCAAAACTTCTCTATGAAAAGGAAGGTTCTACTCCTTTAGTTGAGGACACACATCACGAGTAAGTTTCTGAGAATGCTTCTGTCTAGTTTTTATGGGAAGATATTTCCTTTTTCACCTTAGGCCGGTAAGTGCTCCAAATGTCCACTTACACACACTACAAAAAGAGTGTTTCAAACCTGCTCTGTGAAAGGGAATGTTCAATTCTGTGACTTGAATGCAATCATCACAAAGAACTTTCTGAGAATGCTGCTGACTGCTTTTTATATGTAATCCCGTTTCCAACGAAATCCTCAAATCTAGCCAAATAGCCACTTGCAGATTCCACAAAAAGAGTGTTTCAAAACTGTTCTGTCTAAAGAAATGTTCAACTGTGTTAGTTGAGGACACACATCAGAAACTAGTTTCTGAGAATGCTTCTGTCTAGTTGTTATGGGAAGATATTTCCTTTTCCAACGTAGGCCTGAAAGCGCTCCAAATGTCCACTTCCAGATACTACAAAAAGAGTGTTTCAAACCTGCTCTACCAAAGGGAATGTTCTACTCTGTGACTTGAATGCAAGCATCCCAAAGAAGTTTCTGAGAATGCTTCTGTCTAGATTTTCTCTGAAGACAATCCCGTTTCCAACGAAATCCTCAAGGCTAGGCAAATATACTCTTGCAGATTCCAGAAAAAGAGTGTTTCAAAACTGCTCCTTCAAAACGGTGGTTCAATTCTCTTAGTTGAGTACACACATCTCAAATAAGTTTCTGAGAATGCTTCTGCCTAGTTGTTACCGGAAGATATTTCCCTTTCCAACATAGGCCTGAAAGCGCTCCAAATGTCCACTTCCAGATACTACAAAAAGAGTGTTTCAAACCTGCTCTACCAAAGGGAATGTTCTACTCTGTGACTTGAATGCAAACATCCCAAAGAAGTTTCTGAGAATGCTTCTGTCTAGATTTTACCTGAAGACAATCCCGTTTCCCACGAAATCCTCAAAGCTATGCAAATATCCTCTTGCAGATTCTACAAAAAGAGTGTTTCAAAACTGCTCTATGAAAAGAAAGGTTCAACTCTGTCAGTAGAGGGCACACATCACAAACAAGTTTCTGAGAATGCTTCTGCATAGTTGTTACGGGAAGATATTTCCCTTTCCAAAATAGGCCTGAAAGCGCTCCAAATGTCCACTTCCAGATACTACAAAAGGAGTGATTCCAACCTGCTCTATGATAGGGAATGTTCAACTCTGTGTCCTGAATACAAACATCACAAAGATGTTTCTCAGAACGCTGCAGTCTGCAATTTGTATGAATTCCCGCTTCCAACGAAATCCTCAAAACTAGCCAAATATCCACTTGCAGATTCCACAAAAAGACCATTTCAAAACTGCTCTATCAAAAGAAAGGTTCAACTTTGTTAGTTGAGTAGATACAGCATAAACAAGTTTCTGAGAATGCTTCTGTCCAGTTTTTATGGGAAGATATTTCCTTTTTCACCTTAGCCCTGAAAGCGCTCCAAAAGTCCAGTTCCAGATACTACAAAAGGAGTGTTTCAGGACTGCTCTATGAAAGGGAGTGTTCAACTTTTGACTTGAATGCAAACATCAGAAAGCAGTTTCTCAGAACGCTGCTGTGTGTTTTTATATGTATTCCCGCTTCCAGCGAAATCCCCAAAGCTAGCCAAATATCCACTTGCAGATTCCAGAAAAAGAGTGTTTCAAAACTGCTCCTTCAAAACGGTGGTTCAATTCTCTTAGTTGAGTACACACATCTCAAATAAGTTTCTGAGAATGCTTCTGTCTAGTTGTTATGGGAAGATATTTCCTTTTCCAACATAGGCCTGAAAGCGCTCCAAATGTCCACTTCCAGATACTACGAAAGGAGTGATTCAAACCTGCTCTATGATACGGAATGTTCAACTCTGTGTCCTGAATACAAACATCACAAAGATGTTTCTCAGAACGCTGCAGTCTGCAATTTGTATGAATTCCCGCTTCCAACGAAATCCTCAAAACTAGCCAAATATCCACTTGCAGATTCCACAAAAAGAGCGTTTCAAAACTTCTCTATGAAAAGAAAGGTTCTACTCCTTTAGTTG